>NC_000007.14:158396778-158709843 GCF_000001405.40 Homo sapiens
CCTCGGGGTCTGTCCTGTTTTGCCACAACAGCTGTAGAGAATGCCAAGCAGCTCAGCAGTGGTTCCCAAAATAAGACTGTTGAGAGCCCAGAAATAGCCCCCAGAGAACACTGTAAAAGCCCCAAGACAAGGAAAAAGTACACGAGCTTGTGACATGATGGTACAATGGCCTCAAGGAAATTGCAGCTTTGGAAAGAAACTTTATTTTCTGTCTTTTGAAACAAACCGACATCCTGTCCTCTGTGGAGACCCAGGCCCCGCTGAAGTGCTCTTTCAATTTGCTCTTTTAATTTGCTCTTTTAATTATTCTGAAAGGCCATCTGCTGTAAGAGTGCCTCCCTGATTTAAACTATGCCTCACACCCTCAAAACTTACACTTCAGCATTTTTTCCTTCCTTGCGTAATCTCAAAGCAAACAAGATTCAGAGAGGCTCACTTCCTGGGTAATGCAGGAGATGCCCTCCGAGGTAGGGACAGGGGCTTGTGCCCAATGTGGGGCCACTCTGCAGAGAACCACATGAGCTGCGCCCATCCAGGATGCTGCCAGGAGCCTGCATCCAGACACCCTCAGCGGTTGTGAACCAGCCCTCCCAGCGGCAGGACCCCCGAGCAGTTGTGAACCAGCCTCAGGGTTGCCCTCCAAGTGGCCAGGGGACAGGGCTGACATGAAGCAGGTCCTCAGATCGAGACCAGCTCTGGAGGCCCAAACAAACACTCCTCCTGTGCCCTGCACCCTCACCTTCCCTTCCAGAGAAATAGTGTGTCCTGCCCCAGCTCAAAATAGGGACAGCACAGGGCTCCACCCAGGAAAGCTGGGGGCCGAAATGTCATACCATTTGGGCAGGTCTGGGCCTGTCCTGCCACTCCCTCCCCACCCCCCAGTCACTCTGTGCCTCCACTTCCACATGACAACAACATCCCTCTCAGGGCTGAGTCTCCTCCCCTGCAGAGAAGATGCCTTGTGAGGCCTCTTGACCAAAAGAAACAGGAAACAAATACAGAATAAAAGTATAACAGTGAATAAAAACAGCTACATGCACACACAACTGTGCAAAGCAAAACAAAACAAATTGAAAAGCACAAGCAGGGTGCCACGGCCTGACAGTAACAATCAAACAGGAGGGTTTTCCAATGCCATGAACGTAAATCGAGGTGTGCATGATAACAAGGAGTAGGAACCGGAGGGACGGCCACTGAGGGTGGAACCAAAGCAGGGAAATGAGAGGATGATGAGTCCCCACTGATCCTGAGGCTGGGAAAATTTGCAGACTCGAAGATTCTGTAGTGCTGATACATCCACACATTCCATGGTCCTGAGGGACACTGTCTAGCTTACAAATCCATCTGTAACTGTTCAACCAGACTAGCAACCCGTCATTCATCATTCATAGGAGAATGCAAAATTACATCATGCACAAAGTGCTCCCCCATGTATCAACTGCATTTGAACAGATTTGTGTTTTCAAAACCAGGGTGGTAGCAAGATTGAGTATGCCCAGTAAATGCTAGATATTATTATCCCACTAGACACTGAAAACGGTCCCCTTTCCTGGGTTGTGTTGCTGGCCTTGCCACAGGCAATGCCGAGGGCAGCTGCCTCATCCTCCCCCACACTGTTGCCTCACCTGGTCACAGGTGGGAAGCCAGGTGGGGCTCGGTGAGTGTCTTCTAACTGTTTCTGCATTGCTAGAATGGGGTAAACAAAGAACAAAGAAAACATACATAAAGTACATTCTTTGTTCTGTTATTGCCGTTGTCAAAGTTAACTCTCTCTTCTTATTTTAGGGTTTATTTTTAAACATCATGCTTGCACATAGTTTGAAAAATCTAAGTCTGGTTGGGGAAATGAGCAAACCTCTAACCCACCTTTTCCCCACCCGCATTTCTACTCCCCAGAGGTAAGCACCCTCAACTCATTTAGCTGACTCTTGGTTTTCATCTCCATATCTCCACATGACACATTCACGTTGCCATTTCTCAGCTTTCAGATTTAGGATGTATCTATTTTCTGACTGCTACAGAAGATGGGCCTACCTCTCCATAACACATCACTGTTTCCAAGCTTACTTTCTCTTTCCCAGTTTAGTTACATTACAATTTTCATCAGATCAGTATTATGTGCTTACAATATTGTGACTTTGTAAATGCTATCCCCAACTAGGCTATGTAGTACGCTGTGACTAGTATTAATTTTTTTTCTTTTTGTTTTCCCTGGAGTTATAAATGTCTTATGTATTTGCTTAGTGTCCACAGTGTCTCTTCCTTTCACAGTGTCTTCTTGTTTTTCCTGGAGTTATACATGTCTTATGTATTTGCTTAGTGTCCATAGTCTCTCTTCATTTCATGCTGTCTTCTTCCATGTGGCTGTCAGGGCTCTTTCATTAGAGGCTTTCCATAAGTGTCCAGTGATCCTGGGATGCCTGCTCATATTTAATAAGGGGCACAAAGAGCTGATTTAGAATTGTGTCACCTGGTGAATTGTTGAAAGTGGGTGTCAGTATAGGAGACCCTGCTGAGCAGTTTCACTGGGAAAAATTTTCTCTATTTCTATTCCCACAGAAGCAGACCTGGAATAAGAAACAATTGTAGTTGGCCAGGTGTGGTAGTGCACACCTGTGATCTCAGTGTTTTGGGAGGCCAAGGCAGGAGAATCACTTGAGTCCAAGAGTTTGAGAACAGCCTGGGCCACAAAGTGAGATCTCTGTCTCTATAAAATCATTTTTAAAAATTAGCCAGGCATGGTAGCTCCTGCCTGTGGTCTCAGCTACTTAGGAGGCTGAGGCAGGAGGATTACTTCAGCCCAGGAGGTCAAGGCTGCAGTGAGCTATGATCAAGCCACTGCACTGCAGCCTGGGTGATAAAGCAAGATCCTGTCTCAAGAAAAGAAAGAAAAGAAAAGAAGGAAAAGAAACAAGGGAATGGAAGGGGAGGGGAGAGGAGGAAATTTTTAAAAGAAAAAAAGTGTGACAAGGAAGGTTGGGTTTCCAGTGAAAGGTGCATCACCAGCCAGCTCCTACTGCACCGGAACCATCCCATTCAAGGGGTGGTGTAGCTGAGGTATTTAAACGCTCACTCCTTGGCCGTCAGTTGGAGCTCTCCCAGCAAGGGGAGTGGGAAGCGGGACTCATTAGTCCCCAGGCACTTGCAGTCCCACAGGGAGCGAAGCTGGGAGGGGCGGCGAGTCTGCAGACCAGCACCAGTCTGGGTTTGCCAAACTCCCTGCATGCAAGAGATCTGCTGTGACCACACCTGCAGGGTACTCAGGCCACCTTTCATACTGGGGTGAGGAGAGGAAGTAAACGCTTTTCTCATGTAACAGATGCCTTTATGTCATCGTTAAAGCTGTGCTTTCTGACAGTCTTTAGAGGTTTTAATGAGGATGCCTAAACTTACGAGGCCCCCACAAACATCAAGAATTTTGCCAAAAGAAATGACGTAACTGATGGATATTTTTTGAAGACCAATGTCTTAGTCACTTTTGAACCAAGCAGATGCGCTACCCTATGTGGACAGGGCAGTCGTCATGCACAGAACCCATGCTGTCCCATCTCCCCCACACTCAGGCTGGAGCAGCATTCTGGCTTTGTTTTTGTTTTGCTTTATTGCTCTGTGTCTACCAGACACACAGCTCCTCAGAAACTGGACAGAAAGCCTCCTGACATCACCACAACAAAATCACAGCCATTAAGTCCAACGGGATTGCTTTATGGTGGCTCAAGCCCATTTCTCTGAGCTCCAAAGCCATCCTGACATCATTATGCTGCATCATTATGAAGCCAACACACATCTAACAAGAACACAAGATGCGCTTTGTCATCTCAGCTACGATTCTCCTTGGGGTGAAAGTGAGGGGCGCTGGGAGTTGCCCTCTTGCAGGTCCCAAGGCAGCATCTCCCCAGCAACTGAGACCAGCCTCAGCACAGGACACCGTGGTCCCAGCCACAAATGCAGACAGAGCCTCTCAGGCCAACCTCAGAGCCTCTCTGGAGTGCAGGCATCCTCTACACAAACGGAGGCAGCCCTGCTCCATGCCTGCCATGCAGCTGAGACGGATCCTCAGGACACGTCCTGCCTGCAGGTGAGCTCCTCAAACACCAACCAGCAGCCCCCGTCCCACCCCCCGCATTCCCCCAGATCCTGTAAAGAACATCCTGTAAAGAACCTCACGAGGAAAGCCGAGCAGACAGCAAACCCAGAGCTTCCCCGACTGCGGTGGGCCCTGCTCCGCCTCCTGTGGCCAAGGCCGCTCATCACCCAGGAACCGACACGCACGAGATGCAGAATCTAAAAGAGAAAGCGGCACCGCCACCAGCAAGCACAAGAGGGACGTGGGGCCTGATGACGGAGGCAGCAGTGATGCCTGCGGTGCCAGGGGCTCTCCGGGTTCCTGACCCTCTGACAGTTCACCTGGAAGGCGGGCTCCAAGCCCCTCAGACCCAGGCTCATCCCGTGAGCAAGGAAGGCTGTGTGTATGGAGGCTCCATCCCCTCGTTTGTTATTTTTACTGGGCTTCTTCCTCTTTTTCCAGCAGTGAAAAATCTTCAGAGACCTCCACCAGGGAGAAAATAGACCGGAAGCTCCTTCTCTGTGTTGCTGCCACCCAGGAGCCGCTGGACCCCAAGGGAGCAGCATGGAGGCAGAGAGACCTGGCCCAGCACAGAAGCGAAGCTGCCACGGGACGGCCCCACGGGTGCCAAGACACGATGGACCCCAAGGGAGCAGCGTGGAGGCAGAGAGACCCTGGCCTAGTGCAGGAGTGGGGCTGCCATGGGACAGCCCCATGGTTGCCATGACACACTGGGTCCCAGGCATTCTAGTGAAGAGCTGTTACCATAAGAGGAACTCAAAAAGGGAAATGCTAGTTTAATAACTAAATTCTTAGGAAGAAATGTCTTTAGTAAAATATCTTGATGATCTGATAATGCACAAAATTATTCCCGAGACAAAATTTGAAGGGGCTGAAAGGAAAACAAAAGGACGAATGGCTGGTAATTCCTAAGGGAGAAGCTGGGAAGACAGAGGGGCTCAGGGGACTGACGGCAGCCTGGAAACCAGCAGGTGCCCAGTGGAGGGAAGACAAAACGAGAGCAGGGGTGCCTGAATCCATAGAGATGTCCACACTGCCGCCCAGACCTCCCAGGCCTCTCTCCATCCAGACCGCCAGTCAAGTTCCCATCTGGGAAAGGGGGTCTGGCCGGTGCCCAGAGCCAGGGAGAGGTGGGAAACGGGGTGTGAAAGAGAGATGAGGAAAGGGGGTCTGACCGGTGCCCAGCAGGGTCAGGGAGAGGCGGGACACGGGGTGTGAAAGAGAGGAGATGAGGAGTCAGCACATCCAGCCACCCCCTCCAAACACACCTGGGAAAAGGGAGAACCCCGGAGGACAGCCCGGTGGGAGAGTGGCTCACAACAAGTCCACATACATCTTGTGGGACTCAGGGACCAGCCAGACACAGGACCAGGGTATACAGGTGCTGACTTTTGAGCTGTCCACGGCACTAGGAGGCACATGCCCCAGCACCTCCCCAAATTGGAAATCTGGGGGTACAACCTCTGTACACACATGCATTCCAGCTCGCAAATGAGCACCTGCCTCAGAGCTTCACCTTGACTCTCGGAGGTGGGGCTGGCTCATGCTGTTGGCCAGTGCACCCCACGCCCTCTTCTCTGCTAATTTTGCATCTGCACTGAATTTACGTTGGTGGGAGTCAGCGCCCTCCAACTCCATGGAGACAAGACTCTGCTGTGCACACTGCTGAGACTCCAATATCCCACGTGCCAGGGGCTTACTCCATATTTGGCAGATAAATTAAAGCCCCAAAATGCAGAGTCATCGATGAGTCTCCTTCCAATGCAGCTGTCCATGCGGCCTTGGGCAAGCCCTGCGATGTTCCTGCAGGGAAGGGAAGGTCTGGGTGTCTGCAGCTGTCGTGCCTGCTCTCCGGACCCTGCGCCCGCCCTAGAGGGATCCAAGGGCCATGGCCAGGCAGGGTGGTGTCATGGACAGCTCTGGTCCCACGGTGGAGGGACAGGGTGGTGGGGGCTCAACCCAGGCCAGGGACTGTCTGTCCCTTCCTGGCTTTGCCCAGCAGAAAGCAAAACTCTGATGAGGGAGAATCATGGGGTGCAGGGGCAGCAGGTCAGAAAAGAAAAGCCTCCTCTGTGATTCTCCACAGCAAAGGGACCCTTCCCAGAGCTGGCACTGAAAACCCATGAGCAGCCCCATCCCTTACAACCAAACACAGCTCCGTTTGCCTCCCACGGCTTCTTCATATGCTTCCCAGGGGGTTCATTCTCGCTCTGTTTGGAGACACCACAGGGTTTTGGTGAAAATCCCCCCACATTAAGGTCTGGACCACCTTCAAGCTGTGCACTTGGGAGGTTGAGCAGACAGAATGCACGTGGGCACGTGGCCAGAGAGAAACCTGCCCCATCAGGCCAGGGGAGCACATGTGAGCACCTCTGCCAGCAGACCCCTCACCAGCAGGAAGCCAAGTGAAAGACACAAACGCACCCATGCAGGCCCTGCCGTACTGATGTGAAAACGTAAATAACCAGAGCTGACCTGAAGAGCATGTCTCCACCAGGCTGCAGGCAGGAGTGGCAAGGATTCCACCCTGACATGCAGGCCCCACCCCAGCAACCCTGGACAGGCCCGGGCACAGGCCCAGCTGCCCTCGTTCTGCAACAGCTCCCAGGTAATCCTCATGGGCTCCAGGTTTGAGAATCGTGCCCGGAGCAAGCACATTTAGGCCCAAACCCCTGGGTGTGGCCTTTGTTACTCCAAGGGCCACTCTGGTGGCACGTCAATCACCACAGAGAGGTCACTTCTGTTCACGCTGCCTGTCGGACTGGAAGTGGGCTAAGGTGGGCAGCAGGCAGGCAGTGCGGCAGCCGGGACTGCGAGTGCCTGGGGTCTGAGGATCGCACACCAAGACCCACTCGGGGAGGGGTCCTGCACCCCCACTCTGAAAACTCCCAAAACCCCACGAGGCTGAATCTTGATTCCCCCAGAGTTCTGAAATTCTGATGCTGGGATGATGCACTTTGGAAAAAACCATGATGGCTGGAAAGGGGGAAATGAATATTTGCTTTATGCCTTTAGCTAGCACAAAAAGTCACCTAATTAAGGTAATGAGGTTTAAAATGTAGGGTAAAAGTCACAAGAAACACTACAATTCCATTTTTATAATTACTCATGTCCTTACCAAAGAAAAGGAAGTCCATTAGGACAGACACAAAAATGACACGAAGACGTTGTGGTGGGGGAATCCCAGCATGCGCAGTCTTTTCCTGGTGATTTGCAGCCTCTGGACTTTCTATAATAAAAGGTATCGCCGTGACAATAGGAGAGATCAACTTTACAAACATCGCTTAATCAGGACACACTGTGGCCCCAAGGCTTATAAGTGACCCTTTCACTGGACGTCACCAGAACACCTGTGTGCAGGGTGGGGACACGTGCTGGAGGTTTGTGCTGCTGTGTCACACGTGGGAAGACGTCAGACCTTTCCTGAGCCACTAGCCAGGAACACATGCGGACAGACTTTGATGGGAGGATGCTGAGGAGACAGAGATTCTGTGTGTGCCTTTGAAGGTTCTCCAGTTCAGGCATTAAAACCTCCTGCTGCAGGGGCTGTGGACCCCTTAACCTGCTGACCCCGGGGCAGGCGCTGAGGCCAGGCTGAGCCAGTCCACAGGATGAAGACACCAGGACCCGTGAGGACGGGGGCTCCCCAGGGGACGTGGCTTTGGGCAATTGCTGGCTGCATTCCTTAAATCCCTGTTTGGTTATATCCACCCCAACAACACCAGTCACTCGGGAGTCCTGTGCCAGAAACACAAGCCAGGGCCTGCAGTCCTCGGCCTCCAGCTCCCCAGCCTCAGCTCCCCGGCCCCCAGCTCCTTGGCCTCAGCTCCCGGGCCTCCAGCTCCCCGGCCCCCAGCTCTCCGGCCCCCAGCTCTCCGGCTTCCAGCTCCCCGGCCTCAGCTCCCCGGCCCCCAGCTCTCCGGCCTCCAGCTCCCTGGCCCCCAGCTCCCCGGCCCCCAGCTCCCCGGCCCCAGCTCCCCGGCCTCCAGCTCCCCAGCCCCCAGCTCCCTGGCCTCCAGCTCCTCGGCCTCAGCTCCCCGGCCCCAGCTCCCTGGCTCCCAGCTCCCCGGCCCCAGCTCCCCAGCTCCCAGCTCCCTGGCCTCCAGCTCCTCAGCCTCAGCTCCCCAGCCTCCAGCTCCTCGGCCTCAGCTCCCCGGCCCCAGCTCCCCGGCCCCCAGCTCCCCGGCCCCCAGCTCCCTGGCCTCCAGCTCCTCGGCCTCAGCTCCCCGGCCCCAGCTCCCTGGCCCCAGCAGGAGCTAAGTTGTTACAGGGTTTCCCCATCCACAAAGACAGCATCACGAACATCCACACCCCCTAGGATGCCTGGAGTCCACATCCTCCCGGGGTGCCTGGGAGATCTCTAGAATTCCTGGGTGTCACATCCCCTAGGATTTTGGGGTCCTAGCAATGCCAACACCTAGACGAAGGTCAGGCATGGCCACAGAGGCCACCCTAGCTATAGGAAAACTCTCTGAAAGCTTCGATGTTAGCTCCAAGCAGAGGCTTGGTCCAGGAGGGCTGAAATCCTCCCATTTAAAACCTCTGAAAATCTTGCCTTTCACAAACAGCCCCCTGGAGGAAATGTTTTTTTAGCATGATGCCTGATAAGGACACAACACAGAGCTGCAGCGTCCGACCGTCTCTCCTCCACACTGGAAGGGAACAACAAACAAAGCCTCCGCAAGCTTGCTAAGAAACGGGGCATGCACAACACTTTACTGCAGCAAGAGACGATTTATCCAGTTATGTGGTATCAGATATTTTTAATAACTACTTTTCTGAATCCAACCAAGATCCGGCCCTCTATACTCTTAATACAGTGAAACTTATCTGTGTGTGGAGCCTGCACTTGGAAAACTCGGAAAACCTTCCCAGAAGCAAAGTGAAATGCTGCATACCACGACCACAAGTGGCTTATCCATGCATGTGGCCGCACACTGAGATCCCGGTGGCTCATCCGTGAGACATGTGGCCACACACTGAGATCCCGCAGTGGCTCATCCGTGAGACACGTGTCCGCACACTGAGATCCCGCAGTGGCTCATCCGTGAGACACGTGGCCGCACACTGAGATCCCGCAGTGGCTCATCCGTGAGACACGTGTCCGCACACTGAGATCCCGCAGTGGCTCATCCGTGAGACACGTGGCTGCACACTGAGATCCCGGTGGCTCATCCGTGAGACACGTGGCCGCACACTGAGATCCCGCAGTGGCTCATCCATGAGACACGTGGCCGCACACTGAGATCCCGGTGGCTCATCCGTGAGACACGTGGCCGCACACTGAGATCCCGCAGTGGCTCATCCATGAGACACGTGGCCGCACACTGAGATCCCGGTGGCTCATCCGTGAGACATTTGGCTGCACACTGAGATCCCGGTGGCTCATCCGTGAGACATTTGGCTGCACACTGAGATCCCGGTGGCTCATCCGTGAGACATTTGGCTGCACACTGAGATCCCGGTGGCTCATCCGTGAGACATTTGGCTGCACACTGAGATCCCGCAGTGGCTCATCCGTGAGACATGTGGCTGCACACTGAGATCCTGCAGTGGCTCATCCGTGAGACATGTGGCTGCACACTGAGATCCCGGTGGCTCATCCATGAGACATGTGGCTGCACACTGAGATCCCGCAGTGGTGCTTATCTCAGGAAGGAAGAGCTGGTCATGCCTGGAGCCCCCTGCATCATCATCGGCTCCTTCCCCAGGGCAGGTGCCGCTCTGGAAGCCTCCCCAGTCTCTCCCGCGGACCTGAGTCCTGCTGCAGCCACTCGCTGGCATGTGACACTGACCATGCCCTGAGACCTGCCCTGTTCACACACCTCTAGAAGACTACCTCTCATCCCCATGCCACTGGATAAGTGGCTGACTGCCTCCTGGATACCTGGCTAAACTTCAAAAATGCTCCTGATTTTGTTTTTTTGTATTAGATTTGTGTTTCGGCTCATTTCGTTCCTCTGCTGTTATAAACAGACCCTGGATGACAGAGCTCCAGGATCACAGCAGGCACTCCAGGCAAATTGCTTTATCTCTCAACATGGAATCAGGAAAATGCTGTAAATACTGGACAAAGTCTGTCCTGCACAGGCCTCGCCCACAGCAAACATGGAGCTGCCAGCCCTGAACAATGAGCAAGGCTGAGCGTGCTCAGGCTGTCAGCAAGGAACCCTCCAGGGAGACCCAGCAAGAGAACCAACATCCGCCTGTGAGGAGGTCGGGCTGCAGACAAGCCCAGCCCTGGGTCCTGCGTCCTGGGTCCTGGGTCCTGCGTCCTGCGTCCTGGGTCCTGGGTCCTGGGTCCTGCGTCCTGCGTCCTGGGTCCTGGGTCCTGGGTCCTGGGTCCTGCGTCCTGCGTCCTGGGTCCTGGGTCCTGGGTCCTGCGTCCTGGGTCCTGGGTCCTGGGTCCTGGGTCCTGGGTCCTGGGTCCTGCGTCCTGGGTCCTGGGTCCTGGGTCCTGCGTCCTGGGTCCTGCGTCCTGGGTCCTGGGTCCTGCGTCCTGGGTCCTGGGTCCTGGGTCCTGCGTCCTGGGTCCTGCGTCCTGGGTCCTGGGTCCTGGGTCCTGGGTCCTGGGTCCTGCGTCCTGGGTCCTGGGTCCTGCGTCCTGCGTCCTGGGTCCTGGGTCCTGGGTCCTGCGTCCTGGGTCCTGCGTCCTGCGTCCTGCGTCCTGGGTCCTGCGTCCTGCGTCCTGGGTCCTGTGTCCTGGGTCCTGCGTCCTGGGTCCTGGGTCCTGCGTCCTGCGTCCTGGGTCCTGGGTCCTGGGTCCTGCGTCCTGGGTCCTGGGTCCTGCATCCTGCGTCCTGCGTCCTGGGTCCTGGGTCCTGGGTCCTGCGTCCTGCATCCTGCGTCCTGGGTCCTGGATTGAGACAGAAGACCCTGGGCCGCTCAAGCAGAGCCCGGCTGCAGCCCCAACCTGGAATCCGTCCTTGCCACGAAGCCGATGTGGAACCATCGCCGTGCTCAGTGGAGGGACCATGAGTTCATGGCGTGATTAGCTGGGAGGTTTGGAAACAGCAAAAGCAAAAAGGCATCTCCCACAATGTCCAGTGACTCAAGTCTACAGAGCTTGTGTGCAAATTCCCTTAAAGTCCCTCCTCATCTTCAGAAGATATCCAATGACTCAAGTCTATGGAGCTTGTGTGCAAATTCCCTTAAAGTCCCTCTTCATCTTCAGAAGTTGAAATAGGAAAGGAAAAGGCAACACTTAGACCAAATGCTGAAGTCAACGTGACATGTAGGATGTGATTTGTTAAGTTACACTGACATCTGGTGGCCTTCAGTGTTAGAAGAGAAACACACGAGATCCTGTGATCTGAAACACACATGATCAAATGTGCCTTTGCATTTTCTTTGGTATTGAAAGCAGACAACACCAGAGGCAGCATTAAACATTAATAAAATCATGAATAAATTAATAAGAACACCACTATGCATATTTTTCAATTTAATAAGCCAAAAGTATAAAGGATGATTTTCTTCTTCCTAGGCCAAATCTTCTTAAGGAGCAGATTACAGTAGCTTTCTCTACAGTGGAATTTTTCAAATAGACTTTTAAGAGAAGAAGAGGAAGAAGAAGAAAACCGTCACCACTGTGTATCAGCCCGGAGGTGGGTCCCTGCCTGTGAGAACTGCACGTGGTGGACTCATACTGCATCTTCAGAGGAAGCAGATGTTCATTACTTATTTCCAGAAAATGACATTTATTACTGTGTTGCAAAATCAAAATCATAAAACAAGCAATTTGATGGGCTCAGAAAAAGTCCAAATGATAAGAAAAGGTAAATTGCATAATATAAATAAGGTGTTTCCTCCGTGTTTGCAGAAATACACCAAACGTGTGACCACCCTTCGTGACCGGACTACAGCAATAACTAAGCCAGTGGGGTAGGAAGGAGAATCGGATCAAAAGTTCACATTTTGATCAACGTCACATATGCTTGAGATAAAACGCTGCTAACGTCAACACTGGACTCACCCCAGTCATATTAACATTGACACGACTCACCCCAGTCATATTAACATTGACACCAAACACAGCCTAAAACTCTGTTACCACAAACATGACTTAAACGATACAAAGTTAACCTCCATATTTGCTATACATTCTAGTAATGACTTTGCTCTCCTTAATTAAAAAAAAAAAAAAATCAAAAGATCATCCTCCCAGACCAGATTCCAAGCTCAGTGCTTTATGTACACAATCATATCATTTTCGTAACACCCTGAAAGTTCTGTTTTCATTCATGAGAAGCCCCCGCAGGTAATGCTTGGTTTACGTTAATGAGTAGATGCAGACTGCAGTGCATCTACTCATTTGGGGCTCACCTGGGGCCTCACCTCCAAAGGGGCTCCTGGAGATGGCAGATCCTGTGGGGCCCACGCTGACCTCTGCAGCCAGAAGCCAGCCATTGCCTGTGTTCAGGGCTGGCCCTGGCAGCATATGGGGAGATGTGTGCAGGAGCAGGCAGTGAGCAGGCTGGGGAGGTGGGCAGTCCTCAGCTTAGGAGAGGACCTACCCAGGCATAAGCGTGGACCTACCCAGGACCTACCCAGGCATGAGCGTGGAGAGGGCACAGAAGACCTGGTCAGTCTGAGGAAGGAAAGAGTGGCTGCTGCTAACAGATAGAGTCAGGTCAATTTCCCCAGGGCTGCCTTCTGAAGCTGGTTTCCATGTTATGAACATGCCTGAAAAGGACCGTGGTTAAAGCAGCTCAAACTCCGGCAGGAGAATTTACGAAGCATCCAAGCCCCTCCTCTATGTGAACCAAAGGGTGGCTGTGAGGGTTCCGGGGGTCTCTAACAACAGAAAACCTCCACTGGCTTTCAACCTCACCTGCCAGGGAAGGGGCCAGGTAGGGATCGCGCAGGCCCCCTCAGACCCTCGCTCTGAAGAACAGGTGCCCTCACAGAGCATGCCGACATTCAGAACTGTCCTGCAGAATCTGGCAAGTGTTTTAAGAATTGACATAAAGAGCTGAGAAGATGTGTTGACGTCGCCTCTCAAAAAATCTGGCTTTAAAAAATAATAATAAAGCTAGTGTTTTTTTGAGCAGCTTCCATGAACTTGCCTTCCAAAGTTTTCTGAAAACTTGAGAAGATGGGGTGTGCCCCCACAGCCCCAGCTGCCTGAGGTTCGCTGAACAGCCTGGGTGGCTCCGAGGCGTCCCCGCAGATTCAGCCTGATCACTCCTTCGGTTTCCTCCTACGGCTGCAGGCAGACCTGGAGTTCATCCGGGTGACCTCCACAGTCTCTGGCCACCTTCCCTCCATTTAAGAAAAAGAAAAACAGCCCATGTCTGAGCCACCTCCCCAAACCCTCTCTGCCTTCAAGCATCTGACAAGCTACCCTCACCACACAAGGCCCGCTCCCTCTCTAGAGAGCCTCTCCCGACACCAAAATGTCAACCTAACACGACACTCAGGACACAGCTGTCATCCCGAAGGCAGGAGATGTGGGGGAAAGGACACAGAATGAGGTCACGATGCCAGAGTCACCCTCGTCTCATCCCCGAGTACCCAGGTGACTACAGACAGGAGAATTAATCTCCTTCTCGTGGGATGAAGTGACAGAGTAGACACCTGTGAGCCCACTTCCAGCTCCAGTTAAGGTTTCCTCTGGCCCTGAAGTTCTGCGACTCTGAGGCATGTGGGGTGACCAAGGGCAGAGGCTCCCAGTCTGTCTCAAACTACAGGCTTTGAGCAAGGTGAGCCTCCCTAAGCTTCGGTTTCCCCAACTTCGGTAAAGTGAAATAACAAAACCACGAGTGGCTCTTAACTTCTCTGGGAATGTCCAGCCAGAGCCTCGGAATGTAACTACGTGGAAACAGGGTCCTCGCAGACCTCATTATTGAAGGACCTTGAGGTGAGATCATCTGGATCCAGGGTGGGCCCTAAATGTAGTGATTGACGTCCCTGTAGGGAGAGGAGAAGACACGGAGACACAGGGAAGGGGTGTTGGTGGAGTCACGGGTGGGAGGCCCCGGAGGGACAGTGCAGACAAGTGCCCAGGTGACCCCAGACACGGAGACACAGGGAAGGGGTGACGGGACAGTGTGCTCATGGGGTGGGAGGCCCCGGAGGGACAGGGTACACAAGCACCCAGGTGACCCCAGACATGGAGCGTGAGTAGGAAATTCACTTGGTGGTGTCAGGCCACAGAGATCCGGACAGGCTGGGCTGCCCCTGCGAACCCGGGGCCCTCTCCTCCCTGGCACAGCCTTATTTTCACTCCTGCAGCTCCCGAGAGGAGGCCTCGCTCTTCCACCTGTTTCTGTGTCATGGGACCCTTCACAGAGCAGGCACTCAAAACCCATGAGCACCCCATCCCTTACAACCAAACGCAGCTCCGTTTCTGCCTCCCACGGCTTCTTCACACGCTTCCCAGTGGGTTCATTCTCCCTTCCCCACGTAAAGATGTGTGCAGCCACAGCTTTCCGGCCACCTTGAAATGAGGTGACATCTCCAGTCGCTTCCCGTGATGAAGTGCGGGGCCTGGCACTGCGCACTGCTGCCCCTGCTGGGTCCTCACAGCTCCTTCAGCAGCCTCTGGGGTCTCACCTCCTGGTCCCCTGGGCCCTTGCACATGCCCGGCCACCACTCTCTGGTCCCCCCAGCACTCACGGCTCACCTCCTGGGAGCCAAGGCACCTGCAAGTCCTGCTGTCGTCCCGGGAACAGGGGTCCCCTTCCCGTGGGAGATGGGATCCCCCAGGTAACACAGCCAGTCAGAGGGCAGCATCAGAACTCACTCGCTGTCCTTGTCTACACTAAGCACTCAACTTCAAGTTGGGAAACCTGGGTACCAAGCAGCCAACCAACGCCAATGGAGGTGGAAGGCGCCGCCCCGCGGCACTCACACCCGCCTCAGATGGGAGCATGGTCTCAGGGGCCAGGGCCCAGGTCTTATCCAGACTCAGCTGCTCTGTGACCCAGGTCAGTCACTGGCCTTCCTCCCGGGCTGCTTCTCTGTGGCTCAGGGGACAATAGGCCCATCTCGTTAGGCTGCCGTGAGGGTGAAATGAGGCTGCGCACATGAGACTGGGGCTGAGAACATGCGTGGGCCAAGAACACACCTGCCAGGGCCCATCGCAGCACCCTCATCAGCTCCAGGGCCCATCACAGCACCCTCCTCAGCTGCAGGGCCCATCACAGCACCCTCCTCAGCTCCAGGGCCCATCCAGTGCCCTCCTCAGCACCAGGGCCCATCCAGCACCCTCCTTAGCACCAGGGCCCATCTCAGCACCCTCCTCAACACCAGGGCCCATCTCAGCACCCTCCTCAGCACCAGGGCCCATCCAGCACCCTCCTCAACACCAGGGCCCATCTCAGCACCCTCCTCAGCACCAGGGCCCATCTCAGCACCCTCCTCAGCACCAGGGCCCATCTCAGCACCCTCCTCAGCACCAGGGCCCATCTCAGCACCCTCCTCAACACCAGGGCCCATCCAGCGCCCTCCTCAGCACCAGGGCCCATCTCAGCACCCTCCTTAGCACCAGGGCCCATCTCAGCACCCTCCTCAACACCAGGGCCCATCCAGCGCCCTCCTCAGCACCAGGGCCCATCTCAGCACCCTCCTCAGCACCAGGGCCCATCCAGCGCCCTCCTCAGCACCAGGGCCCATCTCAGCACCCTCCTCAGCACCAGGGCCCATCCAGCACCCTCCTCAGCACCAGGGCCCATCTCAGCACCCTCCTCAGCACCAGGGCCTATCTCAGCACCCTCCTCAGCTCCAGGGCCCATCCAGTGCCCTCCTCAGCACCAGGGCCCACCTCAGCACCCTCCTCAACACCAGGGCCCATCTCAGCACCCTCCTCAGCACCAGGGCCCATCCAGCACCCTCCTCAGCTCCAGGGCCCATCCAGCGCCCTCCTCAGCACCAGGGCCCAGCTCAGCACCCTCCTCAGCACCAGGGCCCATCCAGCACCCTCCTCAGCTCCAGGGCCCATCTCAGCACCCTCCTCAGCTCCAGGGCCCATCCAGTGCCCTCCTCAGCACCAGGGCCCATCTCAGCACCCTCCTCAGCACCAGGGCCCATCCAGTGCCCTCCTCAACACCAGGGCCCATCCAGCGCCCTCCTCAGCACCAGGGCCCATCTCAGCACCCTCCTCAGCTCCAGGGCCCATCCAGCACCCTCCTCAGCACCAGGGCCCATCCAGTGGCCTCCTCAGCTCCAGGGCCCATCCAGTGCCCTTCTCAGCTCCAGGGCCCGTCTCAGCGCCCTCCTCAGCTCCAGGACCCATCCAGCACCCTCCTCAGCTCCAGGACCCATCCAGCGCCCTCCTCAACATGGCTCCCTTCCCTCTCGCCACTGAGCAGACTTGATAACAGATGCAAGCTCGTTCCAGACCCACAAGAAAATCCACAGCAAGACAAATTTTGTGCCAAAGTTGGGTTCAAGATCAAAAACAATCCTTTGTATCTCATTTGTAATAAGTCGTAGGGGCTCACGAGAAAAGGAAAGATAATTCAATTTTGAATGTATGTTTACATTTCCTAAACAGCTCACTTAGCATCTGAACCCGAATGCACACAAAAAAATAAAACATTGTCTTTAAGGAAATAAAATGCAGTGGGCCTAACATGGCCCCCAATTGGCCAAGTCCTCTTCTCAACTAGGAAACTGGCCACTGTCCACTCTGGGCCTGTGACTAACACAGATGAGGATCTCTTGTCCTTAACCTTTTCCGACTCCCCTCCCAGAAGATGGCAGGGCTCAAGAGGCCTGAACGGGAAAGCCCCGTGTGGGCTCCATGGCGACCTCAGCAGGCGAGCCCACCCCTCTCCCGGGAGGACTAACAGTGGGAAGACTTCTGTGGGTGGGAGATGAGGACCCCAGTCTCTCAGCCTGGTGTCTGTAAAACTAGGAGAACGGGCCCATCCTGCGGGTGCTGGGGAGCCTGTGGGACACACAGGAAGCACTTGTGTGTCCAGGCCCAGCGGTCCTGACCCAGCCTTTTCAGCTCAACCTGGGCCACCCTTAAACATGGAGGCAAGGGCCAGGTGTGATGGCTCACGCCTGTAATCCCAGCACTTTGGGAGGCCGAGGCAGGTGAATTACCTGAGGTCAGGAGTTCGAGACAAGCCTGGTCAACATGGAGAAACCGTGTCTCTACTAAATCACTTGAACCTGGGAGGCGGAGGTTGCAGTGAGCCGTGATCGTGCCACTGCACTTCAGCCTGGGTGACAGAGACAGCCTCTATCTCAAAAAAAAAAAAAAAAAAAAAAAGGAAGCAAGGGGATTCCTAGTGTTCCAGCAGGGGGAGAACTGTGGTTCTAGCAAATCCTCTACCAAGTGAGTACCGTGCACTTCCAGAGCGTAGGGAATCAGGTGCTCAACCCCGAACGGCCCATAGCAGAGCTCTCCCGATGATGCAGGGCACACCAGGAGTGAGGACAGCAGCACTAAACCATGAGGTTAAGACAAAGGGGCTGACAGGGAGCAGTCACCTGTGAGAATTTAAAGAGCAGAATTAACGGGCTGGAGCATTAAGCCCCAAAGGACGGATCCAGGAGGGTGCCCGGGCGGTTAACAATGGCTATTCAGGCCTAAGAAGGAAAGAAATAACCTTAAAATAGAATCCCATCCCATCCTCCTGGACCAGATTTCACTACAGTAATTGCATCTGTGAGGAAGAGAGCTGCAAAGGAAATTAGATGTTCTCCGGGCTCAGCTGTAAGTCATACATCAGAGCCACCCACTGAGAATTCCCATTAGGAAGAAGCTGGCACGAGCTCACATGCGGGCTGGAGGCCGCCCCCGCTTCCACGGCCCAAAAAGCTGTCCCCACCGAGGTCCTCGATCTGGCATAATTGCCGGCATTGTGCCGTGCCTCCCGCCCTGGCCACATCAATGTGGCTCATTCTTCGAGGCTCCACTGAACGCTGGGAGCTGTGTTGAAAGTGGGGGAGGGGCATCCACTGATGAAGCTTCCGGAGCATCTCCATCCAGCCAGCTCCCTCACACCAACTGAATGAGCCAGCGTGCTGTAAGGAAAACACTACCAGTCATCCACATGAGGAGGGGCGGGGGAAGGTACCTCTGCCTGGGACAAAAGCCTGCAAGGAAAACAGGAGCTGAGCACTCCAGCCATAATACAACCAGCTACTTTCCTGATGATACAACCAGCTACTTTCCTGATGATACAACCAGCTACTTTCCTGATGATACAACCAGCTACTTCTCTGATGATACAACCAGCTACTTCTCTGATGATACAACCAGCTACTTCTCTGATGATACAACCAGCTACTTCTCTGATGATACAAACAGCTAATTTCCTGACCTACCAAGAGGCCAGAAACCACACCTCAACTCCCTGCTTCCCAATTAATCTTTACTCTGCAGTCCCCACTCTGGGCCCCAGCGACAGTATTGGTGAAGAGACGCAAAGCTGATGAATGACGTCAAACAAACAAAAACAACCTGTAGCAGGTGGCTTCAAGAAACCCTCCTGCTTTCCTTCCTCAGGGGAGAGAGCCAGCAGCCTTGCTGCCTGGGTTTGGAAGGGTCACCCCAGGCCCTACCCACCATCCTCTCTAAGCCCCCACCAGCTGCTTCAGCCCTGGATGACACTGGACACCACCTGGGACCCTGAAAATGCAGGTGCCTGGGCCCCACCTCCACCAGATTCAGATGTCACTGCTCCGGAGTGCGGCCTGCTTACCAGACTTATCTGAGCACTCCCAGCTACTGTGGATGTACAGAAAGGGTTTAGAACCATGGGCCCATTCTACCAACAAGAACTGCATATACCACGGGCCCCGCCTCAGAGTTATTGTTGAGGACTTGTCCCCCCACCCCACCCTACAATGGCTCATTAATATCCCATACACGCAAATCCTCGTCAAAGACCCTCAATGAAGTATGCAGGCCACCCATGCCTCTTCCTCATTCAATTGATAAATGAGAAAGTTTCTTAAGGAAAAATTAAACAAATCAGGTGATTTAGCCTAGTTTTAGTCACTAAGAAGGGACTTCAGAGTAGTTCATAAATTGTCTCTAAGGATTTTCAATACCAGAGCATTCCTCAGAGGGCTGGGTGGTCCCCTAGAAGCCCCTGCCACCCCTGTGTCTGCTGTGGCTGGGGCTCCACATCCCCATGACGTGTCTGGTGGCAGCCACCACAGTCCTGTCTCTTCTAGGAATCTAAGTGTTAGGTTCTGGTTTCTTCTCTTCCACATCCACCTTTGGTGTTGGTTTCAGAAACAGCAAATCCTACAATCCACGGTTCCCAAGCCTGACTGCACACCTGAACCATCCCTAAATACTTTCCACACAGGTGCCTTCCCTGGGCCCCATGCACTGGAGGAAGCCTTCTGTGAAGGTCCACTTTGGGGCCCAGGAATGGGAATCCAGCTTCACTCCATAGTCAGCCAGGCTTGGGACAACTGTGGTGGATGATCTGATTGCATCCGACTGTCCTCCCTTGCAGGCCCAACCCACAGGGATACATGGCCAAAGTTTAGATATGCACCCCCAGCCCCCAACCACACAGTCCAGATTTCAATTACATGGCATGTTAACCGAGTAACTACATAAAGTACAAAGTGTGCTGCCAGGTGTAGGCAACAAACCACCACATGTTAACAGCCATGTGGGATTGGTGGCTGCATGGGGATTGGCCAGGGTGCCTGTCACTCAGCTCAGCACAGACAGCAAAGCATGGAGCTGTGTGGCCACATCATCTCCCAGGGAGAAACCAAACAACATTTCGCAGAAGTGAATTATCAGAAGAAAGAACAGACAAACAAAGATATAAGTGCACCAGAGAATGAAAAGGGATGGTGCTGGAAGTGAAATTCCAAAGAAAGGCCAGGGGGCAGGAAACAGACAGCCTGCTGGGAAACATAGACTGGCTACCATGTGGGACACTCACGGTGCTGCAGGAACCTAAGGAAGGCAACTCATCCGCACACAGCAGGGAAGTGGCTGTGAGGGAAACGATGATATCCAGGGGAAATGGGGCAATAAGACCTTCACAGTAAAGGGACACTCAGAGGCACTTCACCACCACAAAATGGCAAAGCACAAAATGTTGGAGGGCAATCCAGACTCAGAAAGGGATTGACACTCAGCAAGCCATGGGGAGAATGCTCACAACTATCACAGCCTAGACAAGGATTCAAGTGCCACACACACTACATCGAGATGCTCTACCTCTCACTGTCCCCCTGTGCTAAGTCACAGTGCACTACATCAAGATGCTGCAGCTCTCAGTGTCCCACTGTGTTAAGTTGTGGTGTACTACATCAAGATGCCGTAGCTCTCAGTGTCCTGGTGTAAGTCACAGTGTACTACATTGAGATGCTGTAGCTCTCAGTTTCCCTGCTGTGTTAAGTCACAGTGCACTACAACAAGATGCTCTAGCTCTCAGTGTCCTGCTGTGTTAAGTCATGGTGTACTACATCGAGATGCTGAAGCTTTCAGTGTCCCACTGTGTTAAGTCATGGTGTACTACATCGAGATGCTGAAGCTTTCAGTGTCCCGCTGTGCTGTCATGGTGTACTACATCGAGATGCTGTAGCTTTCAGTGTCCCGCTGTGTTAAGTCATGGTGAACTACATCGAGATGCTGTAGCTTTCAGTGTCCCGCTGTGTTGTCATGGTGTACTACATCGAGATGCTCTAGCTCTCAGTGTCCCACTGTGTTAAGTCATGGTGTACTACATCGAGATGCTGCTGTAGCTCTCACTGTCCCACTCTATTAAGTCATGATGTCCTACATCGAGATGCTCTAGCTCTCAGTGTCCCACTGTGTTAAGTCACGGTGTCCTACATCGAGATGCTCTAGCTCTCAGTGTCCCACTGTGTTAAGTCACGGTGTACTACATCGAGATGCTCTAGCTCTCAGTGTCCCACTGTGTTAAGTCACGGTGTACTACATCGAGATGCTCTCTCAGTGTCCCGCTGTGTTAAGTCACGGTGTACTACATCGAGATGCTCTAGCTTTCAGTGTCCCGCTGTGTTAAGTCACAGTGTACTACATCGAGATGCTCTAGCTCTCCGTGTCCCCCTGTGTTAAGTCATGGTGTACTACATCGAGATGCTCTAGCTCTCCGTGTCCCACTGTGTTAAGTCATGGTGTACTACATCGAGATGCTCTAGCTCTCAGTGTCCCACTGTGTTAAGTCACGGTGTACTACATCGAGATGCTCTAGCTCTCAGTGTCCCGCTGTGTTAAGTCATGGTGTACTACATCGAGATGCTCTAGCTTTCAGTGTCCCACTGTGTTAAGTCACGGTGTACTACATCGAGATGCTCCAGCTCTCCATGTCCCGCTGTGTTAAGTCATGGTGTACTACATCAAGATGCTCTAGCTCTCCGTGTCCTGCTGTGTTAAGTCACGGTGTACTACATCGAGATGCTCTAGCTCTCAGTGTCCCACTGTGTTGTCATGGTGTACTACATCGAGATGCTGTAGCTCTCCGTGTCCTGCTGTGGTAAGTCATGGTGTACTACATCGAGATGCTCTAGCTCTCCGTGTCCCGCTGTGTTAAGTCATGGTGAACTACATCAAGATGCTCTAGCTCTCAGTGTCCCACTGTGTTGTCATGGTGTACTACATCGAGATGCTGTAGCTCTCAGTGTCCCGCTGTGTTAAGTCATGGTGTACTACATCGACATGCTCTAGCTCTCCGTGTCCCACTGTGTTAAGTCACAGTGTACTACATCGAGATGCTGTAGCTCTCCATGTCCCGCTGTGTTAAGTCACGGTGTACTACATCGAGATGCTGTAGCTCTCCGTGTCCCGCTGTGTTAAGTCACGGTGTACTACATCAAGATGCTGTAGCTCTCAGTGTCCCCCTGTGTTAAGTCACGGTGTACTACATCGAGATGCTGTAGCTCTCAGTGTCCCACTGTGTTAAGTCACGGTGTACTACATCAAGATGCTGTAGCTCTCAGTGTCCCACTGTGTTAAGTCATGGTGTACTACATCGAGATGCTCCAGCTCTCAGTGTCCCACTGTGTTAAGTCATGTTGTACTACATCAAGATGCTGTAGCTCTCACTGTCCCACTGTGTTGTCACAGTGTACTACATCATTGTCAGACTCACTGTTTTCATTTCCATACACACTTAGATTATAAGAGTTTGTAACGTTTTCACAACATTACAGGTCATGAAACAATCCTCATTTTCCTATAAGTTATTCCAGTGGCTCACATAGTCCTTGCCACTTCTCCTTCACCATGCAATGAGGTACAACCTGGTATTGGTTTTGTGCTTGACTCTGACCCTCTTGCCATCTTTTGTAAGGTTCTGTGTTTAAATATTGCATTTCAGGCAGCTGTGGTGTTGCCAGCCTTGAGGCAGGGTTCTGGAGCCTGAAGACATGTGTCCTTGGCAGTAACCTGTGTGTAGACCCACCTTTCTGAAATTAGACCCAGATGCTATCTCAAAGCTAAAAGTCATTTTCTTGACATCAAGCATTTTTGGCCTGGAAAGCTCCATTTTAGAAAACGGCTGTTTTGCAAACATTATATAAGCTGTCACCAGCAAGAATTCCGTCACTGCAAGAATTCCTTCACTGCAAGAATTCCATCATTGCAAGAATTCTGTCACTGCCGTAATCACTCATCAGAGACTGAGGAAGTCTCAGTCAAGTGCACGGGGCCTCGGGACTCTCGGAGGTGCCCAGCTCCACAGACCCTTCCACATGGGAAGGCAGCAGAGTGGCTGCTCTCTTTCCCATTCCCTGCTCTGGGAGTGTCAGCCCTGACTCACACAGCCCTCCTTCCATGTCACGCCAGGAGCCTCACCACGCAGCACTGCAGCTGGAATGAGTGAAATACCTGATGGAGGACTTGGAGAAGAGAGTCGAATTCACAAGCCTCCAGCACTCGGTGTGGCCAGCATTCACCACTCAGGGATTTCTAAGATCACACGTGATGTCTGACCGGACTCAGAAGCTCACACGTGATGTCTGACCGGACTTGGAAGCTCAGCACTTCGTTATTTTATTATCTCCAAATCCAAAAGAAGTGGCAGTCATTACTTCAAAGCCCACTCCTGAAGGAAAAGGCCCACTGACACCAGTGCTGGTGATGCAATCCACCTATGTTAGCATTGGACCCCGAGCTGTGCCTGAACCTCGGTGCCTGCATTCTTTACTCAACAGGCATCTGTTGAAACTCTGTCATGTTGGCCACTGTTACAATCTTGTGCACAGGACCTGACCCCTAAGGTCTCCAGAGCTTTGGGGCATTTTATCAGAGGTTCCTGCCACATTTGTGTCCAGCACAACAGTGAGTAAAGAACTGGGAACATGTTCTCCCTCCCAATTCCTCCCGTTTTCCTTCCCAAGGCAGGCAGGACACATTGTCTCACGGCGAGCTGGCCTTACCCTGAACTCAGAGCATCAGCACCCCAAAGCTGCAGTGAGGAGGAAGAGACTGCCCACCCGCGAAAAGGCCCCTCAGTCTTCAGCCAACACCACAGGCACAGCTTCAGCCCTCTGACTCTTGCTGACCACGGGTTACCTTGGATCTTCTCTCCTTTGAGGGCAACTGAGCCACATTTGGCTCCTTTCAGAACATAGAATCTTGGCTTTGTCTTTTCCTGGGCTTGGGGTACCTGGGACTCCAGCTTCAGGCACAGGGTCCAGCACACATTCCTTCTTCTTCACCAAAAGCCAATGAGATCAGCATAGTTGCAAAGCTGCCTTATGTTTTTAATGAGAAGAGTTATTTACAAAAAGAGATGGCTTGACAAATATCGTGCATAAGCAATCCCACCAGTGCGCATTGCCCCTGAGTTCCCTTCCCTCTGAGACCCAAGCTGTCATGGCTGTGAGCCATGCAGATGAGGTCCTCCTTGTCATCCTAGTGGGCTTCCCAGAAGATACTCCCCATCATCCGAGTGGGCTTCCCAGAAGATAATCCCAGTGACTGAGTGGTTCCTGCCTCCCTTCTCCGGCCACATTTGTGAAATATGTAAGCAGCATGTCTTCCATGGAAGCGGGGATGAAGTGACGGCTCGGAGTCAGTTTCCTCCGCGTCCCTGTTGATGAGACGTGGCAGTTGCATGAGGGGCAGGTCACAGGCGGTTGTGGCTTACAGACGCCCTGGGTTCCAACAGGGCCTGACAGAGATGTCCAATTCCAGGGATCACCTTCCCATTCTTGATCGGACCCATAACATCTTAGAAAGCACAATATACTCAGTTCTGCCCATGTCATCCTCTGCTCAAGTATCTGAGTTCAAGGTCATTTCTGGACTGAGGATTCCCGTACCCCATTAGACGTGTGTGGCTCAGATCTTCAGTCCAGGCTTTGGAATCGAGGGCCAGCCGCACCCCTTGTTGCTCCCATTCTGGCTGGTGGTCCCCTGGTGCACCTGTCATGTCCTGCACAGCTCTCAGGCCTTTGGTTGAAAAGCTGACTGGAATCACACTTGAAAAAAGAGCTCAGCCTGTGGATATTAGTGACACCCACCCTGGTAGGAAATGAACATGTAAGGCTGAGTTTGTTTCTTGGAGTTTTCCTATTTATTTTAAAGTTGGGGTGACAAGCACTGGGTTTTTGAACACTGAGCGGAGGGCAACGTTTCATTATTTATGCAAAGTGCATCGACAAAGCGACATTGAAAGTTTTTGCCATATTTTCCTCTTTGTAGTTTCTCCAAGTGAGATATGTCAAGAAGCAGCTTTCCTGTGATGTGCCTCAGAAATAAATGGAAAGAAAGAAACGCAGCAGATGGCTTGGATTAAATCTGAACAGTGATAAGTTCTGCTTTTAGGACAGCTGGGTAATGTACTCTTTGCTCAAAAACATGTTTGATTTGAAACACAAAAACAATCTTATGGTTTCCATGAAAATGAAAGAAAAATGAAGCTGAATCGTGGAGTAAATTGCTAGTTTTCTCCGCAGCATGTTCTGGGCTGCTTTGGGAGCCATATGCTCTGTTTGATGTAAATGAGATGGAACTGAAATTAAAAAGTTTTACATTTAAAAGTAGTGACCAAACCTATTCATCAATGCCTTTGGGCATTCTAATAAAGAATTTTTATTAGCCCTAAGGTTTGGGGTTAAAAAAATAAAGTTTGTCTTAACCCTGAACAACTTGGGCCCACCTTCATTTTCAGGTCTGTGAAATATTCAAGCAACAGATGCTGAAGCTAGAGACCAAGTTACTGATGAGGGAGGTAGTTTGGTTCTTGGCAATCAAGTTCTGCATTAATAATCGAGCCTCATCACAGAAATACTTCAAATCCACTTTTCACAGAATATCTACTGAAAAGTATCACTAAAACGCAATTTTGCTAGAATCCATTAATTTTACGAGCTGACTGAATCTTCCTCAGAGATCAAAAACTGCAAAGGAGCTAGACTACAAGGAACTGAATTTCAGTCAACCTTTTAAGAAATGCAGATCAGAATGCAAATCCTAGGTAGGTTCTTAAACAGCAAAAGACAGCATCCACGTCTCTGCAAAAGGCTTGAACTCTTTGGCCAGCTTGGTTGGGGAGAGCTGGAATGGCAGGTTGAGAAGTACCAACAAACCCCATCAATGGCAGCTTCCAACACCATCTGATTTTCTGAATTTCAAATCTGGACACGGAATTGAGCCGGAAAACTCTGAATGCTGCCAGATTCTCATTTCAGATGCACACACATACTCTTACATGTCTCAAAGAAAGTAAAATAAAAGGAAGATAGAAAGAAGGAAAAAGAAGAAAAAGAAACCCTGTAGTCCACATGAAAGAGCAAATGCCATCTGAAGGCCTCAGCAGCTACACGGGATGTCATACCTGGGCTGACGCTGCCGGCTTCTGGGGCCACCCTTCGGACGTGGTCTCAGTCACACCCAGGCTGACGCTGCCGGCTTCTGGGGCCACCATTCGGATGTGGTCTCAGTCACACCCAGGCTGACACTGCCGGCTTCTGGGGCCACCATTGGGATGTGGTCTCCGTCACACCTGGGCTGACACTGCCGGCTTCTGGGGCCACCATTCGGACATGGTCTCAATAATCTTCCCGAGCTCGGCCAGCTCACAGGAGCTCAAGCTTACAAGTAGTTGGTGTGTAATTTGCATGGTCAGTAGAGACAAAGAAAGGCTTCAAAGCCACTGCACACTCCTGCTGCTCTCCAGAGATAAAGCGAGGAGAGGGTGACGATAGCCAATCAGGGCCCACGCCAGTTTCCCAGATAGGAACCATGGCCGATAAACCCGAGACCACAGGTGTTCCATCCCTGCTACTCAGCCCAAAGCAACAAGGAAGCCTGAGGTGACACCACAAAATGCAAATTTATCTCCAACGCTGTCACTTGTTAAGATAGCAAAGAAATGAGCCTTGATCCGTGAATAAACTGTATACATCAACTCATCTGGGAAACAAGCAAGAAACCCAAGAGAAACCACGGGGGAGAAACCGGGATCCATGTTCTATCCCCTGCTGCTGGGCCAGACCTGAGCAGCACGGCAGTGAAGGAAGTGGATTTGGGGGGCTTCCCTCCACCCACAGTAACCTTCCTTTGCTGAGTGATGCAAGCCTGACCTTTCCGGGGAGCACCCATGACCTCGTGGGGACACGGTGAACCCTAGGGACATGAAATGGTCCCGCCCTAGCTTCCTCTCCAGTGCCCTGCCTGTCCTGCCCAGGGCACTCCCAAAATGTCTCAACGAAAATGTTCTTAGAGGGGAAGAGGTCTCAGAGATTAGCCCCTCTGGTTCCTCATTTTTTTTTTTTGAGACAAAGTCTCACTCTGTCACCCAGGCTGGAGTGCAATGGCACCATCTCAGCTCACTGCAACCTCCACCTCCTAGGTTCAAGCGATTCTCCTGCCTCAGCCTCCTGAGTAGCTGAGATTACTAGTTTTTGTATTTTTAGTAGAGACGGGGTTTCACCACGTTAACCAGGCTGGTCTCAAACTCCTGACCTCAAGTGTTCCGCCCACCTCCGCCTCCCAAAGTGCTGGGATTACAGGCATGAGCCACCACATCCAGCCCCTCATTTTCTAGATGAGGAAAGAGAAACTGGGACATTACAGTCCCTTTACGGCCAACACTGGAATGGAATCCTGAAAACTGCTTTGCACGGAGTTCTGCTGTGGTCTGTAGTTTGCATGTATCATTTCCTTTAATCCTCACAACTCCCCTCTAAGGTGGTAATTACCTTATTTTCACTTTTTTAGACGAGAAAGATTAATTCGGAAGAGGCTAAACAGCTCCAAGGTCTCCGAGCAGAGAGGCAGCCGTCGGATTCCGGAACCTGCTGGACCACCCTCCAGGCGCCCAGTGATTTCTCCAGGGTGGACACAGGCTTACGTGTGGCGCAGGAGTGCTCTGTGACGTACACAAGGCGCATCCCACAGGTGGATGCAGAGAGGCCAGAGAGGGGAGGCACCTGGCACCATCCCGTTCTGTTTTCGGTGCGGCCCGTTCTTCGGGCTTTATTAAGCAACTGCCCACGTGGAAGAAAAGCAATAATGAAGCAAGGCGTCGTATCGATTCCCCCAGCTGTAATGGAATTCCGTCAAGGAGCAAAGCGAGGCGTTTTCAGAAACTCTGCCTGTTAACGTTTATTGCTCCCAAAGTCTGATTATAACACACTAGCTCCGGGGGCCGAGTGAACATCACTTCACACAAAAACAGGGACAACGTCTGTGACCACCGGAGATGAATATTAGTGAAAGAACTGACTCTCCCGATTCCTCTATTAACCTGTCTCTGGCTACATTCAAACAAATCATATGTGTGTACGGAACAGGCTCATACACACATGCCAGCACGCGTAATGCCCAGTGGTCAGAAAATGCTCTTCAAACCGGGGACTGAGACGCCCGCAGAGCGCGGCCCTGAGAGCCCTGAGAGCAGAGTCAAGCACGATGCTGCTGCCTGGCCCCAGTGGCCATGCATGTGCCGCACCCTCGAGAACATCTGGGGACCTCGGGGCCCACAGGCATTAACCATCAGCTTAATCTCCCACGCCAGGTGTGCTCAGCACCCTCGAGAAGGTCCGGGGACCTCGGGGCCCAGGGGCATTAACCATCAGCTTAATCTCCCACGCCAGGTGTGCTCAGCACCCTCAAGAAGGTCCGGGGATCTCGGGGCCCACAGGCATTAACCATCAGCCTAATCTCCCATACCAGCTCACCAGGTCTGGGGCCCGGGTGTTTCGGAGAAGGCATTCTGTAGTTATAACTACCATCCACCATCAGGTGACTGTCGGTAAAGGAGGGGACCCTCCTTCATGTGGCCATCACTTGAGGCCTTAAGACAAAAACAATCATGTTCATTGCTGCTAAGAACCCAAAACAATAGGCTGAAAGTCCTGCTGATGCACTGCCAGGAAAGACGCAGAGTACGAGACCAGTCTAGCTGAGGCCTGCGCACCGCCGGGAAAGACGCGGTGTCCGAGTCCAGCCTAGCTGAGGCCTGCGCACCGCCGGGAAAGACGCGGGGTCCGAGACCAGCCTAGCTGAGGCCTGCGCACCGCCGGGAAAGACCCAGAGTCCGAGACCAGCCTAGCTGAGGCCTGCGCACCGCCGGGAAAGACGCGGTGTCCGAGTCCAGCCTAGCTGAGGCCTGCGCACCGCCGGGAAAGACGCGGGGTCCGAGACCAGCCTAGCTGAGGCCTGCGCACCACCGGGAAAGACGCGGGGTCCGAGACCAGCCTAGCTGAGGCCTGCGCACCGCCGGGAAAGACGCGGGGTCCGAGACCAGCCTAGCTGAGGCCTGCGCACCGCCGGGAAAGACGCGGGGTCCGAGACCAGCCTAGCTGAGGCCTGCGCACCGCCGGGAAAGACCCAGAGTCCGAGTCCAGCCTAGCTGAGGCCTGCGCACCGCCGGGAAAGACGCGGGGTCCAAGTGCAGCCTAGCTGAGGCCTGCGCACCGCCGGGAAAGACGCGGTGTCCGAGTCCAGCCTAGCTGAGGCCTGCGCACCGCCGGGAAAGACGCGGGGTCCAAGTGCAGCCTAGCTGAGGCCTGCGCACCGCCGGGAAAGACGCGGGGTCCGAGACCAGCCTAGCTGAGGCCTGCGCACCGCCGGGAAAGACGCGGGGTCCGAGTCCAGCCTAGCTGAGGCCTGCACAGCGCCGGGAAAGACGCAGAGTCAGTCCAGCCTAGCTGGGGCCTGCGCACCGCCGGGAAAGACGCAGAGTCCGAGACCAGCCTAGCTGGGGCCTGCGCACCGCCGGGAAAGACGCAGAGTCCGAGACCAGCCTAGCTGGGGCCTGCGCACCGCCGGGAAAGACGCGGGGTCCGAGTCCAGCCTAGCTGAGGCCTGCGCACCGCCGGGAAAGACGCGGTGTCCGAGACCAGCCTAGCTGAGGCCTGCGCACCGCCGGGAAAGACGCGGGGTCCAAGTGCAGCCTAGCTGAGGCCTGCGCACCGCCGGGAAAGACCCAGAGTCCGAGACCAGCCTAGCTGAGGCCTGCGCACCGCCGGGAAAGACGCGGGGTCCAAGTGCAGCCTAGCTGAGGCCTGCGCACCGCCGGGAAAGACGCAGAGTCCGAGACCAGCCTAGCTGGGGCCTGCGCACCGCCGGGAAAGACGCAGAGTCCGAGACCAGCCTAGCTGAGGCCTGCGCACCGCCGGGAAAGACGCGGGGTCCGAGTCCAGCCTAGCTGAGGCCTGCGCACCGCCGGGAAAGACGGAGAGTCCGAGTCCAGCCTAGCTGAGGCCTGCGCACCGCCGGGAAAGACGCGGGGTCCGAGTCCAGCCTAGCTGAGGCCTGCGCACCGCCGGGAAAGACGCGGGGTCCGAGTCCAGCCTAGCTGAGGCCTGCGCACCGCCGGGAAAGACCCAGAGTCCGAGTCCAGCCTAGCTGAGGCCTGCGCACCGCCGGGAAAGACGCGGGGTCCGAGTCCAGCCTAGCTGAGGCCTGCGCACCGCCGGGAAAGACGCGGTGTCCGAGACCAGCCTAGCTGAGGCCTGCGCACCGCCGGGAAAGACGCGGGGTCCGAGTCCAGCCTAGCTGAGGCCTGCGCACCGCCGGGAAAGACGCGGTGTCCGAGACCAGCCTAGCTGAGGCCTGCGCACCGCCGGGAAAGACGCGGGGTCCGAGTCCAGCCTAGCTGAGGCCTGCGCACCGCCGGGAAAGACGCGGTGTCCGAGACCAGCCTAGCTGAGGCCTGCGCACCGCCGGGAAAGACGCAGAGTCCGAGACCAGCCTAGCTGAGGCCTGCGCACCGCCGGGAAAGACGCGGGGTCCGAGTCCAGCCTAGCTGAGGCCTGCGCACCGCCGGGAAAGACGCGGTGTCCGAGACCAGCCTAGCTGAGGCCTGCGCACCACCGGGAAAGACGCGGGTCCGAGACCAGCCTAGCTGAGGCCTGCGCACCGCCGGGAAAGACGCGGTGTCCGAGACCAGCCTAGCTGAGGCCTGCGCACCGCCGGGAAAGACCCAGAGTCCGAGTCCAGCCTAGCTGAGGCCTGCGCACCGCCGGGAAAGACCCAGAGTCCAAGTCCAGCCTAGCTGGGGCCTGCGCACCGCCGGGAAAGACGCGGGGTCCGAGTCCAGCCTAGCTGAGGCCTGCGCACCGCCGGGAAAGACGCGGTGTCCGAGACCAGCCTAGCTGAGGCCTGCGCACCGCCGGGAAAGACCCAGAGTCCGAGTCCAGCCTAGCTGAGGCCTGCGCACCGCCGGGAAAGACGCGGGGTCCGAGTCCAGCCTAGCTGAGGCCTGCGCACCGCCGGGAAAGACGCGGGGTCCGAGTCCAGCCTAGCTGAGGCCTGCGCACCGCCGGGAAAGACCCAGAGTCCGAGTCCAGCCTAGCTGAGGCCTGCGCACCGCCGGGAAAGACGCGGGGTCCGAGTCCAGCCTAGCTGAGGCCTGCGCACCGCCGGGAAAGACCCAGAGTCCGAGTCCAGCCTAGCTGAGGCCTGCGCACCGCCGGGAAAGACGCGGGGTCCGAGTCCAGCCTAGCTGAGGCCTGCGCACCGCCGGGAAAGACGCGGTGTCCGAGACCAGCCTAGCTGAGGCCTGCGCACCGCCGGGAAAGACGCGGGGTCCGAGTCCAGCCTAGCTGAGGCCTGCGCACCGCCGGGAAAGACCCAGAGTCCGAGTCCAGCCTAGCTGAGGCCTGCGCACCGCCGGGAAAGACGCGGGGTCCGAGACCAGCCTAGCTGAGGCCTGCGCACCGCCGGGAAAGACGCGGGGTCCGAGACCAGCCTAGCTGAGGCCTGCACAGCGCCGGGAAAGACGCAGAGTCCGAGACCAGCCTAGCTGAGTCCTGCATACCTAACTCCGCCGAGGACTTACATTCTGATTTCAGGGGTTCTCTTAGCCTGTCACCAAGTGTTTAAAGAAGGTTATGATGAAACCAACAAGCCAATCCGAGTGTCTTTAAACTGGGGCCACGAATGAAATTCACTCCTGTAAGAGGGCAGGGGAGCTGGGGCACTCTCTCATCCCAAAATGGAAAAACATTCATTTTTAACAGTAATAAAACATGAGGTGGTGAAGGCACAGCGGCGTCGGACGTGACTCGCAGCGCATCCAAGACAAGGGGCCTGCTCTTGGTGGCTCAGAAGACGAGGGCGGCAGCAAGACCCTCGGGGGAACCCTTAGGGAAGTCACCGGGTTGTCCTTTTAAACGATGTGTGCCACCGCACAGAAACTGCAAAGGAGAAAACTAAAATTATTTGTAACCCACCGATCTGAGGAAACGGCTGCTGGCATTGGCTGTTTCTCTCCATGGTTGAGATCGCAGTATTGGGACACTTTTACAGCTGCCTTTGTCATTTAACACTATTCCACCGGAATTTTCTTATGTTCTTAAGAAACTCCTAAGAAGTATAATTTTAGTACCTGCAAGGTATCTGTCACAGAGTCACCATTACTCGACCAGGCCTCTGTTTCACACAGTCGGGTCGTTTTTAGTCAGTGATCCAAGGGGGCCGGGCGGTGAACCAAGTCTAACGGAGGCAGTCACAGTTCAGTGACAGAGTTCCTTCCTGGTTCTGATGGGGAAGTTCAGTCACCGTGTCTGTATGTTACTTACTCGCTTCTTTCAGGGTCTTTTCCAATAAAGACAGCTATTTTTCATGGCAATGGAAATTATAAAAGCAGCTACCGTCATGCAGATCGTCCTGGGGGCATCCCAGCTGCACCCTGGTGCCGGGACAGCCTTACTGCAAGAAAAACAGGGTGTGGGAGGATTTACGAGTTCCAGCTGAGCCAGCTACATCAACCTGTGGGCACGTGGCGGGTTGGTGGCCAAGCCTGAACTGAGACCAAGGCTTTGGACTCCTAGCACTGGCTGTCTCGCTTGCTAAACCGTAATAGTCTCATCTAACTGCTCTGTACTAAGAACATGCTTCCGGATCCAACCGATGTGTTTCGGAGGTGCCCTACCCATTCAGGGGCAGGGTGGGGCTGTCACCCAGTCGAGAGGCTTTCCTGAAGCCGAGAGCACTGGGAGGCAGCATCTGAGACCTCTCTCCACAGCAGGAGCTCCCCCACATCTCCAGGGAAGAACACGTTCCAGCAGATCCACAGCCGGCACAAAGGAAACCTTAGGAAGGTGGTGCTAGGCTCTCCACGCTGGTCCTTAGCAGCTGTTCCTCCTGCAGCTCAGAGCTCAGCATCCCTTCTCCAGGACCTTCCCGCCATCAGGCACTCTCTGCACCACCCAGCTCCACCACCATCTCTGCCTCGTTCCCACGGACCGTCAGCCCAATGCTGGGTCCCCACTGCAGCTTCCACAAACCCTTAGACCCGCTGGTGATGTGCTAGCTCCCTCATTCCCGGCCTGGGAGAGCCTGGCCTGGTCCCACCTCCCTCCTGCCACCCTCCGCTCAAGCACATGGCCATCCCAACAGCAGAGCCCTGTCTGAGAGGAAAGAACTCAGCTCCAGACCGCCAGCAGGCAAACATATGGAAAGATGGGCTCAACTCAGTTTCTGGTTTTTCACTAATTCATGGCTTTTTTATTAAATGCAATCTTAATACAGATGGATGCAGGAGTGGGTTTCCATAACAGGCCATGGATGGTGAGCTAATGGCCTGAAATGTCAAGTCCAAATCTCCAAACAAAAGTGATCATTTAAAAGGAAGATGTGTGTAGCCGTACTCGTGGGACATAAACTGTTCTTTTTCTTTTCTTTTCTTTTTTCTTTTGAGATGGAGTCTCGCTCTGTCGTCCAGGCTGGAGTGCAATGGTACAATCTTGGCTCACTGCAACCTCTGCCTCCTGGGTTTAAGCAATTCTCCTTCCTCAGCCTCCTGAGTAGCTGGGATTACAGGTGCACGCTACCACGCCCAGCTAATTTTTGTATTTTTAGTAGAGATGGGGTTTCACTATGTTGGCCAGGCTGGTCTCAAACTCCTGACCTTGTGATCCACCTGCCTCGGCCTCCCAAAGTGCTGAGATTACAGGTATGAGCCACCACGCCCAGCTGGGACATGAAGTTTTCTTAAACAACAATGCTTTGTAAGGATCCCAAGCAGCAGAAGAATCCAACTGAATTGAAAGTGGGCTAAAGAGTGCACAAACTCAGCATGGGATGAGGTGAGGGAGAGCAGCCTGCTGGCGCTCACAGGCTGAGGGGCCTGTAGACCCGGAAGTCGGTACCACTTGTGGGAAGTCTCTGGTGAAGATGAAAACCACCCCAGGCACATTCACAGAAATGCTCTGGGGTTTGTGGACCCTGGGCATGTTCCCAGAAGCGCTCTGTGGTTTGCGGGGCCTCGCACGGCTCAGCGCGGCACCCCCTCCCTGTGGATTCCCGCTCTGAGAGTCAAGATCACTGCATGGGAGTGCATTGCTTCTTGTCCTAATTGACAGGGAACATTTGGTGGTGTCTCCACCACAAGAGACGCAGCATGGCTGCGGGACCAGTGAAGCCATAAAGCCCACTCGGTGCCTTGTGGGGCCGACACCGTGTCACTGCAGGAAGCCGCAGCCCGGCCTGGATTTCCAGGAAGCAAGGCCAGCTCAGCACAGACACAACTCCCATGACAGCTTGAACCCAGCTCACCCCCGCTATGAGAGAAACACCGGGTGACTGACCTGGAGTGAAAACAGCAGTGAGGAAGGGGGAAGAGCCCCCCACACTCTCAGAATGGTCTCTGGACGGAGACCCCCAGGCAGTGGCCATCTGACCCTGGCTGTGTCTGACCGTGGAACCAAAGCAGACATGTTTGAGCAGAACCAGAGCAGACATGTTTGACTCCAGTCAGCCCTTGAGGGAGCTGGCTAACGAGGACCACCCAAGACCCCAGAACATGACAAATGCAAAGAGCTTGGACTGAGGAAAGCAAGTTCAAATTCTTCACTGTGTGATTCCAAGCAAATCAGAACCAAATTCTTATCTGAATGTTTTCAGTGACAGATCAAAGAAAAGATCCCAGCCAGCGTGAGCCCCAGGCACACACTGCCTCACAGCGGGCTCACACTGGGCCCACACTGGCTTACACTGGGTATACACTGGGCTCACACTGGCTCACACTGGGCTCACTCCGGGCTCAACACTGGCTCAAACTGGGCACACACCAGGCTTACACTGGGCACATACTGGCCACACACTTGCTCACACTGGCTTGCACTGGGCTTAGACCAGGCACACACCAGGCACACTGGCTCACCTCGAGCACACAATGGCTCACACTGGGCACACTGGCTCACACCAGGCACACACTGCCTCACACGACACACACTGGGCACATACTGGGCACACACTGGCTTGCACTGGGCTCACACCAGACACACAGCAGGCACACTGGCTCACATCGAGCACACACTGGCTCACACTGGGCACATACTGGCCACATACTGGCTCACACTGGCTCACACTGGCCACACACTGGCTCGCACTGGGCACACACCAGGACACACTGGCTCACATCGAGCACACACTGGCTCACACTGGGCACATACTGGCCACACACTGGCTCACACTGGGCACATACTGGCTCACACTGGCTCACACTGGCCACACACTGGCTCACAATGGCTCACACTGGGCACACACCAGGACACACTGGCTCACACCGGGCACACACTGGGCACACACTGGCTTACAGCCACCCACCCGAGGGACAGGCTGGTGCCAGGGGAAGCTGTGTCTGAGTGCTCCATCATGTTATCCGGGACCTGCTCGTCCCTCTCTCTGACCTGCCTGCTGGACACCAACACCAGCCCTCAAGTGCCAGCAGTGACAAGCCCACCTGAGCAGAAATGCAGATTCTCGTCCAGCATCCTCAGAGTCCAATCCACTCTAACAGGATCCCCTTTGGTCACATGACCCCTCCTGAGCCAATCACTGCAGCCAGGACCACGGAACATTCTGGCTGACTCACGGGATGCCTTGTCCAGGGCGGGGAGGACTCAGAGTTCTCGCTGGACCTTTAATGACGTGTGAGGGAGAAGAGAAACACGACACGGTCAGGGAGACGTCACAGGTTTTCCCCAGATCCTCAGGGGAACCACACACAGTGACTCATGAGGAGCGGCGGGGCCTTGAGCCAGGGCGAAAGCACCGGGCGCTCCAGGATCCCAGGCTCCTTCCCTGAACAAGCATCCAAACCTCTCAAGCTAGGGCTGACTACAAACGACAAAGTCCTGTAACACAGAGCTCAGATAGCGGATTTCAAACGTTTTGTTCATGAAAATGTAACCTCTGTGTCGTCTTGGAACAGTGTTCAGGAGGGGGAGGGTGCAAGCTCTGGCCCAGGCCCCACCTCTACCAGGGAAGGCAAACATCACTTAAACGCCTGCAGCCTCCTGCGAAGGTTTTCTGAGACTATCAGTAAAGATAATATGTTTTCAAGCTCCTGGAATATGTTTAAAGTATTATGCAAACAAACAACAGCTATTAGAAATATCACTTTACAAACTTTTTGTTGAGATACTATGCATTCCAAAGCGTTCACCAGTGAGAAGTACACAGCTTGGTGCTGCCTGAAGACGCAGCCTGGCCCGGGATTTCCAGGAGCAAGGCCAGCTCAGAACAGATGCAACCCCCATAAAACAGAGCTTAAGACAACCTCACCCTCACTAGAATGGCTTACACTCCTGCTACAAAAGAAACACCTGGTGACTGACCTGGAGTGAAAACAGGAACGAGGAAGGGGGAAGAGGCCCCGCGCCCTGACAAATGTTTACAGAACAAACACTCCCACCCAGACATAGATTCATAACCCACAAGCCCCGCCCCCATCCTCTCAGTCACCATCATTCTAAATTCCAGGCTGAACGTCAGCTTTGCCTGTTTGAACTGTAGGTCCGTGGAATCACACTCTCTGCTCTCCTGAATCCGGCTTCTTTGCGCAATATCCCATTTGTGAGAGTCACCTGTGTGGCTCTGTACAACAGTAGCTGGTGGTTTTTTATTGCTCTGTAGTATTTAATTGCATGGAACATCCCACAGTTATTTCTACATTCCCCTGTGCATAGACGTGTAAGTTATTTCAGTTGTAAGCTGTTATAAATCAAGCTGCTGGGAACATTCTTAGGCCTTTTTGTATATTTAAGGATGCATTTCTATTGGGTATGTACTCATAGGAGTGGGATTACTAGACCATAAAAGACAGATATATTCAGCTTCCACAGATACGAACCAAGCTGCTAGGCACATTCTTGTACATGTCCTTTGCATACCTCAGTCTGCATTTCTGTTGGGAATACATGTATCTAGGAGTGCTATTATTTGATCACAGGGTAAAAAAAATACATAGCTACATTTGTCACTTTATTCTGAAGTTTACAGGCAAAAGCTGCTGATGATACGGATTGATAGCGATGTCCACTTTTCATTCCTGGCACTGGTAAGTTGGTCCTTCCTTCTGTTTTTCTTGATCAGCCTTGCCAGAAGTGTATATTCACATCTTTTAAAGAAGCAATGATTGGTTTTGTTCATTCTCTCTACCGTACATTTGTTTTCTATTACATTATTTTTCTTTTTATTATATTCTTATATTTCTTTAACTTCAATTTTCTGTTCTTTTTCTACACTCTTTAGACATATGTCATTTTCACCTTTTCTTCTTTTCTAATAAAAGCATCTAAGGTTATAATTTATTTCTAACCATAGCTTTAACTTGATCCCAAAATTCCCAAAATTGTTTAATATTGTATTTTTATTATAGTTCAGTTCACAATATTTTCAGATTTCTATTGACATTTCTTCTTTGACAAATGGGGTATTTAGAAGAGTACTGCTTAATTTCCAAACATTTAGATTTTCTAGGGATTTTTTTTTCCATTTGTTTTTAGCTTAATTTCTTTGGCCAAAGAAATACTCCGAATGATTTCAATCTTTAGCAATATGTTAAGATTTGTTTATCTGATCAAAACATTTCCGTCTAATAGATGGTCATTTTCAATATGTATGCTGTGTGCACTGGAAAAGAACACAGGTTCTATTTTGATAGTTGCAGTGTGTCCATTAGATCAAGGCCATTAATCCCGTTCTTCAGACCTGCTTCAGCATGTCTCTCTAAATACATGACAGGACACACACACCAATAATAAAAACAAACATGCATAAAAATGTGCATTATTCTCTCCGGTAATTATCTCAATATTTGCTTTATACATTTGAAAATTATATCAGGTGCATCAAATTTATAATTACTGTGTGTTCCTGATAGACCAACCCTTATATTTATTATGGCCCTTTTTATCTCGGAAAATGCTTCCTGCCTTAACATCTACTTTGTATATTAGTTTAGATATACCAGCTTTCTTTAGGGTAGTGTTTTCATTGTATTCTCTTCCAGCGTTTCAAACTTTTATATCTCAACATTGAAGGTGGTCCCTTGCAAGCAGTGTGGTTTTGTTTTTTAGTGACAATCTTTAATTTTTGAGTGGAGTATTTATCTCATTTATTTACAATGAAATTACTAATATATTGGGATTTATATCGACTATCTTACCTTGTTTTTTTATTTGTCTCATCTGTTTTATTTTTCCTTTTATCCTTTATTGCTTTCTTCTGGATGGAGTATTTTTATTATTATTTTGATTCCCTTTCTTAGCTTGTTAGCTATTCTTTTTGTGGCTATTCTAGAAATAATAACACGGGACCTTGATTTATCATGGTGCAACACACATCACATCCCACATGGTGTCAGAAAAACTGGATACACACATGCACATAACAAAATTGGACCGTTACCTTATACCATACACACACACAAATCAACTAAAAATGGATTCATGCCTTAAACATAACACCTGAACCTGTAAACCGCCTAGAAGGAAATATAGGAAAAAACCTTCATGACATTGGTCTTAGCAATTATTTTTTGGATATGACACCAAAAGCTCAGGCAACAAAAGCAGAAACAGACAAGGGAGACTACATCAAACTAAAGTTTCTGCAAAAGAAACAATCAACAGTGAAAAGGCAATCTACAGAACAGGATAAAATACTTGCAAATCGTATAACTTTTTAAAAGGTTAATGTCCAAAATGTATAAGGAACTGCTGCAACCCAATAACCAAAAACAAAATAACCTGATTTTTTAAACGGGCAAAAGGACCTAAATAGACATTTCTCACAAGAAGAAATACAAATGGACTGCAGGTATACAACAAAAATGCTCGACATCACTAATCGCCAGCAAAATCTAAATCAGCACTACAATGAGCTATCATATCAAACTTGTTAGGATACCTATTATCAGAAAAAAAAAAGATGAGTATTGGTGAAGACTGTATACTGTTGTGGGAATGCAAAAGGTCCTTATGGAAAACAGTATACAGGTTCCTCAAAAAATTAAAAATAGAACTACTATTTGATCCAGCAACCCCACTCTGGGTTTTTACCCAAAAGAGTCAAAATCAAGATCTCCAAAGAGATACTTGCATTCCCACACTAACTGTGGCATTATTTGCAATATCCAAGATGTGGCCACAACCCAAATGTCCATCAACAGATGGATGGATGTTTTACATGTGGTATATCTAGACAATGAAACATTACTCAGCCTTAAAAAAGAAGAAAATCCTGCTGTAAGTGACAGCATAGATGAACCTGGAAGACATGAGCTGAGCGAAGTAATCCAGGCACAGAAAAGATAACACTGATGATTTCACTTAGACGAGGCATCTAAAATAGTCCAATGCGTAGACCCAGAGAGAAGAATGGTGGTTTCCAGGGGCTGGGTCGGGGCAGGGTGAGGTATTGCTAATCAATGGGTATCAAGTTTTAGTTCTGCAGGATGAACGAGTGCTAGAGATCTGCGGTACAGATCATGGCTGTCATCAACAATACTGTGCCATGCACTTAAAATGTTAAGAGGGTGGATCTCATGTTATATGTTCTTTCCACAAAAAAGGACATGGATCCCTGACTTATTAGTGTAACACGCATTATCGCATCCTGGATAATGCCAAAACCTGAGAACACTAACTCCTTTACCTTCTGTGCCACCAATATTCGTGTTGATTTACCAACCCATTGATAGTTCCCACTGCTATCCCTGCCTGCCTTGTTTCCTGGTTTCCATGTGGGTTTACTTTCCTCCTGCCAGAAGCCCCTGCAGTCTTTTCCCAAGAGTCATCTGTTGATGGAGTCTCTCGAGTTCTGTCTGTCTTTTCGTAGGAGTCATCTGTTGATGGAGTCTCTCGAGTTCTGTCTGTCTTTTCCTAAGAGTCATCTGTTGATGGAGTCTCTCGAGTTCTGTCTGTCTTTTCCTAAGAGTCATCTGTTGATGGAGTCTCTCGAGTTCTGTCTGTCTTTTCCTAAGAGTCATCTGTTGATGGAGTCTCTCGAGTTCTGTCTGTCTTTTCCTAAGAGTCATCTGTTGATGGAGTCTCTCGAGTTCTGTCTGTCTTTTCCTAAGAGTCATCTGTTGATGGAGTCTCTCAAGTTCTGTCTGTCTGGTCACGTCTTGATTTCATCTTTATACCTGAGAAACATTTCCAGGGAGTAGAGAACTTGAATTGATGGGGTGTTTTCTTCCATCACATGCGAGGTTCATCACACTTCTGGTCTCCATGGTTTCTGGTGAAACAATTCATCAATAGAGATTAATTTCCTATGATTTTTCTCTGCTTGCTTTCCAGATTTTCTCTTAAACTTTGGTTTTTACTAATTTTAGAGTGATGTTCAGAGGTAGGGTTTTCTTTGTGTTCATTCTGTGAGGTTGAACTAACCACACAAAACTGCCAATATTCAACTGTTGTTTACCTTTAAAATAGCTATATAATAGATTTTTTAAAATCCAAGCTTTGGTGTCTTTCTTCAGGTTTGAAAAAAATCATAGCTCTCATCGCCTCAAACATTGCTTCTAAGCTGTTTTCCTTCTCCTCTTCTGGGACTCCACCTACACATATAGACCTTTCCAACAGATCTCCTCTGCCTCATACACTCCGTCCTGTACTTTCTCTCAGTTTTGATCTGTTACTCTGCCTCATTATTTCCCAGGGACCTTCTTCCAGCTCACTCATCTGCTCTTCCTTCATACTCAATGTTTTGTGATGCCCATCTATTGAGTTATTAGATTCAGCTCTAGAATTTCCATTTGATTACTTTGTTTATAGAATCAATTTTTCTGGTGAAATTTTCCACTTACCCTTTATTTTCTTGAACATATCAACCACAGTTATTTTAAAATTTGACTGCAACAAGTATAATAACTATCTGTGGGTGTACTGTTGTCATCTGTTTTTGTGTCTTGGTCTTGCTTCTTGACAACTGAAATTCAGACATTACATATGAAACTGCAGAGACTCTGGGTGAGTCTATCTTCTTACCTTCCTCCTCACTAGACAGCCAGATCGAGGGTAGATCCCCTTAACTCAAGGGAGGCCTGAGACAAGAAGACAGACCCATCATTCTTGGAAGGCTCAGTCACCTGGGGTTTATCCTCACACCTATGGCATGACCCATCCGGGGCTGGGACCTGGGATGTGTGCGATGGCCCCTCTTTCTTAGAAGTTCCTGAATTCCAGTTTCATCTCTTCAGCATTATGAGACTGCCAGAAATCCTGCTCTGCTTTTCCATAGCTTTCTGATCAGCCTCTGATTCAACTCAAGAATTTGGCAAATGTGTCAGAGGTGAAAGCCACAGGTGCTGATTGCCTCTGTACCTACTTTCTCTTTGGGATCCAGTCTCCTCAGGGCCTGGTAACCTTTGCAATGCAAACATCTATTTGTGTGTTGATGACCCTATGAGGTTGCCAAGTGCTCTGTGGGTTTCACTGCCTCTTCTCCACAGCCCTTGCCTGGTTTCTCAGCCTCTTTCGACAGGAATCACAAATGCCCCCAGGAGACAGGCAGCCCGCAGGGAGTGGGCTCCCTAACAGTGCCCCTCCGATGGGTCTTTTTTAAGTTTTTTTGGCCAGGGGCTGTGGCTCACACCTGTCATCCCAGCACTTTGGGAGGCTGAGGTGGGCGGATCACCTGAGGTCAGGAATTTGAGACCAGCCTGGCCAACATGGTGAAACCCCGTCTCTACTAAAAATACAAAAATTAGCCAGGCGTGGTGGTGCATGCCTGTAATCCCAGCTACTGGGAGGCTGAGGCAGGAGAATTGCTTGAACCTGGGAGGCAGAAGTTGCAGTGCCACTGCACTCCAACCTGGGCAACAGAGTGGGACTCCATCTCAAAAAAAAAAAAGAAAAAGTTTTATTTTATTTTTAATTGACAAATAATTGTACATATTTATGGGCTACGGTGTGATGTTTCAACACATATATACATTGTGGAATCATCAAAACAGGCTAATTAACAGGATCTTGGCCTCTCAAATCCCGGTTGCCTCCGCAGCTCCCCAAAGCAGGCATTCTGTGGATTTTACCCAGCACTTCTAGTTGTTCCCCACAGGAAATCTGATCCGATGCAAACAGATCATTATAGCCAAGAGAAGGTCAGTTCTGATCGTTGTTGATTTTCCTGGAATTTGCTAATGATGAATCGTGCTGTGTGAAAATACACTTTAGGCTGATGCCCAGCTGATTAGCATATAGGGTTTAGTGACATTTCCACTGATAGTGACTTCCTCAAAGACACTCTGACCAGGGGTCAGCAAACCAGAGCCCCGGGACCTACCCCACCTGTCTTTTCATGTAGGGCCTGGGAAAGGAAAACAAACCTTGGGACTCCAAAATCTCCAGGCTAAAGGGAAAAGTCAAGCTGGGAACTGCTCAGGGCAAACCTGCCTCCCATTCTGTTCAAAGTCACCCCTCTGAGGCTGCCCTGAGACAAATGCATCTCATTGCTCCCTCTCCCCTATTGCTTATGTAAAAATGCAGATTCACTGAGCCAGGCTCAATTGTGTATTCACTGGAAGGCTGGTCAAGGACTCAAAAGAATGCAAACTTTTGTCTCTTATCTATTTCTAACCTGGAAGCCGCCATTTCCAGTCATCCCGCCTTACTGGACTGAACCAAAGTATGTCTTACACATATTGATTGACGTCTCATGTCTCCCTAAAATGTATAAAAGCAAACTGTGCCCCCGACCACCTCGGGCACATGCCTCAGGCCCCCGTCCACCTCCTGCGCATGCCTCAGCCCCCGACCACCTCAGGCACAAGTCTCAGGACTTCCTGAGGCTGTATCATGGATGCATCCTTCACCTTGCCAAAATACTTTCTAAATTGACTGAGACCTTTCTCAGATATTTTGTGCTCACAAGCCTTTGAGCTAAGAATGGTTTTTATATTTTTTTAAGGGTTGTAGGAAAAATGAGATGGAGACAGGGACAGAGAAGAAGTGGGGAAGAGAGAAGAAAGGAGGAGAAGGAAGAGAAGAAGAAGAGGAGAAGGAGTAAGATGAGGAGGAGGAAACAGTAATCTTTGTGGCTTTCAAAGCCAAGATATTTATCATTTGGTCCTTTACAGATAAAGCTTGCCAACTCAAGTTCATGACCATCTCTAATTCTTTTAAATATCAAGTCATGATGTGTATTAATATAAAGATTGCATATTAAATGCATCTTCCATAGACATAGAAAGTAAAGATATGAAAATCAGTTTGTACTGATTGTAAGACAAGTCTCTGAACGACCAACAAGATGGCCCAGTCTGTGGAGCTCCAGGCTTATTTACGGGGTGCACCTCGTAGTGCCCACAAGGAAGCTAGATCTTTTGGAAATAATTCTGCAATGTGGAAATAATTTTGCAACGTGGAAATACTGAGGCCTGGGGCTGACTGATTTATTGATGAGAAACCCAGGGAGGCATTGGTTTGGGGTTCTGTGACATCATGTTGAGGCATCTGCATTTCCTATCACACTGTACTAAATCAGTTAGAAAATATCTTAATTTCCCTATCCTCACATGAGTCTTACTGGGTCCTGACAACCTCCTGGCCTCTCACCCTAATGAGTCCTCATTTCTGAGTGGACATTTCTCCCAAATTCAGTTGCAACAACAGATGGTGTGTGGCCACAGCCCATAAAGGTAGAGACTCATGCTCAAAGCTGCCTTCTGGTAGGCAAAGTCGCCACCTCGAACACACCCTCCAAAGACTTGACATTCAGATACCAAATGCTCCAGGTCCAGCTCCCAAAAGCTAGATGGATTGTCCGTTCCATTCGGGCTTCAAATCAGAGGCTGTGGTGGCTGTGGTATCTCAGGACTGGTGCAGTAGGGTTCTAGCACAGCTTCAGGCAGACTTCCTCAACAACAGTGATGGTGATGGTAGTGGTGGTGGTGATAGTGAAAGCAGTGGTGGTGGTGATGATGGTGGTAATGGTAGTAGCTATGGGTGTGGTGGTGATGATGGTGGTGATGGTAGTGATGGTAATAGGGGTGATAGTGGTGATGTGGTAATGATGGTGGTGGTGGCAGTGGCGGCGGTGGTGGTGATAATGATAGTGGTAACAATGGTGGTGGTGATGGTGGTAATACTGGTGATGGAGGTGGTCGTGGTGATGATGGTGGCAGTAGTGATGGTGGTAGTGATAGTGACAGGGTGGTGGTGGTGGTGATGGTGATAGGGGTGGATAGTAGTGGTGAAGGTGGTGGTGATGATGACAGTGGTGGTGACAGTGGTGGTGGTGATGTTAGTGATAGTGGTGATGGTGATGGGGGTGGTAGTGGTGATGGTGGTAGTAGTAGTGGTGGTGGTGGTGATGGCAGTGACGGGGGTGGTGGTGGGGGCAGTGGTATTGGTGGTGGTGGTGAAGGTGGTGGTGGTGACGGTGATGATGATGGTAGTGATAGTGGTGATGGTGGTGGTGATGATGGTGATGGGGTAGTAGTGGTGTTGGTGGTAGTGGTGGTGGTGATGGCAGTGATGGGGGTGGTGGTAGTCGTGGTGGTGGTGACAGTGGTAGTAGTGATGGTGGTAGTGATGGGGGTGGTAGTGATGGTGGTGCTGGTGGTAGTGATAGGGGTGGTAGTGATGGTGATGGTGATAGTGGTGATGGCAGTGGTAGTGATGGTGGTGATAGTGATGGTGATAGCAGTGGTGGCAGTGGTGGTGATAGTGATGGTGATGGTGGTGGTGGTGATGGTGATAGTAATGGTGATGGCAATGAAGGTGATGGTGATGGTGATGGTGATAGTGATGGTGATGGTGGTGGTGGTGATGGTGATAGTAATGGTGATGGCAATGAAGGTGATGGTGATGGTGATCAGTGATGGTGGTGATGGTGATGGCAGTGGTGGCAGTGGTGGTGGTGGTGATAATGATGGTCATGGTAGTGGTGGTGATGGTGATAGTGATGGTGATGGCAGTGGTGGCAGTGGTGGTGATAGTGATGGTCATGGCAGTGGTGGTGATGGTGATAGTGATGGTGATGGCAGTGGTGGCAGTGGTGGTGATGGTAATAGTGATGGTGATGGCAGTGATAGTGATAGTGATGGTGATGGCAGTGGTGGTGGTGGTGATAGTGATGGTGATGGCAGTGGTGGTGGTGGTGATAGTGATGGTGATGGCAATGGTGGTGATGGTGATGGTGATGGTGATCAGTGATGGTGGTGGTGATGGCAATGGTGGCAGTGGTGGTGATGGTGATAGCGATGGTGATGGCAGTGGTGGTGATAGTGATAGTGATGGTCATGGCAGTGGTGGTGATGGTGATAGTGATGGTCATGGCAGTGGTGGTGATGGTGATAGTGATGGTCATGGCAGTGGTGGTGATGGTGATAGTGATGGTCATGGCAGTGGTGGTGATAGTGATAGTGATGGTCATGGCAGTGGTGGTGATGGTGATAGTGATGGTCATGGCAGTGGTGGTGGTGATAGTGATAGTGATGGTCATGGCAGTGGTGGTGGTGGTGATAGTGATGGTCATGGCAGTGGTGGTGATAGTGATGGTGATAGTGATGGTGGTGACAGTGGTGGTGATGGTGATGGCAGTGGTGGCAGTGGTGGTGATGGTGATAGTGATGGTCACGGCAGTGGTGGTGGTGGTGATAGTGATGGTGGTGGCAGTGGTGGTGATGGTGATGGCAATGGTGGCAGTGGTGGTGATGGTGATAGTAATGGTCATGGCAGTGGTGATGGTGGCAGCAAGGAAATCATTCTCTGATTACCTGACATGGTTAAAAATCTGAGAGCAAAGATGAGCTGAGAATGTCATCATACAATGTGTAAAGAAGCTGAGCCTGAGAACCCTGAAATGCATGGTATTCTCTATGTGCAAACGTACGAGAGCTGAAAGTGACCAGTTACCTATTCATGGTTATCATCTGCATGATGAAGAAACACTGCAACCTACCTTTTCTCCACTAGAGGGTTGGTTCACTAGATAATGGCACCTGCATGCCATGGATGCTACGTATCAGTATTCAACAGTGGAAGCCCACTCAGCATTCAGGAGTAAGAGATTTGGTAAGTGATAAGAAAAATTTGCAGAACTACAGGATTCCATTTTTGTTATGTGTGTGCCCAGAAGAGCATCTAAACAGACATTTACCCGAATGTTCTTCACCATGATTATTTTGGGGCTTTAGGATCGTAAGGAGGTGATTCTGATTTTGTGGCTTGTACCCTTCTGCACCACCCAGCCATGCAGCGTTCCGCCTGCTTCCTTTTCTCCTGTGTGCTTTAATTCTAGTTACAGGAAACATGCATATGAAAAAGGCACGGAAGGGAATGTATGTTTCCTTTTTTGTCAGAAAATAAAATGACACGTTTCCATTTTTGGAGAAGTTAAAACAGATTTTATCTCCTGCCACCATTCTTGCCTTACGGACAAGAGGAGGACAGGGCCTCCAAGCAAATGAGCACATTAGTGAGTTAAAAGAAATATTTATAAATCTAGAGCATAGTCTTTGGCCTAGAAAGACGGTACTAAAGCAGACAGAAGCCTTTTCAGGAACACAAATAAGTATTAAAAAAAAAAAAAAAAGCAAAAAAACACCTTTTTTGTTCCCTTTAAACCAGAATGACTCTTAACCTGGTCAACAAGCACATTGCAAATGTCTTGTTCCCACTAGGTGGCCACAGGTCACTGGGCGAGCGGGTCTTTGTGGGCAGAGGCAGGAGCGGAGGCTGCGGAGGACGCTCCAAGCCCATCTTCCGTGGCTCAGCCCAGCGGCTCCCGCGGCTCCAGGGCAGCGCCAGGCATGGCTTCTCCCCGAAGGCACAGAAGGCTCCGAAGTTGCCACCTCTTGCCTGAGTTGCCGGAAATCCAAGGGTAGGTTTATATCAAATCAGCAGACAAACTTGACTTCTGGGTAAAGGCTAAAATGAATCAACGGAGAACTGACGAGACTGTTTCCCCACTGACGGGTCTGTAAGAGTTGGGGGCTGCCCGCCGCCTGGTCAGTCACGCTATGCAGCTCTTAGGTTGAATCCTGGGCTGCCCTGGCTACCAGGATGCCTCAGGGAGGGGAGGAAGCAGGAGGAGCGGCGTGGGGCGACTCCTCCCAACAGGGGGAGCAGCGTGGAGCAAATCTTCCTGATGGGGGAGCGGCGTGGGGCAAATCTTCCTGCCAAGCGTGCGAGCTGCTTGTCCCCACCTGGGCGAGCCACCTCTTCCTACCAGGGGTGCCCATGAGGTCCTTCCTAAAAGTAAGACTCAGCAGGGAGGGTTCCAAGGCCTGTGGCCAGCAGGTGAATCACACAGGAGCTTCCTCTACCATGTGAGGCTCTGGGGGTCCTTGTCTGGGTGACGGTGTCAGAGTGGACTGTTGGCCACCAGCAACGGGGCTGCCTGGGACGGCCAGGGGCAGAGCTGCTCCCATGTGGCACCCTACCCCGAGTCCTGGGTGTCTGGGCTCACACCCATCTCTGGCCTACCCCAAGTCCTGGGTGTCTGGGCTCATACCCGTCTCTGGGTGTCATTCCAGCAGCACCTTCTCCTCCTTTCAGGATGGCCCTGTTCAGTCAGGGTCCTGCCCTCTCCCACTGCACGGGGAGGTGCTAGAGAAGGGAGGGGGCCTGTGGGCACTGCCACTCACCCCTCCAACAGGCAGGGAGACAGGCACCTGCCCCAGGGATGCTGCAGCCCAGCACCCCTCCGGCAGCCTCGCCTGGCTCCAGCAAGAGCGGAATGTTCACAGGCCTGTCCACCGTCACCTCCTAACAGGTCCTGGAGAGGCCAGGCCACGCCAGTGCCATCACAGACTGTGCTCGGGAAGCTGAGGTGAGCCCCAGCCGGCCGTGAGCCCCAGCGCCCAGGCGCCTCCTCCCCTGTTGCAGCCCCACTGGGTCCCCAAGTCCCCACCCACGGCCAGTGTTTGTTTCTCCCTGAAAACCTGATTTGACTTCACTCAAAATCTCCACACCTGCTGCAAACGTCAGTTTGATAAACCTGACGCTGCCCTCCCGGCTGGGGGCAGGAATCTCTCTACCACCTGTGTGAGAAGAGGCCGAGCCTCAGAGTCCCAGGCCAAAACCCTGTTAGAGCAGCTTAGACACAGCACCAAGACCCCCCTAGACCCAGAGTGAGCCTAAAATGAAAAGCAAGTGAAAGCCTCGGACCGTGCAGCTGCTCGCCAGAACGTCTCAGGAAAACTGGCTGCGGCCTTTCCTGTGGAATCCAACCGAGATGGCCTCAGCCTGTCTCCCTTTCCTCGTCCTCAGTGCTCCTCACAGACCCCAAGACCCACAGGGCCTGCGTCACATGCACAGAAGCCAGGTCCTCTCCTACGGCCATTTTTGGGATCCCAAGAAAGCCCCCAGTGTCCCCTCACTGCTGTGCAGCTTACACCCCAAGTTCATTGCTCAGGGCCCGCTCTCTTTCATCAACAATTCTCCCCCTGCATCCTCTTGAAAACGCGGCCGCACCCGGCGGGGCACCATGCCAGACCACGGCCCTCTGCACAGCAGCAAGCCCACCACAGCGTGTGGACCGTGAGACCTGCCACCGTGACTTCTCCCCAAAAGGGCCTGAGCTGGGCTTAACCAGGAGGGCTGGGGAGAGCTGGATGCCCTTCACCCTCGCTGGGCAAGAGCCTCCTCCCAGGCATGTCCCAGCCTCAGGGCTTTGTCTCCAGAGGGGGCAGGCCCTGGGTGACACAGCCCCTCAGCCCCACTGCCCTGTCCCCGAGGCTGGCCAGCCCTTCCTTATCTGCACAGCCTGAAGCCTTGTGTGGCTGACTCGGCCCTGAGCTTGTTCTCACCACCAAAGGAAGAGCCAAGCGCCCCCACCTGCTCACCTCTGCCCTGACTGTCCTCACCCTGGATCCCTTCCCTAATTAAATCCCCCCGTCTGCAACCCAGGCAGGGAGTTTCCACCACACTCTACACTGCACAGCAGCCTCCATCGCAGGTGGTGCCGTCCCTGAGTGCAGGCGCCAGAAACCCCAAGGAGGCTCCTTGGCAGAGCCTGAGCCGGACCAGTGACCCCGCGGCCTCTCGGGAACAGGTCAGAGGCTCTGGAGGGCCTTCAGGTTCGTCTGGCCCTAATCTCCACCCACCCCTCGCCTCTGCCCCAGCCCATAACGGGGCCGTCCTCCAACAATGAGTGGGCAAAGGTGCAGGGCTGAACGCAGACAGCCGCCTGCTGCTCATCAAGGGAACAGCTTCCTGCCGCATCTTGGGGTCTATGCTGCCTGGTGGGGCCAGGAGACCCTGAGAGGGCGCTCTGCCCCAAGTCAGCCTGTCCCTCCTTTGCCCCAGATGGCTCCTGCTCCCACCTCCTCCTGTCCCCGTGAGCCACAGAGCAGCAGACGCATCATCAGTGGACACTGGCAAGACCATGTCAGTGCTCAGAAGCCTCCGGGTCAGCCCTCAGACCACCCCATGTGAGAAGGTAAACCCCGGCGCCCAGGTGAGCCCTCGGACCACCGCATGTGAGAAGCCAGGACACTCAGCATGAGCAGGTAAACCCGGGCGCCCAGGTGAGCCTTCGGACCACCCCACGTGAGAACTCAGGACACGTGAGAACCCAGGACACTCAGCGTGGGCAGGTAAACCCTGGTGCCCCAGCACCCCAGGCTCCTGCCCCACCCAGCCCACCAACACACAGTTGCCCAAAGTCCGGATTCCCAGCTCGCCCCAGGTCTTCCTGGGCACATTCTGTCCTTGCAAACCACTTAGAGGTTGAGGGACTGTTTATGGGGTGGGTGTGTGCCTGAATGTGTGAGAGACAGAGAAAAATTACCCCCAATCTATAAGCTATAGGTAAGAAAAAGTACATTTTAATTTTACATTAAATTGAATACTTTCAACTATATTTTAATGTGGAAATTCCCAGGCCAGTATGAGGTGTTGCTGTGGTCGGACCACGCTGGGCCCACTCACGATGGAGTCTGTCGTGAGAGCTGGAGCCCCACCCAAGCCACAGCTGCCCCCGGCAGGCAGGCCCCACCCAGGCTCTGCAATGGACACACGGAGACCCACCCGAGCCACAGCCACCCCCAGCGGGCAGACCCCACCCGGACTCTGCCTGGGCCACAGCCGCCCCCGGCGGGCAGACCCCACCTGGACCCTGCCTGGGCTGCCATGGACACACGGAGCAGCTTGAAAATCCAATGGTCCCTGGTGTAATTTCCTCAGAGATTACTTGGTTGATGAGAAAAGCAGTAAGTTTTGTTGTTTGGTTTCATCTATCTGGATTTTTGGTGAGAATTCTCCACTGCTCCCTGTCTGGGGAGAAGCCCAGCCCCATGGCAGCCCCAGCCTCTGTCCACCATCAGGCACGCTGGGCTGTCACACAGCCACCTGTCCAGGGCACCCATGACATCCGGAACCCACCTCAAATCTGGCTTCTGTGGACTGAAGGCGGCCGGCCTGCAGCCTCCTAGCTCCTGTTCCCACGGCCTCACGGCATCCGTCACTTTCGAGGGTCATCACAATATGACCAGAAGCCCACGGGTGGCTTTGAAAGAGATGAAGGCGGTGACATACGTGCCCAGTAAGGACGCAGCTAGGATGCCAGGTGGGGCAGGCCAACAGCAGCTCCAGGCAGGACCAGGATGGCCTCTGATTGTCAAACAGATTTAAAATTTTTGCTCTGAAACACTGAAACATTCCTTCCCAAGCAAGGACAGAGCCATGAATCCACAGCCAATCTGGAGTTCCTCTCTGGGCCTGGGCAGCCTCTCCTAGCTCCCCAGACAACACTCGGTGCCTCCCTGCAGCCTCCACCGTTAAGCAAAAGCGTGGATGTATGAATTCCAATTTAGGTTTTAGCTAATGCTTGCATTCCAGCCATTAATTGCCTTGAGCTAAATACCTAATTGGCTGTATAAATTCCCCAAATGGAATTCTTTGGCACCAAAAAAAAAGAGGAAGGCAGCTAATAACCACTACAGAGCACAAGACCCGTCTCCATAATTAGGCCCTGACGGACTCAGGCCAGGGCGGCACCACCTGCCCAGCTGGGCAGCCCAGAAGCAGCAGGGCCCCAGGGAGCCCGGTGGCTCAGCCACACATGCTGCCCACGCGGCCCGATAAGGCCGACCCGCCCAGCTTGCTCCCGCTGCCAGAGCCTCTTCCCCACCTCTCCAGGAAACAAAGCCACCTGCACGGGTACCCGGCCTGCCTTGCGTCCTGCCAGGCCCCTGGAAAGCAAACATCCCTCCAAGGCCTGGGCCAGTGGTGGGCTGCGTCAAGCTGTTAGCCAAGCGGGCAGTGAAGACGAAGGCTGCCCCGTAGCCAGGGAGCTGACCTCTCTGCGCAGGTGCCGGGGTACGAGCACCAGCAGAGCCGAGAGCGGGGGCAGTGCTGAAGCCCCTGCTGCCATCCACAAAGGGGCCTCAGAGGGTTGGAAATGACAAGCCACGGTCTTGCCCCACCCCGGCTCCTGGCCATGCTACCCAGCCACACGGCACAGGGCAAATGCCAGCAGGACACAGGCCCTCAGCCCGGCATCATCGTCAGCCCGAGGATGCTGGGCCAGGCCAGGTGCCGACTCAGCAGGGCAGCAAGAGGGCCTCACTGCTGAGGGTGAAGCCAAGCCCAGCATGGCGTGCCCCACTCCAGCCACTCCACCGCCAGGGCTGCTTTCTGGGACCACTCCCAGGATGAATCTCACAGGGAAGGCCACAGGCCAGGTCGGCAACAACATGCCCCCAGCAGAGTGGCCCAGACACAGGAGCAGGCTGGGTGTCTGAGAATCATCCTTAGAACACAGAGAGAAGTGGACTTGGAAGGATATAAATCAGAACGGTAACATTATTTTAGTATTTATTATACATTTTCTAAATGTTTCATAATAGCCATGTATTGCTTCTTAATTAGAGAAAATAGTAAGTTAGCATGAAAACCCCCCAAAAAGAGAAGAGATCTGGGGAGGAGGAGGGAGGTTGGTTTCCACACTGCTTTCATCAGGCCAGAGGCAAACAGAAGTCTCCGCAGACCCAGGTCTGGGCAGCGCTGCAGTGCAGGAGGGTGGGGTGGGGAGGGGGTCCCCTCCAGAGGAGCTGAGTCTTCACTGGCGCCTGATGCTGAATTTGAGGCCCCCAGGGGAGCCCCTCAGCGGGAGGGCCGTAGCATGAGGGGCTCCTCCTGCAGCTCCCACTCCTGGGCCAAGGGCATGGGGCAGTCCCACCTTAAGGTCAGAGCTGAACTGACAAGTGTTCCCCGGGGCTCCCAGGGCAGGCCCCAGTGAGAGTTCCCCTGGCACTGCTGCTGGGGGCATTTCCAGCCTAAGACGGGTTCAAGGCAACCCCACTCCAGTCCAGCCACTAGAACGAGACTGGACTGTCCAGGTGCTCCAGCCCCACCAGCGTTTCCAATGGTCAGGAGCAACGGCGTTGGGTGGTTAGGAGACCAGTGGGATGCCACATATCTGTGGGGATGAGGGGCACGGCACTTTGCACTTTGTGTCACTGTGGTGTCCAAGATGGAATTAAGGTGACACCCCCGCCTCCTCTCAACAGATGTTCAGGACATGAAGGGCCGTGACAGGCAGCACGTGCCCACTCAGCTGGATTCCAGGTTCCTTTGTGGGACTCGGCACCACCTGTGGACAACAGGGTGTGTTTAGGGTCCAGGGACTTTCACACCAGAGGAAAAGTAATCCTGACTTCTCTTCCCTCCCAGTGAACACTGAAAACAATCAAACGTCAAAGTCCGTTTTCTCCCAGGTCATGCGTGGGGTAGGGATGGTGTCTCCAATGACAGATACCAAAACCAACAATTCCAGGTACATGTCAATCCCACAACTCAAGCTCAAGAAGCTTCCAGAGGAAGCAAGGGCTGGCCCAAGGGCAGGTGAGGGTGGTCGGCCCACAGGGCCCTCCCGGAGCAGCAGCAGATACAATCATGCTATAGTTCAGTTTGCTCGAAGAGTGGAGTGTCAGCCTTGGCTCAGGAGTCACCAAGAGAGGACGATGCACAGATTCCCACAACAGCAAGACACACAGCGCAGTCTGAGTCCAAACAAACACCAATAGGCAGAAGCAAGACACACAGCGCGGGCCGAGTCCAAACAAACACCAACAGGCAGAAGCAAGACACATAGCGCGGGCCGAGACCAAACACCAACAGGCAGAAGTGAACCCGTGAGGCTTAATTCATAGTCAGGAACATTTGGAGGAGTTCAGCCCTTACTTCTTTGCCTTAGTGATTTCCAAACTCATGGATGCCACTTCAGTGTGGTAATGGAGCCAGGATGAGTGGAGAGCATGTCACACATCAGTTTCCCGCAGCCCCTGCACTGGTGACCCTTAGTTCATTCACAATCGCATAATCCCTTGTGATTTTCCTGGCAAACAGGAACACTAAACCTCTTTTTCTTCCTAAAATATTTGGTTTACAAAGTTAAGCAAAGGCAAAGCTACAACACAAAACGTTGCTGTAGTACAGACGAATCCAAGGTGGCCACAGCACAGATGAACCTGGTGAGGATGCCGTGGTGCCACAGACTGGGTGACTCACACAGAAACGTCCTCATGGTCTGGAGGCTGGAAGTCTGGGATGGGGGTGCCAGCACAGTCTGCTCTGGTGATGGCCTCCGCCTGGCTTCTCACCGCGTCCTTACATGGAGGAGAGAGGACTCTTCCTCTTCTTACGAGAGCACTGGTCCCTTCACGGAAGCCCTGCCCTCAAGACCCCATCTAACCCAATCACCGCCCAAAGGCCACCTATCCCATCGTGGGAGCCCCACCCTCACGGGTGATCTAACTCAATCACGGCCCAAAGGCCTCTCCTCCCAGCACCATCCCCTGGGGGTTTGGCCTTCTACACACTGAGTTCAATGAGACACATTCAGTCCATAACCGCTGCCTCAGAGAATGTCTTCCCACACACAAGGACACATACACACACACTGGTGAAACACAACTGAGATTCATTCTTGCTTTTTTTAACCTCATAGATATAATAGAGAAATGCGCACAAAAACGCATCGTATAGCAAACAATATTAAGTGAATATTCATCCAAACAGCACTCAAGAAATAGTCCCGCCAGCAGCTGGAACCCCCACCCCTGCTGCACCTTCATGGGGAGCCACCGCCGACTTGATGGAAGCTGTGCTCACGGCCGCGCCTGCCTCTGCACCAGATTCACAGGGCCTGTCGTCTTTCACACCTTCCTTCTTTCACTCAGCTTCATGTCTGTGAGATGATCCGAGTCGCCCCGTCATGGCTAAATTCCACTGTTCCATTGTATGAAAATAAAATAATCTTCCTCTCCTCCACCACCAAAGTGCATGTGGGTCACGTCCAGCCTGGGGAGACTGTAAACGATGCCACCTACGCGCTTCCTTGCGCATCTCCCTGACCAGGCGTACGTGTGCTTCTGCTGCGTGGAGGGCAAGGAGCGAAACCTCAGCCGCAGCAAACACACCTCTCCACATTCCAGCACACCTGCCCACCTGCTGTCCAAGCCCCCGAGGAGCTCAGAGGTTGTGTATCACAGCCAGGTGCTTCCAGGAACTCCCCGCCCCACGTCGCAGCTGCACCTGGAGCTGGTGCTTCCGGTTTTTGCCCGTCTAGTAGGGGAGCTGCTGAATTTCATACGGCTTCCGTCTTCATCACTCCAATTTAATAATTAGGTTGAAGACCATTTTACGTATTTCTCAGTCATTTGAATTTTCTCCTTAGAACTTCTGAAATGTTTTGCAAATGTTTCCTTCGTTGCCTTGTTCTCAGTGATTTGTCAGGGTCCTCTCTGTTTTGAACGTGAGATCTTTGTCGGTTACATGTCATTTACATGTGTTGAAAATATTGTCTCCCATTCTGTGGCTTGTCTTTTAATTAATTCTCTTTACGGTGTCTTTTTTACTAAGAGTTATTCTTGATTTTAATATAGTTGAAATTATCAGTAATTTCCTTTGCAATTAGCACTCTTTGTGTCCTGTCTCAAAACCTTCCTCTCCGCCCTAAAGTCATGAAACATTATATTCTCAGTTGAAAACCTTTATAGTCTTGCCTTTCACACCCATGAGCACAGGAGTTGGTGTCTCCGAAAGAAATTCGGTCCAGGTTCATCTTCTTCTAATATGGATTCCAGCTGTTCTCATCTTCCTTTTTTATTTCAAAATGTCTTGAGGTCCTTCTGTGTCAGCCCATCTACCTAACTCCGTCTTGAAGATGAACCACAACTTGAAGGGTGTTTAGAACGCTCGCGGTTTTTTCCTATGATAATGTTTCACAGAATCATTGCGCATTTGGTTCTTTACACCCAGGCCTGAACATCCATCACATAACTTCCCAGGAGTCAGGCTGGTGAGTTAAAGTTATGTGAATTTTAATTTCCTTAGATATTGGGCTGTCTTCCTTAAAAAAATTAATTCCATCGCAAAATTATTAAAAATTCCCCCACGTTTTCTTCCAGTACTTGTAAAATTCCATTATATTTTTAAGTCTCTGTGCCATCTGGATTTTATTTTGGGGTAAGGAGTTTGGGAGGGACCCAGCTATGTATTTTCCAAATGTCTGGCCAGTTGTCCCCAAATCATTACTGAATAATACATCTTTTCCCCACCGATTTAAAATGTCATCATTATCATATACCAAATACCCATACGCATTTGGGTCTATTTCTAGACTTTCTATTCTTTCCCTTCAATCTGCCCGTCTGTTCCCCACTCTGGCTTAAGTGTCCCATCACTGCAAAGCACTGAGTGTGCAAGACTCAACGCCCCACACACAACTTTCTTTTTCATAACTTTTCTGTTTAGTCTCATGTTTGTGTCTGAACCTGGACTTTAAAGCTAGTTCGTTTAATTTCAAAAAAAATTGTTAATATGCTGTTGTGATAACTTACATGTATAGGTTTATTCAGAGAGAATTCATATCCTTACAGAATTAAACCTTCTCACCCAGAAGCACTGTCTCCCCTGCCCAGCGGGTCCTCCCCATCTCCCAGTGGAGACCATGGACCTGCCGGGTTCACCGTCGCCAGGCTCCTCAAGGCCTTCCCCATTCTCCCTGGTTCACCCAGGAGCTCTGAGCACGCCACGCACCTGCCCCTGCAACCTTGTCCCGGGCGGCCTCCTGCCACCCCACCGATTTCCCCTCCCACTCACAGACTGTGGCATCTCAAGGTGACCTTGGGCTGGAGAGCCAGGATTCCAGCGGACACCTCTGGGCTTGGGGGGCTCGATAAGACAGGTGGAGTGAGTGAGGTCAGGAGGGGATGAGGAGGGAGACACAAAGGAAAGGAAGTGACCAGAACCTTTGGGAAACACAAAGAAAAACTATGCAAGAAGAGAAAGTCCCAACACCACAGTTAGAAGTGGCACATTTGGGGCGGCTGTTGCAGGATGAAGCAGGAGCATCTCTTGGAACTGCACAAAGAGTCTTCTCCTCCAGAGTAACACGGGGTCTTACTCTGTTGCCCCGTGGCTCAGGGGCACAGAGGGCCCCACTCGGCTTGTCTGCAATCAACGCTGGTACAGCTGCAACACAGGGAGCACCCCGAGGATCCACCCATCACTGCAGCTGCAGGGCTGGGCATGATGCTTTTAACTTGACAGTGTGAAAACTAAATGTTGGCTAACACAGCCTGGACGTAGGGGAATTGAAAGAGGACAGTCCTCACCGTACGGTGCAGGGGGCACCACAGGGTTGGCTAACACAGCCTGGACATAGGGGAATTGAAAGAGGACAGTCCTCACCGTACGGTGCAGGGGGCACCACAGGGTTGGCTAACACAGCCTGGACGTAGGGGAATTGAAAGAGGACAGTCCTCACCGTACGGTGCAGGGGGCACCACAGGGTTGGCTAACACAGCCTGGACGTAGGGGAATTGAAAGAGGACAGTCCTCACCGTATGGTGCAGGGGGCACCACAGGGTTGGCTAACACAGCCTGGATGTAGGGGAATTGAAAGAGGACAGTCCTCACCGTACGGTGCAGGGGGCACCACAGGGTTGGCTAACACAGCCTGGACATAGGGGAATTGAAAGAGAACAGTCCTCACCCTACAGTGCAGGGGGCACCACAGGGGCTACACAGAGGAGGACTGAGTCAACTCCTGATGAGATGGTGTGGAACCATATGGAAAAGTGGCAGCTGCCGCAGGACCTCAACGTGGGAGAGGCTACTGTTGCCCCTGGGTGAGCTCAGGAAAGAGGGGCAGGATCTGTTGCTTCTTATTTTAAGCCCTATATTACTCGGCTTTTAAGTGAACCATATATATGCATTACTGTCACACAAATTAACTGAGGAAAATTGAAAGCCTCATGTCTCCTAAGTACTAAGCATTCAACTGACATTTGTTGTGCACTGACCATGTGCAGGGAACCGACGGAGACACTTAGAAACTCAGCAAAGCAGACAAGTCTCCTCCTATGAAACTCACATTCTAGGTGGGGACAGACAAGACACAATGCACACAATCACCGATGTCAGGATTGGGGACGGTTGCTATGGAGGACAGACAAGACACACACAATCACCGATGTCAGGACTGGGGACGGTTGCTATGGAGGACAGACAAGACACAACGCACACAATCACCGATGTCAGGATTGGGGATGGTTGCTATGGAGGACAGACAAGACACAACGCACACAATCACCGATGTCAGGATTGGGGATGGTTGCTATGGAGGACAGACAAGACACAACGCACACAATCACCGATGTCAGGATTGGGGATGGTTGCTATGGAGGACAGACAAGACACAACGCACACAATCACTGATGTGAGGATTGGGGATGGTTGCTACAGAGGACAGACAAGACACAACGCACACAATCACTGATGTGAGGATTGGGGACAGTTGTTATGGAGGACAGACAAGACACAACACACACAATCACTGATGTGAGGATTGGGGACGGTTGCTACAGAGGACAGACAAGACACAACACACACAATCACTGATGTGAGGATTGGGGACAGTTGTTATGGAGGACAGACAAGACACAACACACACAATCACTGATGTGAGGATTGGGGACGGTTGCTACAGAGGACAGACAAGATACAACACACACAATCACTGATGTGAGGATTGGGGACAGTTGTTATGGAGGACAGACAAGACACAACACACACAATCACTGATGTGAGGATTGGGGACGGTTGCTACAGAGGACAGACAAGACACAACGCACACAATCACCAATGTCAGGATTGGGGATGGTTGCTATGGAGGACAGACAAGACACAACACACACAATCACTGATGTCAGGATTGGGGATGGTTGCTATAGACAAAGAAGAGATGAAGAGGGTGCAGGCTTGGGGGCAGGTTCAGTGACAGCAGAGTGGAGTGTGGATCATTGCAATGACGAGAGAGCCTCTTTTGGCCACTCTGTTGACCTCGAACATCCCCCCAAGCAGACTACACACTGTCAATGTGTTCAAAAACAGAGATGACGGCTGTTGCATGGAACAGACATACACAGCCTCAGCGACCCCCCGGGGGCCCCTCGAAATGTGTTTGTCAGGCTGCCTCCACGCAGCCCACAGGCATGGAGCAAACACACGCTCCACTTGCTTCATGATGCCAAGCACAGAACCCACTTCAGGAAAACCCAAGAAATGGCCCCCATGGACCCCCAATCCCACTACTTCCCACCCTAAAAACAAAATGAACAGAAACACCACACCTCCAGGCAGCCAGCACAGTAAGCTTTTCACTTAAGTTTTTATTATAGAAATGTTCAAACATACACGAAAGCAGAGAAGATAACGGCACGGACGCCATCGGCCACGGCCACCCATCGCTCTGCAGAGAAGACAACGGCACGGACGCCATCGGCCACGGCCACCCATCGCTCTGCAGAGAAGACAACGGCACGGACGCCATCGGCCACGGCCACCCATCGCTCTGCAGAGAAGACAACGGCACGGACGCCATCGGCCACGGCCACCCATCGCTCTGCAGAGAAGACAACGGCACGGACGCCATCGGCCACGGCCACCCATCGCTCTGCAGAGAAGACAACGGCACGGACGCCATCGGCCACGGCCACCCATCGCTCTGCAGAGAAGACAACGGCACGGACGCCATCGGCCACGGCCACCCATCGCTCTGCAGAGAAGACAACGGCACGGACGCCATCGGCCACGGCCACCCATCGCTCTGCAGAGAAGACAACGGCACGGACGCCATCGGCCACGGCCACCCATCGCTCTGCAGAGAAGACAACGGCACGGACGCCATCGGCCACGGCCACCCATCGCTCTGCAGAGAAGACAACGGCATGGACGCCATCGGCCATGGCCACCCATCGCTCTGCAGAGAAGACAACGGCATGGACGCCATCGGCCATGGCCACCCATTACTCTGCAGAGAACATAACGGCACAGATGCCATCGGCCACGGCCACCCATTGCTCTGCAGAGAACATAACAGCACGGATGCCATCGGCCATGGCCACCCATTGCTCTGCAGAGAACATAACAGCATGGACGCCATTGGCCATGGCCACCCATCGCTCTACAAAGAAGATAACGGCATGGACGCCATCGGCCACGGCCACCCATTGCTCTGCAGAGAACATAACAGCATGGACGCCATCAGCCACAGCCCCCCATCGCTCTGCAGAGAAGACAACGACATGGACGCCATCGGCCACGGCCCCCCATCAATCTGCGGAGAAGACAACAGCCACCCATCACTCTTCAGAGAAGATAACGGCATGGACGCCATCAGCCACAGCCCCCCATCACTCTGCAGAGAACATAATGGCACGGACGCCATTGGCAATGGCCCCCCATCGCTCTGCAGAGAACGTAACGGCACGGATGCCATCGGCCACGGCCCCCCATTGCTCCACAGAGAAGATAATGGCACGGATGCCATCAGCCACAGCCACCCATCGCTCTGCAGAGAAGATAACAGCATGGACGCCATTGGCCACAGCCACCCATTGCTCTGCAGAGAACATAACAGCACGGACGCCATCGGCCACGGCCCCCCATCGCTCTGCAGAGAACATAATGGCACGGACGCCATCGGCAATGGCCCCCCATTGCTCTGCAGAGAACATAACGGCACGGATGCCATCGGCCATGGCCCCCCATCGCTCTGCGGAGAACATAACGGCACGGATGCCATCGGCCACGGCCCCCCATTGCTCCGCAGAGAAGATAACGGCACGGACGCCATCGGCCATGGCCACCCATCACTCTGCAGTGGCTCATGTTTCACTCCATCCGTCTCCCCTGCCACCCCTCCCTGTTTTCCAGGGTTGAGGGTGGAGTCAGTTAGAGAAAATCTACTACACCATATTCTGTGTATCTCTAGCAAATGAGGACTTATCTCATTTTATTTTATTTAGGGGAGACGGGGTCTTACTCTGTTGCCCAGGCTGGACGGCGGTGACACAATCACGACTCACTGCAGCCTCCACCTCCTGGGCTCAATGATTCCCCCGCCTCCATCTCCCACAGCACCAGGATCACCACAACTCACCCACATGAGGGCTTTAAAAAATGTCATCACAAACCCAGTATCACACCAGCAACATTAGTTAACAGCAACTGGTCTTTAATAATGTTCTAGTATCCGGTCAGTGCTAAATTCCATTAATTAAAAAAAAAGTCATCTTGTAGTTAATTTGTTTGAATTAATATCCAAGGAGGGTCCATCATACGTCTACACAGCAATGGCGCACGCAGGGTGGATTCAGTGTTTGTGGTTTGCTATGAATCTGATGAGCCACCAAGAATCCAGGCTGAGTCTTCTGACCCCTTTCCTGATGCTTATTTCCTGAAAGCGTCCTTATCTGTTTGCACAGTATCCACGCTCTGCATTCCTCCTAACTCCAATGAACATCCCCAGAATCCCCAATGAGAAGAAACCGTGTCCCTCCCAGGGCTCCTCAGCATCTCGGGTGCAATGTCTCTGGACACTTCCAGCGGGCAGGTGTCTACCCTGGCCTTGATAAGCAGACACCACTAGCCCTGAAAGCAAAGGTGCTACCTCGGCCTGCGGGACCACAGCGGATGCGCGGCCCCAGTCAGCACACGGTGAGGGGCGTTACCACCAAACCTCCCTCTCCAGGGCGAGCCTGGCCTGGGGGGAGTCACAGTAAAGCCACCGTCAAAACTCCTTCCAAGTTCATTAGCAAAGGTGCTACCTCGGCCTGCGGGACCACAGCGGATGCGCGGCCCCAGTCAGCACACGGTGAGGGGCGTTAACACCAAAACTCCCGCTCCAGGGCGAGCCTGGCCTGGGGGGAGTCACAGTAAAGCCACCGTCAAAACTCCTTCCAAGTTCATTAGCAAAGGTGCTACCTCGGCCTGCGGGAACACAGCGGATGCGCGGCCCCAGTCAGCGCACGGTGAGGGGCGTTAACACCAGACCTCCCCCTCCAGGGCGAGCCTGGCCTGGGGAGAGTCGCAGTAAAGCCACCGTCAAAACTCCTTCCAAGTTCATTATTTACACCCTGAGTGTTCTCAGCAGGGCCAAAACTTCACACCTCTGACTGAATTTTCATCCATTTGGAAGGGTTCCGGGTCTCCTGGGAGTTTTAGAAATTGGGAGTGAGAAGACGTGGTTGAAAACTGAGGTGAAAGCTCTAAGAGAAAGTTAATTTGGTGTCTCCTGGGCACTTCACAGCTCTGCAGTGCCCAGGGTTCCATTATGCGTCCCTCAGTGTGAAACACAGCAAACCTTATTAAATACCCTTCTAGCAAAATCCCCCATCCTCCGAGCTTGGCCTGTGCTCCGCTTCCTCCTTTCCTGCCCCAGACGCCACAGCAAACGTTATTTCCCCGACATCTGGTGGTTTTCAAAGGACAATGCTCAGACCAGTGCACCAGGAAGTGGGCCGGGCGAGTGATCTGCAGTCCATCGGGATGTCCAGGAGATGCTGACACAGGCTGAGAAGCTCGGCCCCCAGCTCCCAAAGCTTACCACGGCCACCTGGGGGAAAAGCTGCCATGTCTTAGAAATATTGACACTGGCCTCATTCCCTGAATTCTGATTTGTCAAGAGGTGTGGCCTGACCACCCGGATCTTTTAAAGCTCCCCCGGTTTTTAAAAGCTCTAATAGTCAGCAAAATGCAAAACCACGCCCCCACCCAACAGCCCCATGATGTCCCACGAAGTCGACCGCCGGAGCCCTGACACCAGCATCACCCTCTCGTGCGGTCTCCCAACAGCCCTGCAGAGCCAGAACCATGATCGTCCCCACTGCACACCTCGGAGAGCTGAAAGTTGCACAGTTATTTACTGAGTAGATTTGGGATTCAAATCCAAATCCTACTGTGAAGCCGGTACCCCCATAACACCAGGCTGGGCGGGCTCCACGCTGCCTAAGAGCAGAGACTCTGCCTCATTTCCCCTTCTAGTCCCAGCAACAAGCACAGAGTGAGACCTCAGCACACTAACCGTGGACACACCTTTGATCCCAGGGCCCCCTGAGGACTGCGTGATCTTCAGAGGTGCACCCTCCACGCAGCACAGGCCAGACAAGGGAAACTGCAGGGAGCACTGGCAAAGGACACATGTGGGGAAGACACGAGAGGCAGGAGACGGCAACATCTGTGGGGGCACAGGAGAGAGAGGACAGGGTGCCGCGGCCATCACAGGGTGACACCGGAGCCTTGGTGTGGCTGCCCTGGGCTGGACTTGCTGCACACACAGGGCCACGAGGACTTTGGGACCACACGTGCTGATGTCTCCACTGTCCAGAGGAAGACACCAAGGCTTGAGGCTGTGGCTCCAAGTGCACACAGTTGCACAAGCACACATGCATGCTGCACCACAACACCCAGATGAGAATCCAGAGCCCCCACTGCCTGGGATGAATGGGCTCCAGAATCCAGAGCCCCCACTGCCTGGGATGAATGGGCTCCAGAATCCAGAGCACCCGCCTGGGACGAACAGGCTCCAGAATCCAGAGGCCCCGCTTGGGACGAACGGGCTCCAGAATCCAGAGCCCTCGCCTGGGACGAACGGGATCCAGAATCCAGAGCCCCTGCCTGGGACGAACGGGCTCCAGGGGCCCGCAAAAGGACGTCGGCTCTGCACCACCCCTACCTATTACTCTATACTGAGCCGCAAACCCATGCACGCCTCAGTCCAAATGTCATAGCTTCTCTTTCTCCCACTACCCTGAGGGCCACACACACATGACTCGGAGAAAGGCCACAGCCTGTGTGTCACAGGATCTCCCTAAATGTCCAGTGGCCCCTGTCCAGCCGCTGTGGCTGCCCACATCATGGTGCTGGGCCCTGCCGTTTCTCCATCATAGAACCACCAAGAGGCAACCGAGAAACCCAGGAGCATGGCAACATCCACAGTCTCCAGGATGGGGCCCTATCTACATGCTCCTCCTAGAGGGGCTGTGTACCGTGAGCACAGGAGGGTCATCCAGCTACAGGATGGGACTCTATCTACAAGTTCCTGCTAGAGGGTCTGTGTGCCGAGAGCACAGGAGGGTCATCCAGCTACAGGATGGGACTCTATCTACAAGTTCCTGCTACAGTGCCTGTGTGCCGTCAGCACAGGAGGGTCATCCAGCTGCAGGATGGGACTCTATCTACATGCTCCTCCTAGAGGGGCTGTGTGCCGTGAGCACAGGAGGGTCATCCAGCTGCAGGATGGGACTCTATCTACAAGTTCCTGCTACAGTGCCTGTGTGCCGTCAGCACAGGAGGGTCATCCAGCTGCAGGATGGGACTCTATCTACATGCTCCTCCTAGAGGGGCTGTGTGCCGTGAGCACAGGAGGGTCATCCAGCTGCAGGATGGGACTCTATCTACAAGTTCCTGCTACAGTGCCTGTGTGCCGTCAGCACAGGAGGGTCATCCAGCTGCAGAATGGGACTCTATCTACAAGTTCCTGCTACAGGGTCTGTGTGCCAAGAGCACAGGAGGGTCATTCAACTGTAGGATCGGACTCTATCTACATGTTCCTGCTACAGGGGCTGTGTGCCATGAGCACAGGAGGGTCATCCAGCTACAGGATGGGACTCTATCTACAAGTTCCTGCTAGAGGGTCTGTGTGCCAAGACCACAGGAGGGTCATCCAGCTGCAGAATGGGACTCTATCTACATGCTCCTCCTACGGGGGCTGTGTGCCGAGACCACAGGAGGGTCATCCAGCTCCAGGATGGGACTCTATCTACATGTTCCTGCTACGGGGGCTGTGTGCCGTCAGCACAGGAGGGTCATCCAGCTGTCCGGAAATGAAAACTCACAGTCACCAAGCATACGCAGTGCCATCTGATGAGAATTCATCTGCTCTGTCCTGCACGGTCCCATGGGAAAGTCAAGCCATGGCCCCAGCTCCCTTCCTCAACCATCGTTCATGATCGAGCTTATTCTGATGTTGATGCAAGAAATGTTCCACCCACCTTTGGCTGGCAAAGCCTGCCTAGAAATATACAAGAACAGATAGTAGTTCCAGTAAAGCACAGAGTACCTCAAAATAGAAGACATTACAGAGAGAAACGTGTGCACGCTGGCAGCTAGCTGAAAAGTCAGCTGATCCACATAAAGTTGGTTAGGAAAAATCTTCTAGAGATGCAGACCATCATTGCACAAACTACAACATCCTCAAACCCAAGACACACTGCAGAGAAATAACAGCTCTTCCTTTCTACTATGGAGGATTCTGCCCGACAGTCATGTGGCTTCACTTAAGATCAGAAGTGACCTGGTCAAGAAGCATAGAAGAAACCTCAAATTTCCAAATTCCCAGTCTTTCATTTTTTTCTTGGTTCTATGAACAATAAAATCTTACAGCATAAAGGCCGGGCGCGGTGGCTCATGCCTGTAATCCCAGCACTTTGGGAGGCCGAAGGGGGTGGATCACGAGGTCAAGAGATCAAGACCATCCTGGCTAACACAGTGAAACCCCGTCTCTACTAAAAATACAAAAAAATTAACCGGGCGTGGTGGCAGGCGCCTGTAGTCCCAGCTACTCGGGAGGCTGAGGCAGGAGAATGGCATAAACCCGGGAGGCAGAGCTTGCAGTGAGCTGAGATGGTGCCACTGCACTCCAGCCTGGGCAACAGAGCGAGACTCCGTCTCAAAAAAAAAAAAAAATCTTACAGCATAAAAACTGAAGCATACAGAAAATGGTGAAAAAAAATATCATTCTAGGTGCATTTTCTTCCAGTGTTTTCCAAAGCATAATTACGTACTTTTTCCAAAGCACTCAAATTCATTCTGTAGCCTCGGGGCTGTCTCCTGCCACTCCCACTGGGTACTACACGCGAGCATTTCCCGGAACCATGGAAAGAGCCTCTTGGCCACCTGCTGTAGAGGCTGACTGCACTGTTCCCTGCTATGCTTGGTCATATGGGTTGTTTTAAAGTTTTTCAACATTATAAATAAAGCTGTAACAAACGTGCTTTCAATTATTTTTCACCCACATTTTAAAAACACGTCTTTAGTGTGGGTTCCTACAGTCTGAGTTACTGAGCCTAAAGACACTGGCATATTTGTGACTTCCAAGGAAACAACCCATACTCACCCCATGGCAGAGAATCCCTGCCTTGCTGCAGGAGCCGGCGCTTGGGTGAACGCCTCCCGTCCTTGGATAGAACCGCCTGGGTGCTTCGGTTCGTACTTCTCCTTCCATGCTTTCAGACCCCCTGTGCTTCCGCCCACGCCCTGTGCTGCTCTGCTTTCTAGGTCCACACACCAGGGCCCCTCTCTGGGACCATCTTGCCCCAGGCTTTGATCCCAACACTCGCCCTATATCTCCAAATAAAAATAAATTGTTGGGTTCTTTCTGGAGGAGTTTGGGTGAGCTTGTTTATCCCAGGATGTCACTTCTCAAAGGCAGTGCAGATCCTCATACAGCGGGCTGATGCTCCTGACCACCTCCCTCCCAGCAGGCCCATAAAGACCCTCAGACGCCATGCACCGGAGGCCCCTGTGGCTTCTACTATCTGGCATTTGTCTGGTGTGCTGGCATCATCTATACCACACCCGGCCTCTGTCACACCTTCTGCTCTCACATGATGCGATACCGTACTTGCATTTGACAGAAAACACACAGAGTCCTAGAGATGATATGTGAAAATTAAGGGGTGCCTGGTCCTGTCTCGGCCATGAAAATGGTGGTAGAGAAAGAGGGAACACCTGCCTGTTAGCTTTCCTGAGGATGACAAGTCATTTACTGCCTTAAAACTAAGACAAAAAGGAGTGGTTCCTCAATGAATTCCTCTCCCCTCCTTCCACCCTGAGACGTGTCATATAGCTGCCTCAGGCCCTGTGTTTCTCACGTAAAACCTGTGCTGATGACAGGTTCATTTTCAAACACAGGAAGGATGTCCAGCTCACAGTCCGCAAAACTACAAGCTAAGCTGCCTACGATTGTGTGGGGATCCAGGAAAACAGAGGATGAGTTGAAGGTTGGGACACAGACCCCTTCAGGCAAATCCACACACAGCTCAGTTTTATTGAAGAAAATCAATAACATAAATTATTTCAAATAGCAGTGCAACAACTTGGGGGTTACATTTATTTTATTCAGCACGAATAACTGGTTCTATTCCCTTGTGCTCATTTTAGCAGTGATGATTTGAACTCAGATCATTAGTTTCATGTTTCCCCAGCCTGGCTGCACATTACAGTCAACTGTACTAAAACCATAAACCCCAAAGCCCCAGATGGGAGATGCCGACTTGGTCAGTCTGGTATAGGATCTGGATCTGTGTACTTTTATAAGCTTCCTACATGGTTCTAGTCATTTGGGCAACACCAGGTAGACCAAGCCCCTCAATATGCAAGTACAGAACTGGAGGGCCAAAAGGGCAGGTGAGCCCATCATCCCCTAACTCCATCTTTTCTCATTTCTGTCCCCCACCCCAAATCATCACCATTGTCACCATCATCATCATTACTATCATCACCATCACCATCAGCATCATTACTATCATCACCATCACCATCAGCATCTCATCATCATTATCATTACCATCACGACCATCATTGTTGTCATCATCACCATCACCATCATTGTCATCACCATCATGTTGTCATTATCATTACCACCATCATCACCATCATCATTACCATTACCATCACCACCATCATCACCATCATTGTCATCACCATATCATCATCATTGTTATCACCATCCTCATTGTCATCATCATTGTTGTCAATATCACCGTCACCATCATCATTGTTATCACCATCATTGTTATCATCAACACCATCATCATCATCACCATCATCGTCATCACCATATCATCACTATCTTCACCATCATCATCACCATCATCATCCTTACCATCGCCATCATTGCCATGCCATTTAGTAAACAATCACTTCATCATCACCGTCATCATCCTTACCATCGCCATCATTGCCATGCCATTTAATAAATAATCCTTCATCATCACCATCATCATCCTTACCATCACCATCATTGCCATGCCATTTAGTAAGTAATCACTTCATCATCACCGTCATCATCCTTACCATCGCCATCATTGCCATGCCATTTAGTAAGTAATCACTTCATCATCACCGTCATCATCCTTACCATCGCCATCATTGCCATGCCATTTAGTAAATAATCCTTCATCATCACCATCATCATCCTTACCATCGCCATCATTGCCATGCCATTTAGTAAATAATCCTTCATCACCACCGTCATCATCCTTACCATCGCCATCATTGCCATGCCATTTAGTAAATAATCCTTCATCACCACCGTCATCATCCTTACCATCACCATCATTGCCATGCCATTTAGTAAATAATCCTTCATCATCACCATCATCATCCTTACCATCGCCATCATTGCCATGCCATTTAGTAAATAATCCTTCATCATCACCATCATCATCCTTACCATCGCCATCATTGCCATGCCATTTAGTAAATAATCCTTCATCACCACCGTCATCATCCTTACCATCGCCATCATTGCCATGCCATTTAGTAAATAATCCTTCATCATCACCATCATCATCCTTACCATCGCCATCATTGCCATGCCATTTAGTAAATAATCCTTCATCACCACCGTCATCATCCTTACCATCGCCATCATTGCCATGCCATTTAATAAATAATCCTTCATCATCACCATCATCATCCTTACCATCGCCATCATTGCCATGCCATTTAGTAAGTAATCACTTCATCATCACCGTCATCATCCATACCGTCACCATCATTGCCATGCCATTTAGTAAACAATCACTTCATCGTCACCATCATCATCCTTACCATCACCATCATTGCCATGCCATTTAGTAAATAATCCTTCATCACCACCGTCATCATCCTTACCATCGCCATCATTGCCATGCCATTTAGTAAATAATCCTTCATCATCACCATCATCATCCTTACCATCGCCATCATTGGCATGCCATTTAGTAAACAATCACTTCATCATCACCATCATCATCCTTACCATCGCTATCATTGCCATGCCAATGAGTAAATATCACCAGTGCCAGATTCTGTGCTACACCCTTATGCTCATTATCATTGACCTTCAGATCAATGTATTATCCCCATTTTAGAGATAAGGGAGTTGAAGTTCAGAAAGGCTAAGTAATTTTCTTAGGATAACACAGCTAGTTACAGAGGCTATGGTGTTCTTATCGCAGACTGGAGCTAAGCTGCTGAGATACAAGTCCAGATTCCAGCACCAATCAGCTGTGTGGCTGTGGACATTTCCTAAAGCATGCTGGGCCTCCTCTCCTGGGCCTTGTATGTGGAGATACTAAGAGTGCCCATCTTGCAGAGTTTGTGCGAAGTGACACTCTGGTGGCTCTCCAGCCTTCAAATCCAGTCCTATCAAGATCCATCATGATTACTCCCCCAGAGACTGTCTTGATTCTCCCACTGGATGTCTCTTCTTTCCCACCCCGTGACCCCTTTGAATTCTTAAAATGCTTTCTTGGTTCTTCATTCATACCACACCCCTTACTCCCTTACTGTATCTCCTGTACACATCATTTATTTACCACTTTATCCCTGCAGTAGACAGAAGCTCATGAGGGCATTTTTTCATTATGATAACTGTTTTCACTAACATTCCTGAGCATCTAATCTATGCCATCTAATCTTTAGTAGATACTGTACTAAATATTTTATTTGCAGTATCACATTAAATCTTACTACAAAGAAGGCATTATTGCTATGCTTACTTTAGAGACAAGCAAACTGAGGCTTAGAAAGAGTCAGTACTTGGAAGCACTGAAAGGCTCAGCTCTCACAGTCCAAGTACCAGCTGTTTAACCACTGCACAGTTTATATCCTTCCCAAGACACTGCCCTGAATGCATTGATCCAGGGGCCTCCAGTGGATGCTTGGGAAAAGCCAGCTACCTGCCACATGTGTGCTGGACTTGGGCTGGGCAAAAACAAACCTGGTCTCTGATCACGTAAGCCTAGAACCCAGAAAGCCAGCAGTTATGGGTGCAGTCATGTGGGCTAAGCTACTTTGCCTGGGGACCCGCAGTCACACGTGCTGAGCAGCTTTACATACTTTCAGGCCTTGAACCCAGATCCCTGCCTCACGCCTCACACACCCCACTTCCTGTTGCATGATGCATCCATGCAGTAATAAAATGGACATCCTTAAAGCAGATAACAAAATCCAACTCATCATTTTGTAAAATTTTTGGATGTACATTTGAGGCGTGCAACATGATGTTGGATACATACATGCATACTGAGGTGGCCACTGTGGTCAAGAGTTAACACCTCTGCCTCCACCCTCTCCTAGAGGCACCCTCTGGGCAAATTACCAGTAAACAATCCAATGTTGTTACTACATACAGTCCTCACGCTGTGCATTAGGCCCCTGGGCTCACTCCTCCCACAAAACTGCAGCTTCCTACCCTCTCATCCACATCTTCTCATTCCTCGCCACTCCCACCCCCCAAACCATAACCAGCTTTCCACTCTCTGTTTCTATGTAGTCAACTTTTTTTTTTAAGATTCTACATATGTGTGAGATCATGCAGTATCTGCCTTTCTGTGCCTGGCTTATTTCACTTACTTCACACTATTTACAACATCATGTCCTCCAGGTTCATCCATGTTTTGAAAATGACAGGATCTCCTTTTTTAAGGCTGAATAGTATCCATTGTGTATGTATACCACAATTGCTCTATCCATTCATCCATCAGAAACACCTGTACTGTCTCCATGCCCTGGTGAATAGTGCTGCAATGAGCATCAGGGTGCAGACACCTCTTCTGCCCATTTAATTTCTTCTGGATCTATAACCAAAAGAGGCGTTGATGGTAGCACTGTTTTTAATTTCTTGAGGAACCTACACACTGTTTCCATAAACAGTGTGCAAGTTGGCCAGGTGCAGTGGCTCACGCCTGTAATCCCAGAATTTTGGGAGGCTGAGGCGGGTGGATCACTTGAGGTCAGGAGCTCAAGACCAGCCTGGCCAACACGGTGAAACCCCATCTCTACTAAAAATATAAAAATTAGCTAGGCATGGTGGCACATGTCTGTAATCCCAGCTACTCGGGAGGCTGAGGCAGGAGAATCACTTGAACCCAGGAGGCAGAGGTTGCAGTGAGCTGAGATCGTGCCACTGTAGGACAGAGCGAGACTGTCTCAAACAAAGCATCCAAGTGTCCCTTTTCTCTACACACTTGCCAACACTTGTTATCTTCTGTCTTTTTGATAAAAGCCATTCTCACAGGTGTGAGAGGGTAAGTCACTGGGGCTCTGATGTGCGTTTCCAATGATTAGTGATGCTCAGCACCTTTCCCATACCTGTCAGCCATCTGTATGTCCTCTTTGGAAAAATGTTCTATTCAGGTTCTTTGCCCTTTTTAAAATTGGAGGGTTTGGGGGTTTTTTGGCTTTTGGGTTTTTTTTGTGTGTTGTTTGTTTGTTTGTTTTGCTATTGAGTTGAGTGAGTTCCTTATATATTTTAGATATTAACACCTTATAGATCTATGGTTTTTCAACATTTTCTCCCGCCCTGTAGGCTGCCTTTTCATTTTGATGGTTTCCTTTACCGCACGGCAGCTTTTCAGTTTGATATAGTCCCACTCATTTATTTTGCTTTTGTTGCCTGTGTTTTTGGGTCTTGTCCAAAACTTCTTGCCGAGACCAATGTCAAGGAGCTCTTCCTGTATGTTTTCAGAGTTTTACAGTTTCAGATCTTGTGTTTGGGTCTTTAACCAATTTTGGGCAGATTTTTGAGAACGGTGTAAGGTAAGGTCCCATTTCATTCTTTTGAGTGTGGATGTCCAGTTTCCCCGAAACCATTTAAAGAGACGGCTCTTACCCCAGAGTCTGCTTCACACCTAGTTGACCATATATGGTCAGGTTTATTTCTGGGCTCTTTGTTCTGTTCCCATCTCATCCTTTTACATGGCGTGTGTTTAAGTCACTGGCCAAAACTTGGGTAATTCTGCTGCCAAAGACCTGGGAGCCCCCGGGGAAGGCCCTGTTGATGTTTCTGTTGCTGTTGCGTTTGTTACACTGTGGCAAGCTGTTCAAATTCTTGCTTTCACCGCCACCCATTTACCCTGTGCTACTTTACAGTAGCTAGTCTAGGATGCAACTGGAATTGTGGGGCTCAAGTGAAACAATGTGCATAAAATCTCCCGTAAATTATAACTCACACTGCATGTATAAGCAAAAATTGTGGCATTTTTACAGTCTTCCTACATCTTCAGCTAATAGCCTTAATAACAAAACACAGAATATTGTCACTCAATTAGACTAGGGTTATTTACCTAAGACAATTTTGCATTGCAATTTGCAAATTCTTAAATGGCAAATTAGTCATTTGCATTGATTTGCATGTCCACAGAGAAATATCTTTCATGCTAATTATGTTTTTGCTAACAAACCATAGAAGTAATAATGAGGAAACTGAATTCCCTCACCGCACCTTTGGCTTTGTTACACAAAGCACAGCTGGCGTTTCAGGGTGGGAGGGTTTCATCAGGATCGTCTTGCCCAGAGATCCTCAACTCTGATAGCACATTACAGTCACCTCGGGAAGCTTCAGAGAAAAAGAAAGGACGGCAAAGCCTGGGTCCCGCCCCCACCCCGCCCCTCGCCGCCCTCAGCTGACATTCTGATTCACTGGCGCCAGTTTATGTCTGGGCATCACTATTTTTCAAAGCTTCCAGGTGTTTCCAGGTGTTACCACCGGCATGGCTGACCCCCTTGTTTTGCACGTAAGAAATCCAACGTGCACAGAGCTGTGGCTTGAATAGAGAGGGGTGCGCAGGGTGGTGGCAGGGCAAGACAAGCCCAAGCTTCCTGACTGATGCCCAGTCCCCTATGCTTGTCCCACAAAGATCGAGACTCTATTGTGCATACAGGCATGCACACCCCCCACCCACACACACTCCCGGTGGAGCAACAGCGTGCACACCCACGCACACTCCCGATCAACAATGTGCACACCCACACACTCCCAATCGATCAAGAGTATGCACACCCACACACACTCCTGGTCAATCAACAGTGTGCACACCCAGGCACACTCCTGGTGGATCAACAGTAGGCACACCCACACACACTCCGGGTGGATCAACACTATGCACACCCATGCACACTCCCGGTGGATCAACACTATGCACACCCACACACACTCCGGGTGGATCAACACTATGCACACCCACACACACTCCTGGTGGATCAACACTATGCACACCCATGCACACTCCTGGTGGATCAACAGTGTCAGGCTTTCAGACTGAGGAAAGGAAAACACTGTTTTTGGCTGTGCACAGTGGCTCACACCTGTAACCCCAGCACTTAGGGAGGCCAAGGCAGGTGGATCATTTGAGGTCAGGAGTTTGAGACCAGCCTGGCCAACATGGTGAAATCCTGTCTCTACTAAAATACAAAAATGAGCCAGTGGTGGTGGCAGGCACTTGTAATCCCAGCTACTCAGGAAGCTGAGGGAGCAGAATCGTTTGAACCCCAGGAGGGGGAGGTTGCAGTGAGCCAAGATAGCACCACTGCACTCCAGCCTGGGCAACAGAGGGAGACCATCTCCCCTGTCTCAACAACAACAACAACAACACTAGTCCACAATGAACACACCAAAAAAATGTGTAAAGTGTGGGTCTAGTTCTTTTGCATCTTTTTAAAGAAAGAAGAAGCAAAATCCCAATTGTTGAGTCATCTTCCCCTGTGGTCAGCAGCTTGCCCAGCTCCACCGAGCACTCGCTCGAGAGCGTTTCTGTTCCTTGAAAACAAATGAGAACGACAACAGCAAGATGCTCCTCAATCATTAAAAACACCAAAGAGCATCTGTTCGTGCCCCAGCAAGTGAGAGAGAAAACCTGGCCAAAAAAAAAAAAAAAAAAATGCAAAGAATTGGGAGCTGGGATTTGTTCTAGTGCCATCATAAAAGAATTGGGAGCTGGGATCTGTCCTATTGCATCACAATGGGCTGTCGCCATAACAGGAGCTGGGATTTGTCCTAGTGCATCATAAAAGAATTGGGAGCTGGGATTTGTCCTATTGCATCATAACGGGCTGTTGCCATAACAGGAGCTGGGATTTGTCCTAGTGCATCATAAAAGAATTGGGAGCTGGAATTTGTCCTAGTGCCTCATAAAAGAATTGGGAGCTGGGATTTGTCCTAGTGCCTCATAAAAGAATTGGGAGCTGGGATCTGTCCTAGTGCATCACAACGGGCTGCCATCATAACAGGGCCTGACATGGTGGAAAATCGTCAAGTAGAAATAAAAGAATCTCATTTGGACATAGTTTATAAGCAAATATGGTTATAGCATTTTATTTCAACAACTGGGGAAAAAAACATAAAATTTATTCTGTTTTGCAGAAAAACTAAGGCCGACCAATAGGATTTGACTGTTAGAGAGACAACAATACATTTTCCTAGTGACTTGTGGGATAAACCGCTTGTTGCTTGTTTTTATTTTTTACATTTCTGCATCTTTCCAGAATCTCAAGTACCCTGGATTTGACGGAACTTCTCCCGGTGGGTGCTCAACACAGCGCTGCCTTCTCCTCTAAGAGCTCAGCTCCTGAAAAGGTTCACGCGAGGATGCTCACAGCAGCCAAATGCTGGGAACAACCTGTGTGGGTACAAGCAAGACGTGGTGTGTCCCTCGACGGAGCACGACTCAGCGACAACAGGAGCAAAGGGTGGGGGTAGGAAGGTAGCGTTGCGTCACCCCGACCGGCTGCTCAGTCAGTTCCCAATCTAGCTCCTTGTTGTACCCTTTCCGCCTTCTCTCTACTGCACTTGACCAGTCTTCAAAAAATTAAAAAGGAACAAATGTATACAGTGGGAGGTGAGGCAAGAGGGGGTCGGAGCATTCACCGAGGTGGAGAACAGGCTCAGTACATCTTCCCGCTCATGTTACAGTGAAATGCGTGACCTTAGGTGTGTGTTTCCGTGAGATTTTATAGATCACATGGATTTTTTTTTTTTTTAGATGAGGTCTTGCTCTGTCACCCAGGCTGGAGTGCGGTGGTGAGATCTCAGCTCACTGCAAACTCTGCCTCCAAGGTTCAAGCGATTCTCCTGCCTCAACCTCCCAAGTAGCTGGGATTACGTGCGTGCACCACCATGCCCGACTAATTCTGTATTTTTATATTTTTAGTGGAGACAGGGTTTCACCATATTTTTAGTGGAGACGGGGTTTCACCATGTCAAAGGTTTTTTTTGTTTTGTTTTCATAAATTGCACTCCTGTCCAACCTCACAGTGCTCTTTTAATTGGTGAGAAGCTGAGCAAAGCTTCCTCCTCTCTGAAGGACAATAGGAAAAGGCCAGCACGAGAGGCCAGCACAAGAGGGTGGGGCTCTTCTTTGGAGGCAAAGCCAGCCTCTCCTGAGCCAGCTCCCCTCCCGCCTCCCCCTCCTATGGACCACGCCCACTGGACTTACCAAGGGATCTTCAACAGGGTCTCACCCACACACAGCACTGCTGGTCTCCAGTCTCTGGGATTTCTTCTAATTCTGAGGACAAGTTTAAAACCTTACTAATGGCTGGGCGCAGTGGCTCACACCTGTAATCCCAGCACTTTGGGAGGCCGACGCGGGTGGATCACAAGGTCAGGAGATCGAGACCAACCTGGCCAACATGGTGAAACCCTGTCTCTACTAAAAATACAAAAATTAGCTGGGTGTGGTGGCAGGTGCCTGTAGTCCCAGCTACTAGGGAGGCTGAGGCAGGAGAATCGCTTGAACCCGGGAGTCAGAAGTTGTGGCGAGCTGAGATTGCGCCACTGCACTCCAGCCTGGGGGACAGAGCGAGACTCCGTCTCAAAAAAACAAAAACAAACAAACAAAAAAAAAACCTTACTAACAAAATTGATTTCAAGCTAAATGAATAAAGAAAAGGAAAACTCTCTACAAATCATTTCTCTGATTTCTGAATTGAAAAGCAACCAAGAAGACTCTGACAATTGGCGGGCGCCCCGGCCCCAGGGCCCCTCTCAGGCTGGGTGCGTGTCTGTTGCCCGTTCTGTCGGCTGAGACCACTGTCAGGGCAAAGAGAAGACATGGGACAGCCAGGAAATGTGGCCCACCTGACTCCAATCATGCTTCCGGCCCCGCCACGGTTCCGGCCCCGCCACGGTTCCGGCCTCGCCACGGTTCCTGCCCCACCACGGTTCCATTCCCACCACGGTTCCTGCAGGCATTTCATGTAATGCAATTATTCTTCCCTGCAACATTCATCTGACCAATACGTGACCATTTCCTCTCTTTTGCCAGCATCATAGAGAGTTCACAAGAGACAAATCAAAGTCACCGTGGGTCCCAGTAGCAAATCTAGAACCTGCATCTTAAGGCAAAGAACGATGAACCACCATAAATTCCGTGGGCCTTTGAGAAGCCGAAGGGTGAGCTGATTGGAGGAAGGATGGGAAGACGCCCGATCAGTGTGGTTCCAGATCAGATTCTGCCTGTGTGTCACCCACATTTAACACTAAGGGACCAAGTTTGTCATCTGTTAAATGAGAACAAAAATACATGCCCTGTTATTGTCAGTGACGGTGCAGAAATCTAACACGATAACATATAAAACACTCAGAAAGGCATTAACCCCCATGCAGTGCACTATTATTACTTTACGCCATTTCAGTCACAAGAGCAGGTGCTGGGTGTTATTCCAGCTCAAGAATATCTCAAAGCACCCAGGCCTGGAATAGAGAGAGCAGGTTCCAAAGCAGCCCCAGGCTAAGCTTTGCACACAGACTCAGACCATGAACATCACCCATCAGTTAGAGGGAAATCACTCACCCTTCAATGCACTCTTAACACAGACCCCACCTCTATGGAAACTGCCTCAAAAGACAGAGCAGACCAACGTCCCAAGAATGATTAGACGGCGCCTCTAAAATAACAAGGCCGTTGCATGCAAGGGCCCGAGAGCTGGCCGTCCACATTTCCTCCCAACTCCACCTTCAGTGACACTGCGTCAGTAACTGGGAGGCAGCAGTGGCGGCGGGGCGGGGGCCTTACACTAGAGAACCCGGCTGCAAATCAGGTCCCAAATGCTGCAAATGCTGGTGGTTAAGCATTTGCCCACACTGCACTGCTGAGCCACTGAGATTAGGCCTGAAATTAGTTATGGGTTTTACCCACGCACCGAAAGACATGTGTTTGTTGTATGCATAATCTTTAGAATCCACGTTTGGTTCGATATTTCTGCTTTAATGATAAAAGGTTTTGTGCTTTTCAAAATGGTATGGCCACGCACAGACATTATCCCTCCAAACTCCTGGTCGTGGCTGAACCTCAGCAGCTTCACGGTCCCCAAGATCAATTTCCTATCTCCTCCAATCCTGTTAGCAAATGAACCAAAATTAAATCAGGATTTGGCAGATTTCTCTAAACACTGCAGCCACTCAGAGTCCTGCTAAGGAGAAAGAGCAGCTGTAAACATATGTGAGAACCCTTGAAGCTCTTCCTGCCATAAGCACACTTCCGTTCTCTGAATAAACCCCTCTGACGAGCTGTTTCGGGAGGCTACATCCACGCCCAGGACAGCCGGGAGGGCAAGCTGCAGCCTCTGCACGGCCTCTGCTGTGTCTGTGCACCCTGATTGAGAAGCCTGCGTATCAGAGACCTCCAAGTGCCGGCTCGCCTCTCCCTCGTCCATAATTTAGTGACAATCTCCATGGCAACTAGACTCCAAGAAAAGAGAAGGAAAGGTTTCCCGGCTCTCTGAGCAGCGGGTGCTTCGTAAACTGCAAAAACACATTCCCCAAACATGGTGTCCCAAGGACACTGTCAGCCTCAGAAAATCTAGAGTGATCTGAAATGAGCTCATTCAAACTTGACCTCAGCTTTGAAAACCACACAGCCATCCAACTGTCTAACAGTCAACCATGATAGATTGGGGGGAAAAAAACATTTTAAACATTAATTTTTAAAAAAAGGTTGGCTATAAATAGCTTAAAAACCAAATGTTTTAAGTATTTAAAAGAAAATAAATTGGGAAGCGAAAACTACTCCAGTATAAATCTCAGATATTAACATTCCTTGGGGCTGATATCTAATTTACTTAATGTCTTTCACACAGGCCCATGACAACCCTTCATGGTAAAAGCAAAAAAAAAATCCCTTTCTCCTACGTCAGTGACATTTCTAGGTAGACATCAAGATCTCGCGCTTAGGAGACCAAAAGCAAAAGCAGGCTATAAGCAAATGAGGTCAGCCCTGGCGCTGGGCGGGTGCAGCACTGGCCCAGCCCCCGTGCGGCCCCACTGTGTCCCCTCACAGCTGGTCATCAGCCACAGCTAAGCCAGGCCAACCCAAGAGGCACAGCGAACTCTACAGGACTCCACATTCAAAACTTGCTCCTTCATCAAAAAGCGGAGTAAACCGGGAGATTCAGCCATGGGAAGGCCTTGGACCCCAGGACCTCTGGAAAACACTGCGTGTAACTGGCACCCCGAGTCAACTTTTCCCTGAGAAATGCTCAACCCCATTTAGTTTTTGGACATGCCTCTGGAAATATGAAAATGAGTTTCATCTACTAAACAATTCCTTATCCTCTCAAATCTCTGAAATTTAAGGGTTTAGAAAGTTAATTTGATAAATGGGAAAGTCAACCCAGCAGATAAAAGGGAAAACGGTCTTTCAAGAGCATCTTAGTAAATGCTGCAGGTTGCACAGAGCATGCCCATGTGCCCGCCCAAACTACGGGCCACCTCCACCAGAGTCAACCGCCCAGCAGAATGTGGGCACCCCTCCTCCGAGAGGGACCCTCTTCCCAAGGTCAGCTAAGAGGCGGGTGCCCGTCTGAGAGGGACCCTTTTCCCAAGGTCAGCTAAGAGGCGGGTGCCCATCTGAGAGGGACCCTCTTCCCAAGGTCGGCTAAGAGGCGGGTGACCGTCTGACCACTGAGGGAGTCGGGAGTGGGGCTGCCCATGGCTTTGGGGAAGCACTCGCTGTTCAGCGGGAGAGAAGTCAAAGAGAGAGGCCGGGTGATGCCACGGGGTGCCCTGTGGGACTGTGCACACTGCGTTCTGCAGACATGGGCATCCTGGACAGCTGAAAACAGGGCAATGATGCAAACTGGCATTTGCGCCTCCTGGTGCCCCACGGAGACAGGCCCTGAGGAGCCTGGTGGTCCTCGTTCAGCTCCAGGGCAGATGCTGGCGAGGGAGGAAGGTGATCATAAGAACCCCGGCTGCAGCACAGTCTCCAACCTTCTCATGCAGAAGAGCTGGGGGTGCTTGGGAGGCACCAGTTTCCCTGACGCCACGGTGGCAGGCGGGAGGGCTCAGGACCCGAAAAGCAACAAGCTCCCAGAGGAGCAGCCTGTGGATGCCACCAACGAGCACAGTTCTGGGGAGGCCCCGAAGGGCCCCGAGGACTCCCCGGCTTCCCCTGTCTAGGGAGGCCCCGAAGGGCCCTGAGGACTCCCCAGCTCCCCCTGTCTGGGGCCAGATGCTGCTCTTCCTCCTGCGAGTGGGAACAGCTTCAGCACCTGTTCTAGTTCCCTTGATTCAGGCACCCCCGGCCACTCTCCCAGCGAGACCATGAAGATGAGGATGCTGGAGAAAGGTGACCTTGTGCACGCTTCGCCCCTGCTTAACAAGCCAGCCGTGCACCAGGGACAATCACCAAGGACGGGCCCACTCAGCAGAGGAACCCCCAGCAAAACACCCTCGGGAGGGCACGCCCGCCTCCACCCCCAGCTGACACCCACACCCCAGCCGGGCACTCCAATACCTTCTCGGGGTTTTTAGGACATGCCCCTGCTGGGCTCACTCTCCAGCTTCCTTGAATCCTACCTCCCCTCTCAGGCCTGTGGGGTCAAGCAGCTATTCTAACTACTGTGAAATTGAACTTCCAAGCCAAGGCACACACACACCTGGAGACCGTCTTGGTTAACGGGTAATTTATTCTCTTAGTGGGGATTCCAGTCCAGTCTACATAAGCATCATTAAGGCAGTCTCACGGGGAAGAAGTTTGGGAGTCAGATATTAGAACTTCATTGTGCAGAAACACAAAACCCAGAGTTCTTTCCTTAAAGTCCTGACTTGAGGGAAGACTTGAAAATCCAGGGCTGCACATCTGGGCTCGGAAACCTGCATATCATACTTACTACGATTTGTGTTCCTCCCGCCATTTGTTTGTTGGTTTGTTTTTGAGACAGAGTCTGGCTCTGTTGCCCAGGCTGGAGTGCAAAGGCTTAATCACTGCAACCTCCTCTTCCTGGGCTCAAGTGATCCTCCCACCTCAGCCTCCCGAGTAGCTGAGACCACAGGCACATGCCACCACACCTGGCTGATTTTTGTACTTTTTGTAGAGAAGGGGTTTCACCATGTTGCCAGGCTGGTCTTGAACTCCTGAGCTCAAGCAATTCGCCTGCCTTGGCCTCCCACAGTGCTGGGATTACAGGCGTGAGCCACTGCACCCAGTCCCACTGTTAATTTAGAACCAGACACATCGTTTCTCCACTATTTATGACTTTAGTTACAAAGCCACACCAGATAGCACCAAATTCAAATCATATCAATGACGCCGATGCGCACAGCTGTCCCAACACAAGACAGCAGGGCCATCCGTTGCCAGCACATGAATGACTGTAAGTCACCAACAACTGCCAGCCAAGGACGCACGAAGGATCAGCCTGTGTCTCCGTGAAAATTCACAGCACAGACGCCGCTCGGGAGGGAGAGGAGAGAGAGGGGCCCCAGCAGGCACCCTCACCCTGTCTGTGCCGCCAAGGGGCCTGAGAGTGTGACCCTGACACCGAGTCAATCTGCTTCTCCGCCTGAGGCTGCCAGGCAGCCTGGAGGCTGGAAAAAAAATGTAAAACATGTTCCTCTAAAACGAGGGCGTCCTTAGCGGGGATGCTATAAATACGCCCAAGTAAGAAGAGACGCGAGAACGTCAATCTGGTTCTGTTCCTCCCGCTTCTCCTTCCTCCCAGCAAACTTCTGAGGAGAGAAAAGTCTGGAAAGTTTGAGGAGCGAACCGCATCTTCAGAGCCATTGGGTGGGGTCACATGCATACATCTGAGCTCACATGTGTGTGAGACCCAAACTGAGCTGAACTGATTTTAACTCACCTCAAGTCACTAATCTGAAGTCTCAATATCACGTCACTTTTTCTGTTAATACACCAAATAAGGCTGAGCTTCACATAGTTCAATTCAGTCATTCGTTTCCATCTCCTTTTAGGTTTTATTCATTGGAATTTGGGAGTGCAATGAGACTGCCAGTCACACGGAGTGATGCGGTCTCGTGTCTCACAGCTGTGGGTCTTCCCGTTGCCTCAGCCCCTCTGAGAGGATGAAGGGGCGGGGCCCTGCCCACAAGGTGGCTGGGACATCTTAGATGGTCCGGTTCATTACTAACCAATAATGCAAAGATGGTTAGACCATTTCAGGGCCCTGGCTGCTAGATTTTCTTCATTAAGCACATATCATGCAGTCCTGTCTGACATTTTAACACGCACAGAAAACAGGGCACACAGCAAACAGGAAATGTCTGTTACCTCCGAGTGGGAGTGAGATTTGGTGAAGGGACACAAAAGGAATTTTTACTTTTTATTCTAGATAGTTCCAAACTGTTCATTTTGAATATATCCATATACGTATAATTCATTTTTTAATTGATTTTAATTGACACACCTGAAAGAGAAAAGTGGGTAATACTGTAATGGCCAACATCTTCCCTTTTCATAAAATCAGACTTTGCTGCCATCATCCACTATTAAAATAATACCGAAGTGGGTCAAGAGAGGCAACCGAGAATTTGATTTTAAAGAATGTGCTGAATTTTCTATTAAAGCAAAAAACTCTTTGACACCCCAATAGTGTATGCTTCCTGTAAGTTCAAGAAATCCATGTCTATTTCCAAGGCAGCATCACCCACCCCTCACCCCAGGTTTTCAGCCTGGCCTGGGATGTGGATAGGCCCCCTGCTGCCTTTCTGGAAAAAGCAACTGAAAGCTCAGCCAAGCCACGGCCAGGTTGCTCTTTTCAGCCCCCATGGGGACCAAGCTGCCCCAACAGGCAGGAAGCACAGGCGGTGTCCACAACTCTGCCTCCACACATCCACCCTTGGCCAGGAAAGAGGGAGGCACCTGAAGACAGAGAAGGGGAGAGAGCGCTGGTCAGCGGAGCAGGGACAGGACCGAGAGCCTGTGGGGCAGGAAACCGAGTGGGAAGAGCCAAGGGGTGGTAGGCAGGCCATGCTGCAGAGTCACCACGGAGCGTGGGACAGGCACGGCGGCAAAGAGAGTGGGCTGAGTGGGTCATCACACAGCACGGGAGCCGCGGCCCCAGGTGCTGCTTGAATGAAGAAGGCTCAGCCCATGACTGCTACGTCTGGTCCCCAGGACCCAAACTGTCCAGAAATCAGCCAGCACTCCTGCAGGTGCACTGCAGTGGACGGCTAGAGGAGGGAAAGCAGCGCCGTACAGACACTCGGAAAACTGCAGACTGGAAGGGGCGTGAAAGCACAAGGTCTTGATCATTCTCCTGGCATTCGGTGCTGTGCGTAGGGTGAGCAATGGACGCCACTGGGGAAGAGTGGGAAAGGAAGGCTCAGCACGTCGGTAACGAATGAGGAGGCAGAGGCCCGCTCTGCGTCTCAAAGAACGGGTGGGATGCGGAGCCGTGACAAGGGCATGGGAAAGAAAGTGGAGTGGGAATAACGCCAAAATTAACCTGATAAGGAAGCTGCTTTCAACGCATCCCTGAGCTGGACCCACATGGAGAAGGACCACACACCCCAAGGCTGCCCTTCAGTTTTGACTTGATTCTGTGGGAAAGAGGGAGCCACTGAAGGTTTCATATCAGGATGACTGTGGGGGGCAGACGAGAAACACAACTTATAAAAGTGGGCTCTGACTTGTGTACACGCCGTACAGAGATGTAATTCAGTGGCTGTTTAATTAGCAACTTGTGTGGCAGACACGTTCATATTCTCAATGACAAGGAGCTCCTACACAGTCCAAGAAAAAGACAAAACTCAGTGGGAATGGGGCAAAGATGGGAGCAGTAACTTACAGAAGCAGAGGTGAAAGTGGCCCCACAGGACATGAAAACACGTGTCACCGCGACAGTCACTGGGGAAACACACATCTAACAATACCCACATTGTTGGGGGCAGTGGCTCCCGTGTTTCTCAGCTGTGGACATGCCACAGGACAGGACCCACGAGTGAGTGTTTCGGGGGCAGAAGAGGTAAAGAACAGAGGCCGGAGATGCAGACAGACCGAGGTGCAAAGTGGCTGCCTGAGAGCTGCGGCCTAGAACAAGTCACCGAACTCTTCTGAATTCCAATTTCCTCACCCTAAGGCTGTGAATGGGGCTCATGTTACTCAATGTGAGTGGGGCGGCGTGGCACAGGAGGTACTCAGCCTGGACTTTCTGTGAGCGCTCAATACAAAACAGCCTGGACGTTGCTGCAAGCGGCCTGGAGCTCCCGAATGGTGACCCACTCGCCGACAGCCTCCCTCCCTCTCTCCTCCGCTCTTCTTTCCTGACTAAAGCCTTCTTGAAGTCTGGAGGAAGCAGAGTGAACGCTTCCGTTGGATGAGCTCAGAACTTTTTTTCCTCTCCATTTTCATGATTAGCAATCACAGGCTGCGTCTGCCAGCTCCTGCTGTGATCTGGGGGACACCCAGAGTGCAGCAGCAACTCTGAGACGCAGAGCTGTTCTGTTTTATGGAACTGGCAAAAAATAGAATAATAACTTTTGACACCTGGGAGGCTGCGGAAAAGCACAATGGGTTTGAAAAACAGATGAGGTAGCAACTGAGAGATCTACGCTCTGTGAATCACAAACCACTCAGAGAGCCTGGAAATGCTGAGGCCACATGGCGGAGAGACCAGGTCCTGGCTGCTGCCTGTGGGGGTGGGCAGAATGAGCCTTGCATTCCCGGACCCTCCAGTGCCCGAAGGCTGATTCTCGGAGAGCTCACAGGGTACTACGGGGTGGCGGGCGCAAGCCAGCTCTGCGGCGCAGTGGGCGTCATCCTCGCTGCTGTGGGAGCGGGGGCTCCTGCTCTGGAGATCGACTGCTGTTTGGGTAATGACAGCAGCACCATGCAACAACTGAGCCACTGGTTCTCTACTTGGCAGGAATTTCCCAATTGGGATTCTAGATTCCAAGAAGGTAGGGTCTGGCAACTGTTTCTGCAGCACAAATTGAATTCACTGCTTGATCAAACCTAAATAAAGAGTCTGAGGAGCACGACCTTCCTAGGAGCACGTTCCAGCTTTGTTCCACGTCGCGGGGGTTGCGTCTCACCCTGAAGCCTTGTGGCAACCCTATGGAGGAGTCCATCGGCACCATTTTCCCAGCAGCACGTGCTCATCGCCTGTCTCTGTGCTACCTTTTGGTAATTTCCACAGTGTTGGATCCCTGAGCTGTGATCCGTGATCTTTGGTGTTACTGTCATTGTTTTGGGGCACCATGAACCGTGCCCATAGAAGACAGTGAGCATAACTGATCAATGCTGTGTGTGTTCTGACTGCGTAACTGACCAGCCATTCTCCCATCTCGCTCCCTCTCCTCCAGCCTCCCTATTCCCTGAGACACAACAATATTGAAATTAGGCTAATTAGCAACCCTACAGTGGCCTCTAAGTGTTCATGTGAAAGAAAGAGCCGCACCTCTCTCACTTTAAATCAGAAGCTAGAAATGATTAAACTTAGTGAGGAAGCCATGCCGAAAGCCAAGAATAGGCCAAAAATGAGGCCTCTCGTGTAAAACAGTTAGCCAAGTTGTGAATGTAAAGGAAAAGTTCTTGGAGAAAATTAAAAGTGCTACTCCAGAAAACGAGAAAGTGAAACAGCCTTACTGCTCATATTGAGAAAGTCTGAGTGGTCTGGATAGACCAAGCCAGCCACAATATTCCCTTAAGCCAGAGCCTAATCCAGAGCAAGGCCCTCACTCTTCAATTCCATGAAGGCTGAGAGAAGTGAGGAAGCTGCAGAAGAAAACTCTGAAGCTCGCAGAGGTTGGTTCATGAGGTTGAAGGAAAGGAGTCATCTCCATAACATAACAGTGTAAGGTGCAGCAGCAAGTGCTGATGGAGAAGCTGCAGCAAGCTCTCCAGAAGATCTGGCTGAGATCAGTGACGAAGGTGGCTGCTCTAACAACAGATTTTCAATGTAGATGAAACAGCCTTACATTGAAGAAGATGCCATCTAGGACTTCCATAGCTAGAGAGAAGACAGCGCCTGACTTCAAAGCTTCAAAGCACAGGCTGGCTCTCTTGTGAGGAGCTGATGCAGCTGAGGACTTTAAGTCAAAGCCAATGCTTGTTCATCCGAGGGCCCTTAAGAATCATGCTAAATCTATGGCTGCCTGTGCTCTGTCACTGGAACAAAGCTGGATGACAGCACATCTGTTTACAGCATGGTTTACTGAATATTTTAAGCCCACTATTGAGACCTACTGCTCAAAAAAGATTCCTTTCAAAATATGGCTGCTCATCAGCAGTGCACCAGTCACCCAAGAGCTGTGATGCAGCTGTACAAGGAGGTGGGTGTTGTTTCCATGCCTGCTGACACCTCGTCCATTCTGCAGCCCAGGGATCAAAAAATAATTTCCATTTCAAGACATATATACAAATATTTTGAGGTAGAGTCTTGCTCTGTCGCCCAAGCTGGAGTGCAGTGGTGCGATCTCGGCTCACTACAACCTCCGCCTCCCAGGTTCAAGCAATTCCTTGCCTCAGCCTCCCGCATAGCTGGGATTACAGGCACATGCCACCATGCCCGGCTAATTTTTGTATTTTTAGTAGAGACAGGGTTTCACCATCTTGGCCAGGCTGGTCTTGAACTCCTGACCTTGTGATCCACCTGCGTCGGCCTCCCAAAGTGCTGGGATTACAGACATGAGCCACTGCACCCAGCCAAGACTTATATTTTAGAAACACACTTTGTAAGATGACAGCTGCCATAGATAGTGATTCCTCTGACTGATCTGGGTAAAGTAAATTGAAAACCTCCTGGAAAAAATTCACCGTTCTAGATGCCATTGAGAACACTTGCGATTCATGGAGGGAGGTCAAAATAGCAACATTCACAGGAGTTTGGAAGAGGCTGAGTCCAACCCTCATGCATGACTTTCAGGGATTCAGGACTTCAGTAGAGGAAGGAACTGCAGATGTGGTGGGAACAGCAAGGGAACCAGCATTAGCAGAGCTGCCTGAAGATGTGACCAAATTGCCACAATCTCATGATAAAACTTTAACAGGTGAGGAGTTGCTTCCTAGGGACGAGCAAAGAAAGTGGTTTCTGGAGATGGAATCTACTCCTGGTGAAGATGCTGTGAGCATTGTGAAAATCAGAACAAAGGATTCAGAATATCACATCAACTTATTTGATAAGGCAGTGGCAGGGGTTGAAAGGATTGACTCTTAATTTTGAAAAATGTTCTACTGCGGGTAAAATGCTACCAAACAGCATTGCGTTCTGCAAAGAAATCTTTCATGAAGGAAGAGTCAACTGATGCAGTCAATTTTATTTGTCTTATTTTAAGAAATTAACACAGTTGCCCCAAGCTTCAAGCAACCACGGCCCTGATCAATCAGCAGCCATTAACACTGCGGCAAGACCCTCCACCCGCAGGAAGATTACAACTTGCTGAAAGCTCAGGTGATCATTAGCATTTTTAGCAAAAACATTTTTAATGAAGGCCTGTACATTGTTTTTTAGACATAGTGCTATTACACACTTAATAGACCACAGCCTAGTAAAATGTAACTTTTATATGCACTGGAAAACTAGAAAATCTGTGTGACTCACTTTATCGTCATATTTGCTTTATTGCAGTGCCCTGGAATTGAACCCACAATATCTCCGAGGTCTGCCTGTAGATGCTAAATCAGTGGTTTTTTTTATATTCACAAATGAGCCCATTCACTAGTTTTTCTTGGGCAATTTCTGAAGCACACTTTTGGGAATTGATATGCAATGTTTATATAGACTGGATTCAGAACACGCTACCTCAAAATATGGCAGGGTGGCCCTCGAGAAAACGGCAGAAGCAGACCACAGAAACCAGAATTCCCCCAGCCCCTTCTCCTCGGAGGCAGGTCATAAGACCCTCATTCCAGAGGGGCCTCCCTATGCCCAGAGGGGAATGTCCTTATCTCCGAAGACACAGAAGCAGCTAGAAGACTCCAGACAGGCCTTGCTGAGCCCTTCAGCCTATGACATCAGAGCACGCCCTTTGCCCTCCGATCACACTTCTGCACAACTGTCCATAAAAACAGGCTTCCCTGTTTCCTGGGTCTTCATTTCTGAAGGCTCCCATGTGACATAGAAAACCGGTATTAAATAAGTGGGTAGGGTTTTCTCTTATTAATCTGTCTTTTGTTACAAGTCTCAGCCATGAACCTGGAGAGGGGTGAGAAATTACTTTTTCCCCACTATGGTATATAAATCTTTTATTTGAGGGCTATGGGGGTGTCTCTTGTGCCATGAAAGCATGATTCATTTATTCTTGTATCCACTCACTCAATAAATAATTTCCCACTGATAGCCTTTGCTGCTTGCTGTGGCCGAAAATCCAAATAGGGTTAATCACATAGCTTCAAAGAATTAGGGAGACACTCTGGATTTGAATATTCTAAAGTCTTCCACTTTGGGGACAACGCTAGTGCTTTTAGTACCTAAGTTGCAATGGGAGGTGATTGTTTGCTGGAAAAACTCCCAAATCTGAGAGGGACAAGCTTATTGTTCTGCTTTGTGCCCAGATGGTGGAGCCAGCATTTTCAACCATCTTGTTTTGTGTTGGGTTGAATGTCCTGGGAGGGAGCCCATCTGTCTGGGGTCAGGGAAGTAACCCCTTATTAAAGAAATGCAATTCTCTGGCTATATCCTTCACTATGCTTACCTCCTTGCCTAACTGTATCCTCAGTTCTTTTTTCTTTCTTTTAAAAAACAGCTTTATTGAAACATAATTCATATACCACATAACTCAGCCTTTTAAAGTATAGGAGTTGGCCGGGCGCAATGGCTCATGCCTGTAATCCCAGCACTTCGGGAGGTCAAGGTGGGAGGACCACTTGAGGTCACGAGTTCAAGACTAGCCTGGGAAACATAGTGAGACTCCATCACTGCAAAAAAAAAATTTTTTTTAAATAGCCAGGCATGATGGTGTGTGCTTGTAGTCCCAGCTACTAGGGAGGCTGAGGTGAGAGGATTACTTGAGACTAGGAGTTCAAGGCTGCGTTAGGCTAGGATTGCACCACTGCACGCCAACCTTGGCGACAGAACAAGTGCTTGTCTTAAAAAAAACAAAAAACTGTAAGAGTCAACGGTTTTCTGAATGTTCAGAGTTCCGTGACCACCTCACCGTCCACCTCAGAGCCTCTCAGTACCACCAAAGGGAACCTGCCCCTCTGCCATCACTTCCCATGCCCCCAACACTTTCCCCAGCCCTACACGGCCACAACCTACTTTCTGTCTCTACCGACTTACCTCTCCTGGACTTATTTACTTATTTATTTACTTATTTATTTATTTAGAGACAGAGTCTCACTCTGTTGCTCAGACTGGAGTGCAATGGTGTGAACTCGGCTCACCGTAACCTCCACCTCCCAGGTTCAAGCGATTCTCCTGCCTCAGCCTCCAGAGTAGCTGGGATCACAGGCACGCGCCACCACGCCCAGCTAATTTTTGTATTTTTAGTGGAGACGGGGTTTCACCATGTTGGCCAGGCTGGCCGTGAACTCCTGATCTCAAGTGATCTGCCCGCCTCGGCCTCCTGAAGTGCTGGGATTACAGGGTGAGCCTCCGCCCTGGCCTCCTGGACATTTTGTATAAATGAAATCATGTCCCCCGTGACTTTTGTGACTCGGTTTCTTCCTCTGAGCACGGCGATTCCCAGGTTCCTCCGCGTCAGTGTGCCGGTGCTTCCTGCCTCCCTTTCCACGGCCGGACAGCACTCCACCATCACAGACGTCCTCGGTTCCTGGTGGTTTTCTGCCCTCTTCAGTGGAGAAAGGGCTTGGAATAGAAGAAGCTGCAGTTGGAGACGTGAAGGCTGTGGCTGTGACGCCGCCACGGGGAGTCGGCTGCAGGAGGAGCCTCCCCACCATCAGCGTGGCCGGCGGAGTGAGCCACGAGCGCAAGGGCACCCCTCCCAGCCGCTGTTGCTGTGGCCCCGGCCGCCAGCGTCCCGGGAGGGCACCTGCGGAGGGAAGGCAGACACCCTGCAACGGCCCGCAGGCCCGTGTCACCTGGGCCACCGAGCGCAGGGCTTGTGGGTCGTCACAGCATAATTCAGCCTTGAGCCACGAGACACGGAGCCGACAGGTGTGTAGCTGAGCCATCCTCCCCCACCTGTCAGTCACCATTCTTCCACCTCCCTCCAAACGGAGAGCGCGACTTGCTCCTCTTGCCCTCCTGGACGTCCGGGATTTCCGCCCCTGGGCTCCAGCGCTATGGTGTGGTCGTCCTGACGCACTCTTAGAAGCTCGGCCACCCCTCTGCGCCCCTCCTGCTCGGCCACCCCTCTCTGCGCCCCTCCTGCTCGGCCACCCCTCTCTGCGCCCCTCCTGCTCGGCCACCCCTCTGCGCCTCTCCTGCTCGGCCACCCCTCTCTGCGCCCCTCCTGCTCGGCCACCCCTCTCTGCGCCCCTCCTGCTCGGCCACCCCTCTCTGCGCCCCTCCTGCTCGGCCACCCCTCTCTGCGCCCCTCCTGCTCGGCCACCCCTCTCTGCGCCCCTCCTGCTCGGCCACCCCTCTCTGCGCCCCGCCTGCTCGGCCACCCCTCTCTGCACCCCTCCTGCACAGGCCTCTCCTCCTTTCTGAGCTCAAAGGGAATGGTGGTTCCTTCATGTGCCTCCTTCCCACCTCTCTTGTCCTTTTAGCAGGAACATGCTCACGTGAAAAACTGGAAAACCAGAGAAATATGAAGAAAATAAAAGTCACTACCCAGAGAGAGCCACTATTCACAGTGTGGTGTATTTCTTTGAGCTTTTTCTGCTATCCACATTTTCGCACGGCTGTCATCGTATTAGATGCTCAGTTTTGGATCCTGAGTTTTTCATTTACTTTCTCCCACCTGCATTTTCCGACGTTATTAACAACTTTTTGAACACTTCTCTTTTAATGTCTGCTTAACATTTGAATCATGTGACCATAACATAGCTTTAAAGAAGCATTCTCCTTTGTTTAATATTAATGATTTGTCTACTGTTTTAAAATTAATACAAACACCACTGCAGAGAGCAGCTTTGTGCTTCAAGTTTTCTTTAGTATTTTGGGTAATGGATTATTTTATTGGGGCATATTCTCACACATCAGATTGCCGGGTCACGGGCCACCTCCCTTATGTGGCGTGAACGTGCTGGCCAGTCAGCGTCCATCACGATCACGTCAGGCCATGCTCCCACCAGCAGGGCGTGAAAGCGACCAGCTCACTTCCCGACATAAGCGTGATCTATTTTAATCTTCATAGATTTGTTTTCCTTTTTTCTATTGTGGAGTAGTTGATTATTATGCCTTTAGAATGTTTAGGACATACCACCTGTGTTTGGATGTGTCCCATTTAAAGTTATCAACCATGAAATCAAATCCGCTTTAAAAATTCTTTGAAACCTGTTTTCCTCATATTTAGGATGCCCATGTAACAGCATCTAAACTCTCTTTTCTACAAGCTGTTCCAGGATTATGTGATTGCTTTATCTTAAGCTTTCTCTTCCAGAACCCTTACAGTTTTTTCTATAATAACCAAAGTTACTCCAGAGTTATGAATTACCAAGGAATTGACCCCCAGGGTCACTTTAAAGTTTCCAATCACGACTTCCTCCTGAGGGAGCTGGCCTAAAACCCTTACAGCTGAAGCATTCGATTACGTTAAATGAGCATGTGCAGAGGCTGCAGTTTCATAGTTCCAATTGCATATTGTGGTAAAATATACGTCACATTAAAATTTACCATCTTAGCCATTCTTAAGTGTACAGTTCGGTGGTGTTAATTACATTCACACTGTTGATCAGTCATCACCACCGTCTATTCCCAGAACTCTTCCATCGTCCCAAACTGAAACTCCACCAATTAAACACTGACACCCCAACTGTCCCCCAGCCCCTGGCCCCATCACTCTACCTTCTGTCTCTATGAACTTGACTATCTTTAGTACGTCACATGCGTGGAATCATTCAGTATTTGTCCTTTTGTGACTGGCTTATTTCACTCAGCATAACAGCCTCAAGCTCCCCCCATGTTTCAGCGAGTGTCAGCACTCACTTCCTCTTCAAGGCTGCGTACTATTCCATCATGTGGATGGACCACGTTTCACTTGTCCATTCGCCCATCAGTGGACACTGGGCTGCTTTCGCCTTTGGCTGTTGTGCATTAACTGCTATGAATATGGGTGTGCAAACAGCTCTTCAAGTCTCTGCTTCCTGTGTTATGGGGTACGTACCCAGAAGTGGGGTTGCTGAGGCAAATTAAAAACTCTATTTTTAATTTTTTAGGAAACCACCATACTGTTTCCCTCAGCAACGACGCCATTTTACATTCCCATCAGCAGCGCACAAGTGTTCAATTTCTCCACATTCTCACCAACACCGATTTTCAGGGGTTTTTTAATACTAGCCATCCTAATGGGTGTGAGGTGGTATGTTTATCTTTTGACTTTCTTTTTATTAATAACCTCTGTTGGGCTTTTAAAAAACATATCCAAGCTTGATAAGATTATATATTCCTACACGTACCTTAAGAAAAGAGAGGGGGAAAGAGAGAGAGTGAGCCAGAGGGAGAGAAAGAGACCCTGCGGCTGGTGACAGAATGTTCTAGACTCGCAGCCGCCCCCCACCGCACCCTGGGCTGCCGCACCCCTGGCCCGCCAGCCTCGGGCTAAACCAGTCACCATGGCAACCATAAATCTGAGCCAGCACAGGAACCACTTCTCCTATCGCTCCCCGTCAGCCTCGCAAAGCGCAGTTTTCTAAGACTGGGCACCACTGGCTTCGCTGTTTCCTAGACCTTCAGTGCATCATAAAAAAAAAAAATCAAATATCATCTGTTTCTACAAATCAAGGCCTGAATATGTGTATTTACATTTAAATTGCTTTTCCTTTCCAAGGAATCCACAGTCATTATCTGGATATGATGTTGAGACGACTCTATGTCTGGGAGGCAAGTCAAGGTTGAGGAGAAAAATGTCTGAGAATGATCACAGTCGGACACCCAGGCCGGCCTTTGTCAAGGAGCCGGGGAGACAGCCTCGGCTTTTATTCTGCTGGGGCTACTTACGGCTCCAATTAAATTAAACACACACACCTGCTTCCATTATCATCAAAAGCTGTTGAGTCCAGGCAGACGACGTAGGATTTTCAATATCGCTATTTTTCTTAAGGCTGCCTCCAAATTAAAGCTGCACGGAGTAGATGCCAGGGAGCCCCAGGGGGTCCTAGGCTGGGCCAGAACCTCACCCACCACCCACACTGCACCCCACGAGCTGCCGGTTCCCACTTGTCACACTCGGCACAGGAATCTCCCGAAAGAAGAGAAAACAGCAGAAGCTGCCGCCGCTGAGGACCTGCTCTCCTCTTGGCGCCTCCACCGTGGCTTCCCTTCCCGACCCCAGAAGCTGCCTAGGCACAGACACAGAGGTGCCCCCAGCCCCAAAATTCCATCCGGAACCCAGGGCTGGTCCCACCTCAGGGCGCACGAGCTCCTCGGTTTCGCTTCTCAGACCCTCAGAGGCATTCACCTCGGCTCCCCCTGGATGCACCAGTGCAGGGGAGGCCTGTCCTGAAAGGCCCCAGGAGGGCGGCACCCCAGGCCAGCGCCCTGCCCTGCACCTCAGTCCCCCGCCGGCACCCACGTCTGTGCAGAGATTAGTGGGTGCGAGGGGCCTCTGGGCAGGCCCCGCCATCCTCGCTAGGATTAAATCCGCTCCTGCCCACAGTCTGAGGACAGATGCGCAGGGAGCTGGGGAAAGAGAAGGCCTCGCTCAGTGCGCCCCGGGCCCACACGCAGCCCCTGACTTGGAGAAAGGCGGCTCCGCCCAGCGCTTTTCTGAGGATACTGGAGTTTAACCCTCCCCTGCGCGTTCAGAGCGCACAGCGCCCAGTTCACCAGCATGACAGGCCCGGGTGGCGTCTGCCCTGGGAGATGCCCTCTGCCTGACCGCGCTGGAGGGAAGGGGCTCTGCAGGACCCGCTGCTCGCCGTATTTCATAATAACTGCCGTCCTCATGGGCTTTCAGCCCAACCTGAAAACACAGCGTTTGCACTGTTTTCTTATCCGCCTGATAAGAGAGGAAAATCAGTGGCTTAAAGGACGAAAAACCTGGCCGGGCGCGGTGACTCACGCCTGTAATCCCAGCAGTTTGGGAGGCCGAGGCGGGTGGATCACCTGAAGTCAGGAGTTCGAGACCAGCCTGGCCAACATGGTGAAACCCTGTCTCTACTAAAAATACAAAAAATTAGCCGGGTGCAGTGGCGCACGCCTGTAATCCCAGCTACTCAGGAGGCTGAGGCAGGAGAATCGCTTGAGCCCAGGAGGCGAAGGTTGCAGTGAGAGGAGATAGCCCCGCTGCCCTCCAGCCTGGGCGACAGAGCGAGACTCTGTCTCAAAAAAATTTTTTAAAAAAGGATGAAAAACTTGCCGAAGGACAGAGCAAAACAAAATCAGAAAGCAAGGGTTGGTGCGAGCGATGGGCGCCCAGAACCCGGGCAACCTCTTCTCCCCACCCACCGAGGCCGCAGCCCATGGCTCCGGGGTTCCATCCGCCTCCTCTCGGCAGCGCGCCCCGGGCGGCCCCAGCTCCAGGCCAGCGGCGGGGCTCACCAGGCTGGGCGCTGCGCACGGCGGGCAGGAGAGGGGCAGACCAGGGCGCAGCAGCCAGGACCCCACACTCACCGTTCACACAGGCCTCGGACGCTCCGCAGAGGCCCTCCTCGAGCAGGCAGCCTGCGGGGAAACAGAGAAGAGACGCGGTCAGCTGGAGGGGAGGAGGGGGGTGCCCCCGAGGCTGCCTTCCTGGCCCCCTGGTGAATTTCAGAGAAACCGCCGGTCAAGCAGGCTCCTCCGACCCGGCTTTTCCGAGATGGGGCCGATTATTCTGAAGCCAGAACGCTGCGCCCCTGACCCGGCCACGTGCGAGGCCTCCTGGCCTAGTCCCGGAGCCCAGCTCTCACCTGGACCAGGCCCACAGCTCTGGGCTGAGGGTCAAGCCGGCGTCATCACAGGAGACTCTCTGGCCGCGGGAGCAGCAGCGGGGCCGGGGCCTCCCCTTGAGGCCTCCCCTGGGCCCGGCGCCTCCCCTGGACCGGGTGCTCACCGCACGCACCGCGTCCCTGGAAGCAAGGCTGCCGGGCGCCGGGGAGCGGAGGCTTCCAGGGAGGTAACGAGCTCCGCGGGGAGCCCGGCTGCGTGGGAAGCAAACCGTGGCGTCCGTGGCCACAGACAAGAGACGCAGGAGAGGGTCGGGAGAGGAAAGGAGGCAGCGGAGGCAGCAGAGACGAAGACGGGCAGGAAAGGCCAGCGCGGCTGGGCCAGGCCCTGGAGGAGACGCGGGGCAGAGGCAGCGCCTCAGTCCCCACCCAGGAAGGGGCTCCAGAAGCTCCGCGGTGCCTGGGTGGCCAGGCGACCCCAAGCCACGCATCCCCCGCGGCCGAGCAGGCTGGCAAAGGTTGGCGTTCGGCTCCACGTCCACGCCTGTCTTAAACACAGAGAGATGGGTCCAGAAAGCACCACCCCGCTAGGGAGCGGCTCCCGCGAGGGCGTGAGCACCCTGGACACCAGAACCGGGAGGGCCCCAGGGCCACTAGGCGGGAGTCGCACCGCCAGCAAAGGCCAGGTGTGGTGTGAACGCGCAGTGTCTTTCACTCATTCCTGCAAAGCACAGTGCCTTCAATGCTGCTTCACCAGCCGACAAACGCCTGTTCATCCGCTAAGATCCCTGTGGAAGCCCCAGACTCTCCCGGGGCTGCCCAGGCGTCCTTTTCGGGACTCGCCACACTGTGCAGTGACTGTGGATTGAGTGTGTATTTCCCTCTCCTGGAGTTCAGGAGCCGGGCACACGCCTGTTTCCACCCTCTACTGTTTCCTCCCATGCCCTCTGTGTGTCTGGCACAGGGCAGGTGCCCAGGAGCAAATGGGTGAACAAAGAAACTGAGGAATCTGGAGAAAGTTATGAATTACTGAGGGATTCACCCCCAGGGTCACGTTAAAGTTTCCAGTCACTACTTCCTCATGAGGGAGCTGGCCTAAAACCCTTACAGAGGAAGCCCTTGGTTGCCTTAAACCAGCACGTGCGGAGGCTTTAAAACTAAACGTCATTCCAGACCTAAGGCAGCACAGAGCCTAGCAGGACCCAACGCTGGGAGTTCACAGGAGGAGGCAGCCTCGCTCGTCTCACAACAGCTTCACGAGCCTTCCACAGTTGCAGGGCGGCCCCTGGCTGGGATCTGCTTCCTCCCAGGAGGTGGCCTAGGTGCAGCCCTGGCCTGCCCAGCCAGTGCCTGCCCAGCCCAGTGCCCACCACCATCGCCTGCCAGCAGTCACAGGCGGGTGGACACCCCACCCATTGACGGGAGCCTCCAATCCAAGCAGAGATTGTTTTTGGTTTGGGGGAGTTTTTGTTTGTTTTGTTTTGAAATAACAATCTCATGAAAAACAGATTTTTTTTTTTGATGGAGTCTTGCTCTTATCACCCAGGCTGGAGTGCAATGGAGTGATCTTGGCTCACTGCGACCTCTGCCTCCCAGGTTCAAGCAATCCCCCTGCCTCAGCCTCCCAAGTGGCTGGGACTACAGGCGTGCGCCAGCATACCCAACTAATTTTTGTATTTTTAGTAGAGACGGGATTTCACCATGTTGGCCAGGCTGGTCTCGAACTCCTGACCTCAAGTGATCCACCTGCCTCGGCCTCCCAAAGTGCTGGGATTACAGGCGTGAGCCACCGCGCCTGGCCAGCATTTCATTTCTTAATCCCATTTACCCATCAGCTAACCCCACATTCAGTCTGCATTCTCTGCATTATTTCTTCATTCAACAAGTGTCTGAGCCAGGCAGAGGAGGTGAACGGCCTACAGGAGCGTGGCAGGGAACGTTCTGAGAGACACACACCTGGCACTTGAACAGCAGGAGGAGAGGCAGACACCACTCCCCACAAAAGCAGTGACCTTGAAAAGGTCAGCATGGAGGTTAGAGGTCCTCTCAGATCCTCACGCAGTGACCTCCAAGGCTCCCCTCACTGCCTCCCAGAGGGAGAGCCTCAGCTGTGAGGGCCCCTCCCGCCCCAGGCACACAGAGGCGCACAGAGAAGGAGCTGGGAGCAGTAAGGATGTGACCACACCGGAGATGTGCTGGAGGTTAGTCCGATGTCGTGGAACGTCCCTGGTCCCGGCTCTGGCAGGAGCTGCAGGACTCTGCTCAGGATTCTAGGGTGCATCTCCAGCGTGGAGGAACAGAGACCTTGGGGGAAGGCAGATGCAGGGATGCTGCAGACACAGCTCACGTTCTAACTCCATGTTTGTCACGTGGAAATGGCAGATGACGGAGCTCTGCTAGGAGAGGCACCGGGAAGAAAGCCCCTGTTTTCTTCCCATCTCTGCCTTAATCGTGGCTGACAGTTAGATGTGATCTGAATGAGATGTGCATCAAATGATCTCTTGGATCCTGACCTTGGAAAACCACCTGTTACTGGCATGTGCCCAACCTGATTCGTTACTCCAGAGGACTGATGAGAAGTGACAGTGGAAAACCTGCAGCACTCCTTGGTGAGAGGCAAACACAGCAGCAGCATTTCACATGATTACCAGAGCTGCAAATGTTATGCATATTTCACCCAGCCAGTGGATATGCTAATTTGACTGCTAAGTTATTTGTTCTAAAATTACGAAAGAGCAAATTTCATTTTAAGTATCAGCCACCTACTAATAGTAATTATGACCATAAATCATCCAGAGAAAAGACATTTTCTCTGGCAGACACTGGTTCAACCCAGCCCAGGCGCCTCGGGCACACGCCTTCCTCGAGTGGGCTCCACACCCGCCATGTGGCGGCAAGTGGCATCCTGGACTTGTGTACCCTGTCGGCTCACAGACTGCATACACTAAGGTCCAGATGTCATTCTGAGGCCAAGAAGCTAAATCCACAAGGAAAGCCAACAGCGGCCTGTGGGGCCCTTAACCTTGTGTGCCCAGCACTTAAAACTGGAATTCCTTCACTTCAATGTATTATCCACCCTTTTGCATGAAAACATGTGACATTCCCCAAATTCTCAAATTGCTCCTCTGCTGAACCCTATAGCAGGGCTGTGGTGCTCAGGGGTTCCTCCTCACTCTGTATTCACAGGGTATCCCTCCTGCTTCAGCACAGAGACAAGCACATCCAGTCATGAATGCATGTGCACACATATACACACATGCACCCACAAGCATGTGCACACATATACATACACACATGCACACTCATACATGCATGCAGTCATGCCCATTCACAGGCACACTCATGCCTGCACACATACACACACGCACACCTGCATGCATACACACATGCACACACTCATACATGTGAGCATACACCTGCAGACACGTACACGTATGCACACACGTACATGGGTACACTCATGCATGCATGCAGTCATGCCCATTCACAGGCACACTCATGCCTGCACACATACACACACGCACACCTGCATGCATACACACATGCACACACTCATACATGTGAGCATACACCTGCAGACACGTACACGTATGCACACACGTACATGGGTACACTCATGCATGCATGCAGTCATGCCCATTCACAGGCACACTCATGCCTGCACACATACACACACGCACACCTGCATGCATACACACATGCACACACTCATACATGTGAGCATACACCTGCAGACACGTACACGTATGCACACACGTACATGGGTACACTCATGCATGCATGCAGTCATGCCCATTCACAGGCACACTCATGCCTGCACACATACACGCACACCTGCATGCATACACACATGCACACACTCATACATGTGAGCATACACCTGCAGACACGTACACATATGCATGCACGTACATGGGTGCACGTATGCACACGTACATGGGTACACTCATGCATGCTGATCTTGTTCTGATTCTGCTTCCCTACTGTGTCCTCAGAACTCTAAGCAGTATCTTGTCACCATTGTGGTGCCCCTTTTTTCTTACCCTTCTCAAGATGAAAATGGATCCAGTTTTGCAAGGAGTCAGGCTGGATCTGCCTCTCTTACCCCAATCACTCCTAAGAGATGTTTATGGAGAGTTTGTTGTTCATTGTGGAAATACAGTAAATGTGAACAGAGCCCACCACCTCTCTCACTGGCTGGGAGGAAGCTCGGCACATCCTGTACCACATGCACCTGCTCTGCTTCCTCCCATCTCTGGGCGTCGCTGTGGCCAAGGCAGACATGGCCTAAAAATCCATGGCCCCTGCCCAACCCTGTCTCTACCACCACCGTGGAAGGCCCTTCCTGGGTTCAGGCTTCTCGCCTGACTGCCATGAGGGCAGAGAAAGGCTGTCATCAGCAGCAGGATGCACACGCCTTCTGAAATGTGTGCTACACTTTCCACTGAGGCCCATAAAATCCAGCTGATGTGAGCTGGCATCCCACAGCAGGAACCAAAGAGGGAGGAGGGGAGGTTCCTGGACAGCAGGCTCAGCACCGGCACCTGTTGCCTCCAAGCTGCAGACAGGACTCCTCAGAAGCCTGTGAGCTGCTGGCCACTCACTAATCACCCTTCCTGAGAGGGGCTCACTGAAGACCCTGCTTTGAGGCTGGAATGACCAAGGCCCTGGGATCCAACTGCAAACAGGAAAGCATCTTCCCAGACAGCACCAACACACACAGCAACGGGAACGCCAGGACCCCGTGGCTGTGCAAACATGGAGATGCAGGTCTGTTGGGGAAGTTGCTGAACCTGAACTGGGACAGCCCCTGAGAAGGGGATGCGGGGGCTTCACCTGTGTCAGCACCACTCACTTGGTACAAGGAACACACACAGATTTCCTCATCTAAAAAATATAACGAAGCAGAGTGAAGTAATCTATACCCAGCCTTTTCCTCCCTGGCCCCGCCAGCCTCCCCCGCTCTTCAGAGCTCACAGACTCCACGCCCAATCCGACCCTGTTACTGTCAGTCACTCTGTGTCTTTGTCCTGTCCCCCTCTACAGCCTTAAAAAAAACCATGCCAGCACCCCAGGAACCCCAGTCCCTACTGCCTGGAGCAGGTCCTTTGATGACAGATGTCACCTGCAGCAGTGGCAGTCTCACCACCGTGGGTTTCAATGCCAGAGCCCATCCCAGATGTGATTCCTGTCAAAGCCATGTTTCCCACCTCTCCCTGCAGAAAACGCTAGGGCTTACGACAGCCTGAGGCTCTGGGGTTATGTTAAATCACATTTTTTCCTAGGAACGAACGCATCATCATAGAAAAGGAAGGTGCAGTGTTTGAAGAGATGCTCTTTTTAAACATCATCCTCATTTTTAACATTCTGGAGAGAGAGCAGGGTGCCCAGGCTCCAACCCCACCTCCTCTGCAGCAAACACAAAGCCATGCACCTGGCAAAGCCTCCCTTCTCCCTTGCATTCTCAGATGTAAATGAGGATGCGCCCTGCCCACTGCAGGGGGGGTAAGAGTGAAGCGCCTGCCTGCTGGCAGGTGGGCATTGCCTGGGCCATAGCTACCCCCCAATCTCAGCATCCCCTCCTGGCAGCACAGACCCTTGGGACCAAGGAGTCCCCACACCCCACTGAGGTTTTCTAAATGTTTCCATCGGATCGAAAACAACGTGTTAAACCAGGGCGGCATCCAGGCAGGAATAGAAAGCCATTTCCACATTAAGAACCCCTATTCTAGGAATCAGCCTGAAAAGTGAGAGATTAAAGCGCCTCAGCCCGGAGGCGGGGCTGCCTCTGCCAGGCTGGGCGTGGGAGGACAGAGACCCCCAGACCCTCATCTCAGGCAGCCCTGCGGTCAGGGCATCTGGCTTCTGTGGCCCAAGGCTCAAATGAAAGCTGTGATTGCAATTTCAAAGACAAAAGGAAGAGGGAGAGAGGGAGGAGGAAGGCTCCTCCCAGATCTGTCTCTGACAAGAGGGAGGCAGCCCTGGCAGCTCCTGCCAGGCCTGATTGCCCATCCCTGACTGTGGCTTGCGGACAGGGCTTGGGGGGCAGCAGGGGGCAGCAGGAGACAGCGCTCAGCCCCTCTGCTGAGAGCCTATGACCAAGGGACCTGGCAGCGGCCTGGACGGAAGCCAGCCCACCTCCACATGAGAGGGACTGACTGCTTCCCTGAAAGCCCAGTCCCAGTCTGGGGACAACCCCTGCAGTGTCCCCCTTCCCTGCAGCCTCCCCCTTCCCTTCAGCCTTCCCTCCCCTTCCCTGCACCCCTTCATCTTCCCTGCACCCCCTCCCCTTCCCTGTGCCCCCTCTCCCTTCCCTGCAGCGTCCCCCTTTCCTGTGGCCCCTCCCCTTCCCTGTGCCCCCTTCCCTGCGCCCCTTCCCCACGCCCCTTCCCCCTTCCCTGCGCCCCCCTTCTGAGCCCCCTCCCCTTCCCTGCAGCCTCCCCCTTCCCTGCGCCCCCTCCACCTTCCCTGAGCCGCCCTCCCCTTCCCTGCTCCCCTTCCCCCTTCCCTGCGCCCCACCTTCCCTGCAGCCTCCCCTCCCCTTCCCTGCACCCCTTCCTCTTCCCTGCGCCCCCTCCCCTTCCCTGCAGGCCTCCCCCTTCCCTGCAGCATCCCCCTTCCCTGCGCCCCTCCCCTTCCCTGCGCCCCCTCCACCTTCCCTGAGCCGCCCTCCCCTTCCCTGCTCCCCTTCCCCCTTCCCCCTTCCCTGCACCCCTCCCCCTTCCCTGCAGCCTCCCCTCCCCTTCCTTGCACCCCCTCCACCTTCCCTGTGCCCCCCTCCCCTTCCCTGCTCCCCTTCCCCACGCCCCCTCCCCCTTCCCTGCAGCCTCCCCTCCCCTTCCCTGCACCCCTTGCTCTTCCCTGCACCCCCTCCCCTTCCCTGTGCCCCCTCCCCCTTTCCTGCAGGCCTCCCCCTTCCCTGAAGCATCCCCCTTCCCTGCACCCCCTCCCCTTCTCTGCAGCCTCTCCCTTCCCTGCGCCCCCTCCCCCTTCCCTGCGCCCCCTCCCCCTTCCCTGCGCCCTCTCCCCCTTCCCTGCGCCCTCTCCCCCTTCCTTGTGCCCCCTCCCCTTCCCTGCACCCCCTCTCCCTTCCCTGCGCCCCCTCCCCTTCCCTGCGCCCCCTCCCCCTTCCCTGCTCCCTCTCCTCCTTCCCTGCGCCCCCTCCCCTTCCCTGAGCCCCCTCCCCCTTCCCTGTACCCCTTCCCCCTTCCCTGTGCCCCTTCCTTGTTCCCTGCGCCCCTCCCCCTTCCCTGGGCTGCCAAGCAAGGGGCTCCGTTGGGTGACATGCAGCCCCACCTTGGCCAGGTGACCCAGCCCCACCCTGCCCACTGCACGTAGGGGTGGGTGTTGCTCAGTCCCCTTCACCTGCCGATCCAGAGTATGGAGCCCCCCAGTAAGTCCTCCCCAATTCTGAGGCTTTCAATCACAGCCCCAGCCCAGCGTTTTGGGGACCCGTCCCTTCCTTGCCTTGGCCACACTCTCAGCGCAGGGCATTTCTGGAGGTTGACACACATGGCTGCATTCCTCGCAGAGGAGGGTCCACAGCCAAATTGGTAGCAGGAGGAGGGATAATCACCCAGAAGATTCTGGAAACTTCAGCCTCAATGCCTCAGAGAGCAGGAAGATGGGTGCCCCATCCTGAGGACTGCACGGTGGCCTGGATCTTAGACCTACAAGGCAGGACCCCAAAACAGTTATTAAGTGGCATGTTCTCTGCGCCGCTGCACACTCAATTGCCATGAACGATGGGAGCTGACCGCTGGCAAGTTCAGGCCAAGGTTTCTCCTGCAGGCATGAGGGCCTGCCCCCTGCACAGCCTCTGGGCCCTGTTCCTGCGGGGACACCTGTCCGTCCCCTGTGCTGGGAGGAGGGGCCTGAGGCTCACACTCCTTCCATGCTGGGCCTGTTCTGCCGGGCACAGATGTCACACATGAGCAGGAGCTGGGAGGGCACACACAAACATGGATGAGTGACCGTGCCTTACTGCAAAGGTGGATCCTTGGGGCTCAGGCCCCTCCAATTCACCTCCACCCCATACGCCTGGTCAGTCCGCTCCATCACAACGGTGATGTGTGTGCTCAGCAGAGGCTGAAATGGCCAAGGTCCTCCTCACGTCTTTGGCTTCTGTAAAGTCAGTTCTTGTTTGAAGCTGGGGCCACAATTCTAAGGCAGTTCCTGATTTCAGATCCTCCTGTTCACAAAATCAGCTTCCCACAGAAAAAGAACCAGCTCACTCCACCCTGGAAGAAGGGCAGCGAGCTGGGTACCAGGACAACCATCAAGTCCTGTCATTTATTTTTAGGAAAAACAAAACCTCTTACTTTGATTAATTTCCTTATTTCAGGTTCCTAATTGCACAGATTTATTTAAACTCTCTTAAGAGTAAGAAATTGTACCAAATTCAGGATACCTACCAGAATTGTTTGTTTTATTTTTAAAGTCCAGGAGTTACTTTTTGGGAACCGCGCTCTCCATGCTACACATTCCTCCTTCATTCGTTTGAAGACATTAAGAGCAGCAACCTCAACTATATTTATTCTAAATGGCACGTGGTTTTAATCAGCTCTTGGTTTTTAATCGGCTCTGGTTTTTTGTCCTCGATTTCCTGAAATGGGATAATACCTTCAAAAGAAGGATGTTTGCTGAGTCATTCTTCGGGACTAAGAAAACATTTCTAACCTTGCTTTCACAGATAAAAAGTTAAAGACAAGCTTTGAAAAAGTATCTGATGAAAATCCTTGAACATTAAATACTGCAGGTGCAGGTAGCCAGGCTATGCCGGGGATGAAATGGTTAAGCTAATCTCAGAGAACTTCAACCGGTAACTCTCATGTGCTGGATTAAAATATAGTATGACCCATGAAAGAACAGTACCAAAAGTGAGAATAAAGTGAAGAAAGGTAGATGTATTGCTCAGGATTGCTGAGACATGGCACACGTGAACCACACAGCCTACCCTGCTGTAAACGTGAACTTTAGACATGTGGTACTTCAGACACATAATTTAAAAGGTAAACAAGCTTTTTAGCAGTACTGGGCTGACTTAGTTGTAGTCTCTGATGAAAGAGGAAAAATCCAGTTCATAGTTTCTCAGTCATTGTTAAAGCACCAAAGCCCTCTAACAAAAAGACCTTATCATCTCAAGACCCCCTTAGGAAATGTGAGTTATATCATCATTATCATCATCATCATCATCATGGAAACAGCCTCTCCCACACTTTGATGTGCATGTGAACCAGCTGGGCCCTGTTAAATGAGTATTTCTATTCCCTGGGCCTGGGACGGAGCCAAAGATTCAGCATTTCCAAAGCACTCCCTGGTGACTCGTCCGCTGGGCTGCCCACCACACTGAGAAGCAAGGGCATCACATGTAGAAATCATCCGTAAATTGAAAACTTGGGTCAGCACATTATAAAAATTGTTAAAAGTAAATTTAACAAACTCTTTACAATTTGTTTTCTGGATCCAAATTCTTCATCACCCGGATAACAAATGATTGGCCTTATACAAATTATTTTAGGCCAGGCCCAGTGGCTCACGTCTATAATCCCAACACACTGGGAGGCCTAGAGGTCAGGAGTTCAAGACCAGCTTGGCCAACATGGTGTTTAGTCTCTACTAAAAAATACAAAATTAGCTGGGCATGGTGGTGCATGCCTATAATCCCAGCTACTTGGGAGGCTGAAGCAGGAGAATCACTTGAACCTGGGAGGTGGAGGTTTCAGTGAGCCAAGAATGTGCCACTGCACTCCAGCCTGGGTGACGGAGCAAGACTCCATCTCAAATATATGTGTGTATGTGTGTGTGTGTGTGTGTGTGTATATATATATATACACACACCCTCCAGTGTGTGTATGTGTGTGTGTGTGTGTATAATTTTAAATTAATTATGTGGGGAAAATCATACATCAACTAATTTTTACAAATGTATTAGGTTCAGTTTTAAGACTGGATGTATATTTAAATATACATTGTAATTTAATTAAGATTTAAAAGACAAAAACTGCTTCCTGGCCCTGATGATTAGAACTCTTACACTTGAGCTAAAAAAAAAAAAAAAAAAGGTTTATTTTGAAAACTTTATTTTTAAGTGATGAGATAGGAAAGAATATTGCCTTCTGCTCCTTTAGACACCTGTCCACAAACACCACTCGCATTGTGGGTGAGAGGAATCTGCACTTACAATAATGAAAAGACAAATTAGATCCAATTGTTACTACAGTTTCCCCTTTTAACCCTGATATTTGCTACAGGCAACTGGATATGCCACGTGAGACCTTATCAGAGGATGGGACTGACACTTTAGGAGGATAGTCTGAGGTGAATTTGAAAAATAATTTCTTTTTATCTTCCTCTTGAGCTCGCTACATTTCCAGTGTGCTGGGAATTACTACCGTCCACTGTAGATACAGGTTAATTGACACAGAACAAAGAAGAAAAACTACTTAAAACTCTGTAAAAGTCCCCCAGGGAATTAGCAAGTCTCAGCTGGTGGCAGCTCTGGAGGGCACAGGTGCTGTGGGTCGTTAACAAAACCAGGCTTGGGCTCAAAAACATTTGAAAAATGTGAGTTGAAGTTTCACACACTCTTCTCTGTGGAACTCCGAACCTTCACTATTCCAAAGGGCCACGCTGGCTTCCCAGGAAGGATCCTGCAGACGCTGCCAAACGCCCCAGCCACAAAAACGTCCACCCGCTGCCTCTCACTGGGGCGCAGCAAACCAGACAACAGAACTGAAGTTGAAAGACGTGACCAGGGCTGTTAAACGCCATCCAGCCCAACGGTTTTCGCTCTTAAGCCCCTGCAGGGCCTGTTAGAACAAAGCTGCGGGGCCCAGTCCCCGAGTTTCTGACCTAATGCGTCCGGAGCAGGCCAGAGAACCTGCATATCTAACCAGTTCCCAGGCAAGGCCGGTGCTGCTGGGCCGCGCTCCTCACGCGGCGGGTCAGGCAAGCGGCTTGCACACGCGAGGGTGTGACAGGCTCCGGGCCACGTCCGCTGGGAGCTGGGCTCTGCGGCTTCCCGCCTCCCGCTCGGAGTCCAAATGTGTGAGGCTCGGAGCACTCAGGGCGCCCTTCCGGTAATGGGAATGTTATCAGCTTTATGAAGTCTGGTGCTTTTCTATTTTCATTATGTTAAAGCTTTTTTAACTATGACATTTTCGTGCCTTCCCAGGCAAAGCAGCAACAACCCACTTGCGGAGCCGCAGAGGGGAAATCATCACTCCTTCCTGGAAGGAAAGATGAGTTTTATCATCTCTTGTGTTTTAAGTTATCCTCAGACCCTCTCCCCGCCCGGGGCTACAGCCAAGCAAACAGAGCACTGCCCAGGGACTCCAAGGGTCTCAGAGCCTCTGTACCCCCCGATTTCAGCAGATGGAGCGCCCCAGTTCAGGAGGCCCCAGTGCTCGCATTCCTGCACCCAGGACGTGATCAATGGGCCAATCCTGAACGGGAGAACAGCCTGCCTTCTGCTGGGAAGCCCTGTTCCCATCCCCGACACAACGCCAGGCTGAGGCTGAGGCTGCCTTCTTGTGAATCTTCCAACCCTGTCCCCAGTCTGGGAGGCAGATCCAAGAAGACAGCTCTGTCAGCAGTCGCAGGGGGGGACCTCCTGCCTCCAGACAGCACAGCAGAGGGAGGGGCAGTGCCAGAGCCCCGGCCACCCTGTGTTGGAGTCAGAGACCACCAAAGGCGCTGTCACAGCGGCCTTTTCTGTGTAGCCAGGCAGAAAAGTCACCAAGGAGGCCAACGCGTGTTTCGGCAGCCCTGGATTTTTTGAAGTTTTATTTATTGAGGATATGTTGACCCGCCTGGAGCTTTCATTATCGATCTACTTAGTGTCATAGAGTCAAGTTCTACCCCTGAAAGTGAGACAGCCTGAGCCACCAGCACCGCGCCCAGCTCACATCGTGGCTTCTAACCGCGTCACCATCCTCCTAGCTCTGCGGATGCCTGCGATGTCCGAACTGCCTTAAGGTGAGGCGAGTGTCAGCACTGAACACAAAGCCTCAGGAGTGATAAAGCCGTCACGGAGTAAAACGCACCATCCTCTCCTCGTTCCGACTCTCTGCTCCTCTCCCTAGAGCTTGATTCCATCCCAGGGCCGGGAGAAAAGTGAGAGAAATTGATCTCAGCAGCTTCAAGCACAAGAAGAACTGGCTTGCTCTGGGGTAGGCAAACCATGGTCTGCCACTGCCATATGTTTCTGTATTAATAAAGTTTTATGGAAACACAGCCACGCCCACTTGCTTACAGATTGCCTATGGCCACTTTTGTCCTATAATAATTCAATAGTTGTGACAGAGACTGGCCTGAAAGGAAACAATTTTTACAAAAAAACTTAGCCAACTCTTGATTTATTAGAAGGAGATCAGGTTCTTCACAAGATCAAAAGAAGGTTAGAAAACTGACTTGGAGAAATGGGCAGGAAACAAGACAGGTGCCCACCAGAACACTGTCACAACCACACAGCACCATCACATCTGGACCAGCCCTGGACACAGCCACCCCTCAGGGGTCCATGGCCACCAGCCCCACCCCTGCTCCTCGGGACGCCTTCCTCCCGGCTGCACTTGCCGAGTCCCCTGGAGCACGGAAAAGGCTGTGTCAAGTGGTCTCACATCCCCCAGTTCACACAGCGAGGCTAGGTGGACACACCCAAACCTGGACGTCACCACACACCACGCTGTTGATTCCACAGCCTGATTTTACAATAGAAAATAGATTCTTTTCTTGTCAAATTCACGCTGAGCCACTTTTCCCTCACCCCCAGCCACTGTGTCCATCAACTACTGTGTCCATCAGCCACTGTGTCCATCAACTACTGTGTCCATCAACTACTGTGTCCATCAGCCACTGTGTCCATCAGCCACTGTGTCCATCAACTACTGTGTCCATCAGCCACTGTGTCCATCAGCCACTGTGTCCATCAACTACTGTGTCCATCAGCCACTGTGTCCATCAACTACTGTGTCCATCAGCCACTGTGTCCATCAGCCACTGTGTCCATCAGCCACTGTGTCCATCAACTACTGTGTCCATCAACTACTGTGTCCATCAGCCACTGTGTCCATCAACTACTGTGTCCATCAGCCACTGTGTCCATCAACTACTGTGTCCATCAGCCACTGTGTCCATAAGCCACTGTGTCCATCAACTACTGTGTCCATCAGCCACTGTGTCCATCAACTACTGTGTCCATCAGCCACTGTGTCCATATGACTTTCACCACTGGCCCCTTGACTCCAGGATGGGACTCTCTTCTCATCCATGTGTAATTCCAAACTCACATTTGACTCAGATACCCAGTCTAAACCTTTCTGGACTCTAATGTCACAATACCAGCTTCTCTCTACCCTCACAGCTGTGTACCATGTGCAGGTTTAATCAACAGGTCCTTGATGTCTTCATCTGACTCACTGAAACAAGTAGGAAAAAAGAAAGCAGAAGAGGTGGATGGAAGGATGGCACCCCTTCCTCCCCCGGCCTGTCTCCCCACCAGGTTTCCCAAACTGGAAGCATCCGTTCATTGCACATCTCTGAAGAGGCAGAGCCGGCACCACAAGAATGGAGGACTTGGAAGTAACAGTACCGAACACTGATGATTCTACTGAGAGAATGGAAAGAGCTCCTGGTTACGAACAAAAAGTTACAGATATTAGTCATGTTACCATGGACAAATCACTCACTCTGTCTGCACCTGTTCACTTGAAACATTATTGGGAACTGGCCAGCCACGGTGGCTCACGCCTGTAATCCCAGCACTTTGGGAGGCCGAGGCAGGCAGATCATTTGAGGGCAGGAGTTGTAGACCAGCCTGGCCAACGTGGAGAAACCCTGTCTCTACTAAAAATACAAAAATTAGCCAGGCGTGGTGGTGTGTGCCTATAATCCCAGCTACTTGGGGGGCCAAGGCAGGAGAATCGCTTGAACCCGGGAGTCGGAGGTTGCAGTGAGCCACACTCCAGCCTGGGGGACAAGAGTGAGACTGTCTCAAAAAAAAAAAAATGGAAAAAAAATTATTGGGAATTGTTTTATATCATAAAAGCCTAGAAAATTAAGAAAATGCAGAAAATCTCAAAGAATAATACAATACCAGTTAACTCATTACCTAGAGATAAATTCCTTGTTAATATTTTGGTTTTCAGCTACTTTTCTTTGCATATATGAAAGACCTGGGGTCATACTGTACACACACCTTTAATTTTTGTCCAACTTATACATCCTGGGGTCCATGTCCAGGATGTGCAGGTTTGTCACATAGGTAAGTGTGTGCCATGGTGGTTTCCTGCACAGAGCATCCCCTCACCTGGGTATTTAGGCCAGCGTCCATTAGCAATTATTCCTGTGCTCTCCCTGCCCACCCCCACAACAGGTGCCCAGTCTGTGTCGTTCCCCCCCCATGTGTCCATGTGCTCCCGTCATTCAGCTCCCACTTATAAGTGAGAACATGCAGTGTTTGGTTTTCTGTTCCTGTGTTAGTTTGCCGAGGATAACAGCTTCCCGCTCCATCCATGTCCCTGCAAAGGACATGATCTCACTCTTTTCTACGGCTGCATAGTAGTCCATGGTGTGTACGTATGTACCACACTTTCTTTATCCAGTCCCTCACTGATGGGCATTTAGGTTGGTTCCATGTCTCTGCTGTTGTGTACACACAACTTTATAACCTGCACTTTTTACTTATAACACATTGTGAACAATTCCCTGTCCTTAGTATTTCTCATCATGAATTTTAATCACTGCTTAATAACTATTTCTACACATGCACATCATCTAGCTAACCAATTCCCTCTTGAAGAAACTTTACATTGTTTCCAATATTTCCCATTAAAAATAATACTGCAATACGCAATCTTGATTGTAAGTCCTTGGAGAGATCTCTGATTTTTTCCTCTTAGGATACATTCCCATAAAAAGAATTCTAGATATTTTAAAGGTATATATGTAAGACTTTCAAAATATCTTGCCAAATTGCCCTGTCACCAACAGAATATGAGTGAACCTTGAAACCTCAGCTTCTTAATTTGTTAAAATGCAAACTATGTTCCCCTCCTCACCCTATAGGGTTGCCGGGAAAATCCAAGGCTCTAACAAAAGTTAAAACATGAACTCTGATGCAGGTAGGATTATCATCGCATCATAAATCACTCAGGGACCTGCCTCTTTTTTCCCACTATATCACTGAGGCATAAGTCTGAACCACTGTTAGTCAAAAAAATGCATAAATGAAATAAAATAATATAAACCCATGGGACACTTCTGGCAAAATGAAGCCTCCAGGCAAGGCCATGCTTTGGGACCTGCTGATGCGATTTGCTGCCACCTCCAGAACCACCAAGACGGAGTAAAAGCTTTTCGTTCCATGTGCAGCTGTGTGTGCTCCATGAGCGTGCAGAATTCTCTCTGTTGGCTGGTTCCCAGGCCATTCCTTCTCTACAAAGGTGACATCTAATCATGCACAATGGAACACCTGTGTGGTGTCCAAGTCCCCCGTTCACTACCAGAGAAAAATTAATGCAGGGCTGTCAACAGGCTCCTAAGGTTAAATAACAATAGTTTTAAAATCCTGAGCTGTAACACAAAGGCACATTTAATTTGAAAGCATGTATTTCTGCCTCTGCCTTTTGGTTTAGAGGACTTCATTCTGCCCTGGACAGTGAGAAGAGGGAATGGGGAGAGGAAGAGGAAGAAAAGGAGTGTGAAGTAGGAGGGAACGGAGGAGCCGGGGTGGGAGGGGGGTGGGGTGACCTGAGCACGCGCCTCACTCCTGGAACCCTGATTCTTCCACCGTACACGTGTATGCCATCACCATGCCCTGCGTCCTTAAGGGGTTCAATGTGGTGCTAAATAACATGAGCCCAAATAGTGCCTGCCATAAGCAGGCATCCAGTAATCCCAAGTGGTGGCTGTTAACAACACACTGAGTACCACCTGGCAGCTACAGTGGGTCAGACGCTGCACCGGGTACAGCAGGAAGCACAGAGCCCACCGCGCGTCCTCACATGTGATGGCCGAGGGGCCACCTCAGGGCTGCAGAGGGTGAGGAGGGCAAAGAGCTGGAATTTCCAGAGGGCTTGGGACGTGCTCTGGTACAGGGCACACAAGGCCGGTGCTGAGACACTGTGCAGCTGGGAGAGGGCGAGTTCTGTGGGGAAGCACAGAGAAAGCAGAGGCTCCATGGGAGGCTTCGGCGTCGGACAACCCCAGTGGAACAGGCGGGCCATTAGGAGAACACAGGAAAGTGAGACACACACAAGGAAGTCCCCTCTCCCCGGAGGTGCCAGACTCAGGTGGGGCTGCCACTGGCAGCAATCATGAAGAACATGGCCAAGGCTGCGGGCTCCACAGTGAGGCTGAGGATTGAACCTGAGTTTGAGCCCAGCTTTGTCCTCCTTCAGTAGAATGACTAAGTGACACCGGCCACACAGGTGTGGTGGCAATTGTGCAGAGCAAAGCACTTCAGAGGCTTCCTGAGCCAAGCACACGGGAGAGGAACCCACCCAGGCCACCTCCCGCCTAGCACCTACTGCATCTAATACCCACACTTCATTTATTTTGCTTAACATCCGTCTTCTCCTTGAATGGGAGCCCTACAGGCCCGGGGTCTACAGGAGCCCCATGAACAGTGGACTTTTGGCCACCAAGGCAGTGGTGTGATGATGGTGACAGCCACGGAGGAGTGTGGCTACTGGCAGGAAGGGCCCCGATCCTCCCCCAACCCCACCTCCACCCAGGCTTGGCCACTGGCTAGCTGTGACATGACAAGGCGGATGCCGGGGGCCTCCGAAGGCCTGGGTGTCTCCTCACTCCCCCGCCCCTCCGCCATCGCCATAGGAAGGACACACCTGGGCCAGCCCGATGGTTGCAAGAGCAGGATGGCAGGTGCATGGGCAGAGACACTAGGGCCAGCCCAGCCCGGAGCAGCCACAACCAATCATGAAGGACACCGCTCTGGTTCGGGGTGGTTTGATGGCTGGCCAATACCAGGGATTCCAACCTGACTAGAGAGGCCCCAGCATGGTCAGCTGAGGAACATCAGGAGGTTACTGGGGGGAATGGGCTCTGAGCTAGGTTTGAAGGGTGGAGAGGCAGGGAGAGGGGTGGGTAAGCTATGGGTCAGAACAGGCATCCATGAGGATCTCTCAGGACCCAGGGCTTGGATGTGGGGCAAGGACTGCACACATGGATGTCAGTGAGGACCGTCCAGGGGACAGCCCTGCACTAGGCAGGAAATTGCACACAGAGAGGTCAGTGAGGACTGTCCAGGGGATAGCGCTGCAGTGTGCAGGAGACTGCACACAAGAAGGTCAGTGAGGACCATCCAGGGGATAGCCCTGCGCTGGGCAGGAAATCACACACATGGAGGTCAGTGAGGACCATCCAGGGGACAGCCCCGCACTAGGCAGGAAATTGCACAAACAGAGGTCAGTGAGGACCATCCAGGGGACAGCCCTGTGCTGGGCAGGAAATCACACACATGAAGGTCAGTGAGGAACATCCAGGGGACAGCCCTGCGCTGGGCGGGAAATCACACACATGAAGGTGAGTGAGGAATATCCAGGGGACAGCCCCGTGCTAGGCAGGAAATTGCACACACGAAGGTCAGTGAGGAACATCCAGGGGACAGCCCTGCTCTGGGCAGGAAATCACACACATGAAGGTCAGTGAGGAACATCCAGGGGACAGCCCTGCGCTGGGCGGGAAATCACACACATGAAGGTGAGTGAGGAATATCCAGGGGACAGCCCCATGCTAGGCAGGAAATTGCACACACAGAGGTCAGTGAGGACCATCCAGGGAACAGCCTCTGCAACAGGCAGTGGACAGGAGACCGCATGCACGGAGGTCAGTGAGGACTGCCCAGGGGATAGCGCTGCAGTGTGCAGGAGACTGCACACATGAAGATCAGTGAGGACCATCCAGGGGACAGCCCTGCGCTGGGCAGGAAATCACACACATGGAGGTCAGTGAGGACCATCCGGGGAACAGCCCCGTGCTAGGCAGGAAATTGCATACACAGAGGTCAGTGAGGACCGTCCAGGGGACAGCGCTACAGTGTTACGAAGGTCAGTGAGGAACATCCAGGGGACAGCCCTGCTCTGGGCAGGAAATCACATACACGGAGGTCAGTGAGGACCATCCAAGGGACAGCCCCACGGTGGGCAGAAGGCAGGTGGGCAGGCGGCAGGAGACCACAGGCATGGAGGTCAGTGAGGACCGTCCAGGGGACAGCCCCACGCTGGGCAGGGGGCAGGAGATGACACTGTGGTCATCCGAAAGCTTTCGATGGTCGGCAGGACTATGAATTGAACCAGTCAGCGGGGGCTTCCACAGGCTGCTGAGCAGTGAGGGGACATCTGAGAAGGTGTATGTGGCACCTGTCCAAGCTGATTAGAACAAGGAGAGTCAGGAGTGAGGAGGATGCATGGATCATCAGGGCCAGGATGACAGAGGAGGAACAGGGGAAGTCAGGGTCAGGACGAGGGTGTGGCCGTGACTCAGCAACTGAAAGAACACAGGAGCTACCCAGCTCCAGGGGTGTGGTGAAGGCAGCCTGTGGGGAGCTGGAGAGGAGCAGGTGCGGAAGTGGCTCCGCTCCTGTGGGTGTCGGGGCAACGTGGGACGCTCGGAGCAGGTGCGGAAGTGGCTCCGCTCCTGTGGGTGTCGGGGCAACGTGGGACGCTCGGAGCAGGTGCGGAAGTGGCTCTGCTCCTGTGGGTGTCGGGGCAACGTGGGACGCTCGGAGCAGGTGCGGAAGTGGCTCTGCTCCTGTGGGTGTCGGGGCAACGTGGGACGCTCGGAGCAGGTGCGGAAGTGGCTCTGCTCCTGTGGGTGTCGGGGCAACGTGGGACGCTCGGAGCAGGTGCGGAAGTGGCTCCGCTCCTGTGGGTGTCGGGGCAACGTGGGACGCTCGGAGCAGGTGCGGAAGTGGCTCTGCTCCTGTGGGTGTCAGGGCAACGTGGGATGCTCAGGAGGGGGCCTCAGCACGCAGGAAGCTGAGCTCACAAGGGGTCGGATTGCAAGATCTCTTCAGAGGTGGAAGCTGATGCGGGTGGAGGTGGGTGGTTTCTAAAGATAAGAAGGGGAGGAAGAAGATGGGGACTGGGAGGGGAGAGGGAGAGAGAGAGCAGAAGGATGAGCTTCTGTTGAAGAGAGAGGCGCCACACACAGCCTCCACGCAGCCTCCACCCAGCAGGCGGGACCAGTGGACAGGCTGCAGCTCACAGGGTCCTTGCTCAAAGGCGGCAGCAAATGCACCATCCACTTCCTTTCCTTGCCGGCCCGTCAGTCACAGCATCGGAAGAATGAATAGTGCTCCCTGATCCCTAACGTGCAATCGGGGCTGGAGCCGGAGACCCCTCCACCCTGCAGTCAGGGCCAGCGGGGCTGTCTCAGGCAGCACATCTAAAGGCCTCTCCAAGCCATGCACCCACCCTGCAGGAAAGAGCTCAGCATCCTGGCATCAAGTCTGCCATTCAGGCCACACTGGGACTTGGTGTCCAGTCCTCATCTCTTCTTTCTAGAAACCCAAGTTAAAGATCAAGGTGACACAGAACCAGAGCTTAGCAGCCAAAATCAGAATAGCACAGATGCGTAGTCACCCCAAAGCCCATCTGCTTTGTTCCGGGATCCCCCAGCCTCATTTCCATCTCTGTCATGGGCTCTACTGACAACACACTAGCAGAAGAGACCACACGTCTGTCAGCGCCCACAGGCAGGTGGCCCAGGGGAGCAGGGCCTGTCCTTTGCCCAGGCCTGAGGCCACACGGGCAGAGTGGCAGTGGAGGGCTGGCATGCACACAGAGGATGGTGACTTGCAGTGCTCTGTTCCATGGCCGAGAGGGCTGTAAGTGATTTGGTGCATCTTAGATAGTCATTCCACCCGGCAAGCACCAACTCAAGGATGTTCATGGCCCTCAAATGTACACTTGAGGCCAGGCTATGAGGGGAGCACGAAGATAGAGGACGAGACACAAGTCAAGCCTTAAAAAGCCATTCTCTCGGCAGAGAAGAACAGGCACACACAACCAAGCTGCCCATTCCCCAGAGCTGCTAAGGAGACAGTGTTCGCAGATCTTGGATCAGTGGAGACACCCTGAGAGAGACACCTCAGAGCCTGTACTTTCCAGATTTCAAGGCCACACCCCTAAACCTGTTTCCTGGTGTGCGGGGACACATTTAGCTGGGCCCGGTTCTATCAGGGAATATTTAACATAGTTTCAATGTTACAACTTGGCATCCTCGGCTTCTCCCTCTTGGGTTCTGGGGGAGCCCCAATGACAGAACAACTTAGAAGCCCAGGGTGCTCCGAGGAAACATTTCACCAACTCAGCCCACGGCACCCACACCAGGTGCTCATAGACAGCTGCTAAAGAAATGAGTGAATTAATGACGCTTTCTCAAATTCGCACCCCACAAAAACCTCATTCACACTAAGTGTGTGTGTTTACTCTCTCTCTCTCTCTCTCTCTCTCTCTCTCTCTCACCCAGAGTCCAGGCTAAGACCATCTCACTCTCTTCAGTTTTTATCTTTTCCAAGATTTCATTTCTTAAAAAGATTCTACCCTTCTTTGCATCCTTTTGAACTCCCTCTTCTATTCCTAACCCTGTTCTCTTTTATTTTCATATTGTAATCACAAAATAATTCACAGATATCAGAAATTCTCCTATTTGATAAAAAATACTGTAATTCCATGTAAGAGAAACAGCCATGTTCTTTAAAAACTGAGGAAAAGAAGAGAAAGAGAAAACTATGAGTAGGTCGGATGTGAATGTAAAGAATAAGCCGACAGGTCGGATGTGAATGTAAAGAATAAGCCGACAGGACACTGAGGGCGTTTTGCAGGATCACATTCTTCTCAGGGCCGCTTGCTGGGAAACGACATGTGTCGAGTTCCCAGCAGTGGGAGGGCTGTCGTCGAGGAGGCCCAAGGAATGTACCTTCCCAGCCTCCCACAGGGGATTCCTGCCACCCATGTGAGGTCACATGGGGTTGGCAAAGAACCTTCCTTGAGTAATAGAACTATCATCAATAGGTGATTTGAATTTGTTTTTCTCAAGTTAAAATATTGAAAACAGTTGGTCAGGAGTTGACGGCAAGAAATGCCAGATGAAATTTTCTGGCACCTTTGACCCTGCACCTCTGAGATAAGATGGCAGTGAAACCTCCTCCGTGTCTACCCTTCATGCTCTTACCTTTTCCTTTCCCTCCTCACCTCAAAATGTCGAGAGGCAGCTGGATGCGCTGGTGTGGTCAGGATGGCTACGCAATGCTATTTGCACTTCAAGTTTTACCCCCTATCCTGGGTCCTGGGCCAAGACCTAAAGAGCAGTGTGGTTTGTGATGTTATTAAGTGGATCGGACAGAGACTATGGAAATGCGAACGTGCACATCACATCAACCTGTGCAGAACTTGGAAGGGAGAACCCACGGCTCACAGAGGGGCTTTTTCCTCCTAGTTCTCCTAAACCATCCACATCTTGTAGAACAAAGAACAAGGGTCCCAACACGAAAAAGGAGGCCATCCACACAGGCTGGTGCCATCCCTCCCATACCTGTCTCTGTAGACATGCTCTGTGCCTTGCTTGGAAAATGGAAACTTCTCCAGGCAACCCTGGCCGCACAGCTTTGCCTCTCACACAATCGCACACATCAGCTTCACCCATGTTTCCGGCTAAGCGTCATGTCCCCGCACACCCCTGGGCACCAGTGCAAGACACGGTGGGAGGCAGCATGCTCACAGCTCCTTGGGTACAAACGGGTTGTTCTCACAGAGGCCGGAAAGAGCCAGGGTTCCCACATGCACATTGCTAAGTGAAAGCAGCCAGTCTGAAAATCCTGGAAAAGGCAAAACTATAGAGACATTTAAAAGATCAGTGGTTGTCAAGGATTCCGGGAGAGGAAGGGAGATGTGAGTATGTGAAATAGATGATTTTTTTAGGGCAGTGAGGCTATTTCTATGTTACTGTAACTGTGGATAAATGACATGCATTTATCAAAGCCCACTGAACTTCACAGCACAAAGAGGAGCCTTAATTTATGCAAGTTTAACAAAAAAAATCAAGGATGCTTCAGATCCCGGGACAGAATGCCATGCAGACGGTGATGACAGAATCCTGCAGCATCACAGATGTGTGAAGCCACTGACACCAACGGGGCAGGAGAAAAAGTGCTGACCTACATAGCTCTGGAAACGAGCAGAGCCTGTAAAACTGAAAGGAAAAGATCCTGTCTATAAGCACTGTGCTCTAGCTGATAAACTTGTTTCCCAAGAGGTACCAGCTAGCAATTCTGACTCTACCACACATGCATGCAAAGTGAACAATGAGGTTAACAGCTGGCAGGTGGCAGGAGGAAGTTCTCCCTATTGGAGTGGAGGTTACAGGTAAGCAGGAGGCAGCGTCTGGAATAATCCACATGGTAAGAGCCTGGAGTTGGAGACGTGAATAAGAGCTCATGGTTAGCTTGGTATAGATACAGATGGTAACAGAAATATTTATAAATATGTGTATATTCCTAGATCTCACAGTCACACCCACATGCACACACTCACACACATGCATAGTCACACACACACACACACATCTTCTCGCTCCGTCAGCTGACATGTCCTACAGGCAAGGACATCCCCGCAGTAATGAGCACACACCACGCCCAGCACTTGATTTCCAAAACCATTCTCAGATAGAAGGGACTGGGACTGCTTGGAGAAATGGCTAATTCTAAGACTGAGACAGGAAATACACAAGATGAGCCTAAAGCCTCTTGTAGTGTCAGAAAGGAAGGAAGTGTTTTCAAAAAGCCATAAAGATGGACGTATTCAAAGGGACAGTTTGTGTGAGGCCACGGAACGGGCTGCCGGCAGCCGAAGCTGGAACAATGTGAGCAAACAAAATGAAAAGTGTTATGTTATAGCCCAAAATATAACATAAAGTGTTGAATAAATAAATGGGAAGAAAGAGACAAATCTCCTGTGCAGAATTCCAAACAATTTCTGTCTATCCTCTGCCTTCAAGGAAGCAGAGCATGACGCGTCACTCACGAGTGTGGGTTTACACTGTGCCTTCCCTCAGAGAGTGCAGCAGGGAAAGAGGGAAGCGGGGTGAGGGGGAGAAGCCGCAACCCTCCCCACCAAGCCACTGAGCACAGTTGGTATCCACCATGATGGCGCACACTGAGTGTGTGGCTTTGATCTGATGTGATGAGAAGGCACTTCACCCCAATCTTCCTCCCCAGAACTCAAACACATCAGACAAATCCAGGCCAGGGGACATTCTACAGACTGACCAGGCCTCCTCAAAACTGTCAGGGTCCTCAAAGCCAAGGAAAGTCTGAGAAAATGTGATAGCCAAGAGGACCCCAGGAGACACGACCACGAAATGTATGGTAGAATCCTGGATGAGATCCTGGGACAGAGAAACTTCATTAGGTGAAAACTAAGGAAATCTAAATAAAGTAGGGAATTTAGTTAACAGTCACATAACAGTCATTGGTTCCTTAATTATGACAAACTGTGTACTAATGTAGGAAGTTAATTGGGAAACTGGATGTGAAGATATGAGAACTCTCTGTTCTACCTTCAGTTATTTTAGTAAATCTAAAACTGTCCTGAAAAATAGTTTATTATAGACAGAGAGAGAAATAGCCACATGGTAGAATATATGAAGCCATCAAAATGCTATAGGTTAATACTTCTTAACACAGAAATAGGTTTATGCTACATTAAGTTTTAAAAAACAAGATGTAAATGTGGAAGATAGAAAAGGCAGCCCCGAAACTTACCAGTGGTCATTTGTGCCGGGCAGCGGGAATGTTTTGGCCTTTGATCTTCCTTTTCTGCTTATCTGTGTTTCACATTTTCTTCAAGGAACATGTTAACATCTTTTTAACCCATTATGAAAAATTATACAAGTTATGGGTTATTCAAAGCTCAGTAAAAGCCACTGATACACTAAGTTGATATTTCAAAGGGTGTGATTTTGAAGCCCTCTCACTACAGGCTTTATCAACGCACGATGACTGCACAGGTCTGTCTTAGCTCTAAAGCACCCAGCACTCTGCATCAACACCACGGGCATCAAATGAGGCGGATGGAAGCCTACAACCCTCAATCAGTAACAGCTTGCTGTTTCGTCCAGGACTGACATAGAAGGATTATTCAGGGGGCCCTAATCTTTCTCTTCTGTCTGCTGAGGATGGTCTTACCTCATCACAGGTATACCTGGTATACCTCTGGCTGTTTGTGGAGAGCCCCTGAAAACACAGCAGTACATTCTCCTCGTTTATCAATGAGGAGGGATGGCCACGAAGGGGAGCGGCTGGAGAGAGGGAGTGACGGAGAATGCACAGCTGCATGGAGATGACCCCAGGATGGCAGCAAAGGGCATTCCTCAGAATGACGTGGGCTGCCCAGTCCCTGAACAAGCATGGGCCTGGCAGGGGTGTTCCTCAGATGTTTGTGATGCAATTAAACCTCTGTGGTCCATGAAAGAGAAGGATCTCAGCTGTGTCCACTTAGGGTGTCCCTGTGAGACACGACACATCCCTGCACCCCAGGTGATGGCGATGCCTCCCACTGGCAAAAAGGATCCATGTGTGCAGCAACCCCACCTCTTCCTCAGTGCTCACGGGTGCGTCAAAGAGAAACAAAAGAAGGATACCTACTTTCCAAACACATCATCCATCAACATGCATGCAGCTGTTTACTGGAATTTGCTTTTTCGTTACTTAAGCTAATGAGGTCATTTGGAAGATATTTATGAAAATAAAACATAAGAGGATGAACCTGCCCCATCCATTTGGTTAACAGGAAAACATCTCGCAGATGTAACAGCCATGGCTGACTTCCAGAACTGTCACCATCCGCCTGCCTCAAAGTCACTGGCACGTGTGTGGTTTGCTGCTCCTGGACCCGCTCTCTCAGGGGCATCATCATGAGGCCTCTGCAGAGCCAGAGGAAAGAAAATCATCTGAAGAAGAGGATTCCGTGACCACTCTTATTTTATCTCCACAGTACTGTTTCTTGCCTAATTTGTGCCGAACATTTACGATGACAAAGACGATGATCCGAAAACAGCAGGCAGAACAAGGTTGCACTATGGCGAGGAGAACTGGGATGCGGAGAGAAAGGGGCAGCCCCGGGCACACAAAGCGGCCGCGTGCACCAGCTGGTGTTTCCCTCTCAGTGAGTGTATTTTTTTTTTTTTTTTGAGGCAGTGTTTCCCTCTTGTTGCCCAGGCTGGAGTGCAATGGCATGTTCTCTGCTCACCGCAACCTCTGCCTCCTGGGTTCAAGTGATTCTCCTGCCTCAGTCTCCCGAGTAGCTGGGATTACAGGCACGTGCCACCATGCCTGGCTAATTTTTTTATTTTCAGTAGAGATGGGGTTTCTCCATGTTGGTCAGGCTAGTCTCAAACTCCCAACCTCAGGTGATCAGCCCGCCTCAGCCTCCCAAAGTGCTGGGATTACAAGCGTGAGCCACCATGCCCAGCCGTGCGAATGTAATTTTTAAAATCCAGCATCTCAACATCAGGAAGAACTTTACAGACCAGTTTCCCTTCTCACTCAATTTGGCTGCATCACCCACTGCTCCCAATGGGAGGCGAGTCCCAGGGGCTTTTTCCACCTCATTCCATGCTCGCCTTTCTACATCATCTGTTACATGCTCAAGGCTTCCCCATCGGCCTCTGCAATCCCTCTTCCCAGTTCCTTCCTGTTTCCCTACTCTCCATCCTCCTCTCCTGATTCCTTTCCTTGGCTTGTTTTCACCCACGTGCCACTGAAATACCAGCGTCTACCAAATTTTCACTATCGACACCTCCCACGCTTCATCCTCTGTCTGGTCGTCTCTCCACAGCCATGGCTGTAGTCAGGAATGATTCCTAAATACGTTTCCACACTTTTTCCAAGAGTTCCACCTTCATAGTCCAGTCTTTCTGGACGTTGTAACCTCTATCACACAAACATTTCATACTTGATACTCTAAGGCTGAGCCCCTTTTCACTGTCCCCCTCCCCACCTACCATGATATCCACAGACACGCTGGTGATTGCACCTCACAGAAGCCTCTCTGGGCTTCTCCCCACGCCCCGGCCGCCTGGCCATCTCTTGCCTCAAAGGCCTCCTAAGGAGTCTCCATAGCATTAAGTAATTTACCTTCCAATTCATTCTCCTCTCTCCTACAATTAAAAGTGAATCATTCCAGCCAGCGCAGTGGCTCACACACCTGTAATCCCAGGGCTTTGGAAGGCTGAGGTGGAAGGATCACTTGAGCCCAGGAGTTAGAGACCAGCCTGGGCAACAAAGTGAGACCCTGTTTCTAAAAAACACATAATTTAAATTTTAAAAAATAAATGAAAATCCTCCAATAACATGCAGCCTCTTCTGTATGAAGCCAAAACTTCCTTACAAGGCACAAAGGTGCTTTCCCCTTGTTCCTTCCCATGCCCTCAACTCCCCAGCCCCCTCCCAGCCTGCCTTGCACCCAGCCCTAGGCAGCCACATTCTTGGTGCTTTCTGCCTATTGTTCTTGGTGCTGTTCTTGGTGCTTCTGCCTATAGTTCTTGGTGCTGTTCTTGGTGCTCCTGCCTATTGTTCTTCGTGCTGTTCTTGGTGCTCCTGCCTATTGTTCCTGGTGCTGTTCTTGGTGCTCCTGCCTATTGTTCTTGGTGCTGTTCTTGGTGCTCCTGCCTATTGTTCCTGGTGCTGTTCTTGGTGCTTCTGCCTTTTGTTCCTGGTGCTGTTCTTGGTGCTTCTGCCTTTTGTTCCTGGTACTGTTCTTGGTGCTCCTGCCTATTGCTCTTGGTGCTTTTCTTGGTGCTCTTGCCTATTGTTCTTGGTGCCGTTCTTGGTGCTTCTGCCTATTGTTCTTGGTGCTGTTCTTGGTGCTTCTGCCTATTGTTCCTGGTGCTGTTCTTGGTGTTTCTGCTATTCCTGTAACCTGCAAGGCTTTTCTCCACACTACACCATGGAAAGTCCTCTCTAGTAAACCGTAGCCCAGCAGAACCACTCGTGAGTCCTGTGATTCCTTCCAAACCACTAGACCTGGGGCACCTTGGGCCCCAGCATGGTGCCTCACTGATTTTGGACTGGGCACAACACGATTCATCCAAACACCACTTGACAAAGGCCAGCAGGACAGAACAGTACAACGCTGGTTCCACAGTGTGGTCCTCACTGAAGACAGGGCGGGTGGCATTGACCCCCATTCCTGTCCCACAGTTGAGGGCTGCCCCACAGGCTTCCTCCTCACTTCGGGGGTGCAAGCCTGCAAGACCAAACAGCCCACAGCCTTGGAGGAGGCAGAGTGCGGGCAGCGCCCCCTCACAGAACCGCAGCAACGACACCTATCACCGCCCACCACAGGCGCACTGTGGGCTGATGGGGTGGGCCACATATGGGGAATTCCAGAACGTGACCCTGTACCTAAATCCCTGCAGTTCCCAAGTCTCCCTCAGTCCTTCCCAGACATCTCTTAAGGGGCCTGACTCTGCCTCAGCCCCACCGCCCCCCAGCCTGAGCCCCGTTCCACCTCCTCACTGGCCTCGCTGCCCCTCTGCAATCTCCTCCAACAGCCGCCAGGATCATCTTTACAAAATGCAAAGGTCATATTGCTCCTGAGCTGCAATGCCCTCAGGCAGTCCCCTGCCTTTAGGGTGGAGTCCAAGCCAGCCTCATGGACAGCGTCTCCAGACTCTTCCCCACCATAGCCAGGCAGGCCTCCAGGCGCTTCCAGACTCATCCCCACCATAGCCAGGCAGGCCTCCAGATGCCTCCAGACTCATCCCCACCACAGCCAGGCAGGCCTCCCCAGGCACCTCCATCCCCTTCGTCACACATCCCACACACCCCGGTTTGTTCCCACCAGGCCTTCACTAACATGCCACTGCAGAAAAACCTTCCCTCCCCCCCAGTCTGACTAGAGTCCACTCATTTTTCAGGTACCAAGTTGCACCTTGCTTCCTCCAAGAGGGCTCCCTAATTCCTGACCGGGCGGGGCACCCCTGCAACATTCTCCCAGCTCCCTGGACTCTCCCTGGCCCAGCTCTCGCCAACTGCATTGTGATTACTTAAGAACTTGCTCCTCCCTTAAAAGAAAATAGACTCCAGGAGGGCAAGAGTGGGTTTATCTCAGTTACTGCCATGGTGTCTATAAAATAGTTAGAGCCCAATAGTTCTTACTGAATCAATCTATCAATTAATTAATAGAGACGATACGGATTTCATGGGGTGGGAGGATATGAACATTAATAGAGACGATATGGATTTCACAGGGTGGGAGAAGGATATGAACATTAATAGAGACGATACGGATTTCACGGGGTGGGAGAAGGATATGAACATTAATAGAGATGATACGGATTTCACGGGGTGGGAGAAGGATATGAACACACAGGGACATCAGCGCTTGTCCTTTCTGGACTTAGCAAAGGCCATACTCAGTAGCTCAGGTGCCAAGTAAGCCAGAAGTGAAGAAAATGCACAGCCAAGCCGGGCCAGAACGTCCACAGAGGCTAAAGGATACGGCTCAAGCTCCACCTTTAAAAGAGGGTAGGACTGAGATCAACAGAGGATATAAACAGATTACCAGGACGGCATGACCATAGAGGAAGGACCCACTTGAGGAGGCCACAGCAGGACAAGAGGGAAGGACGAACCTTCCCCAAGGCTAAGGGTCAAACATTCGAGCTGATTAAAAATGTTACTTGAGGCCAGGCGCGGTGGTTCATGCCTGTAATCCCAGCACTTTGGGAGGCTGAAACAGGTGAATTGCTTGAGCTCAGGAGTTCAAGACCAGCCTGGGCAACATGGCGAAACCCCGTCTCTATAAAAAGTACAAAAATTAGCTGGGCATGTTGCTGGGTGCCTGTAATCCCAGGTACTCGGGAGGCTGAGGCAGGAGAATCACTTGAATCTGGGAGGTGGAGGTTGCAGTGAGCTGAGATTACGCCACTGCACTCCAGCCTGGGTGACAAAGCAAAACAACTCTGTCTCTAAACAAACAAACAAAAAAACAATACTTGGGCTCCAGGATGCCCATCATCCTGCAGCAGTTTGCACTGAGCTCCCTTTATGCCAACAGGCTCAGGATCCCCAAAGCACTGCAGCAGAGAACAGCCGTGCAGCATCTCAGGCCACACAGTACACAGGCGTCGTCACTGTTTCCAAGAACTTCCTTGGCTGAAAAGTCATTTCAAACTTTGGGGCTATTTTGGCATCTAAGTGGGAAGAGGGAGAAAACATTAAAAGAAGTCCCTTAGTGCTGACACTGTCCTGCCAGCCAGCACATCTCCTCATTTTATGAAGTCGGACTCATCCCAGCTATCTGTGTGAGACACTCAGTTGGCCATGACAGTTAAATTACTTTTTCATACCGAGAACAGAATTAGTCTATAAATAAGTAAAGAGGTGCTAGGGCTGAGTCAGAAGTGCCGATTCCACCTCAAGCTCCTTCCCTGCCCGATCTGCAGGTGGCTCTCAGGGCATGGGGGACCAAGCTGTGTTTGAGCCTTTGCTTTGCATGGGTGGCTCTGAAGGTGATGGAATGGGCTGGCATTCTCCAGCACTCTCTGGCATTTTCTGACATTCTCCAGCACTCTCCTGCACTCTCCATGTTGATCTGGGTGACTCTGGACCTTCATTCTAAAGATACTCAAGAATCTAGTGGCCATACAACATCCCCAAGGGAGAAAGGGGCCCTTTTTCTCCAATGCTGCTGATGCTGTTTCCCATCATATAAGGACTTTCTCCCATCCCAAGCAGCCAAGGGAAAGAAGTGACTCACCTCAGAAAGAAGAAAAAGGGAAGAAGGGTTACCCAATGCCTCCCCCATGGCATGGAAATTCTCCATTTTCCCCACAACGCCAGCACGGTCACACTCTGCAAGCAACACCCATCTGTTCTCCTTACATTTTCCAACTTTACTATCATTAGCCTGAAACCAAGCTTTCCTGTTCAGTGCAATGACTACTCTGCCAAACACACAAGTTCTGAACAGGACATGTGCCATGGGAAACATTTCGATTTAATGAGCTTTTCCAGTGCAACACAGAATGATTTTTTAAATCCCAGGGATGTCCCCCACTCAAACTTGTCATTTCTTTTAACAAAACAACGGCAATGCCAAGAAAGGAAAGCATTTTCTGGCCACAGAGTGGGCCCTTCAGCTCCCCTTCCAAGAGGGAGCCCTGACACGGAGGCAGAAGGACTTCCATCCCCTAAGAAAAACAGAGTTTGGGATCTTGAACAAGGTGCATTGGCAGCCTGGGTCTCACACCGTCCCTTCTAGAGCAGGAAGGTGTGGAAAGGAGAGTAAAATTCCACTATTGTGAAATTCCCCCTTCAGCAATGAAACGGACTCTGAGAACTTATTTTTCCTGAAAATTATTATTTATGTCCATCTAGATGGTGTTTCTATGTTTACTGCCACTACAATTTAAAACAGTTCATGCCCTTCGGTAGACAGTTTCTAGACGAGTCTTTCCTGGATGTTTGAAGCAGGTTCTCCACCTTCAGCTCAGCTCGAGGCCCCTGGAGAAACACTCCCCAGAGCAGGATCTCCAGAGAAGGCTCCCTTCCGTCAGGAGCAACAGTGGCTCCAACCCCGACTTCCAAGCTCTGGGCGGCCTTCCACTGTTTTGTGGGTGGTGATAATTCCATTTAAAGTAGCACTTACATGGTTTTTTAGAAAAGACTATAACTCCTGGATTTTTTTCAACCATATTACCAATAGAAACAAACATACGAAGAACGATCGGGTGGCTGCTTATCAGAAAATCCTAATCCCTGCCTCAGCCATGCCCAGCCAGGTCACAGTGAGCACGTCCTGGTTTCCATGTCTGAGCACCAGATCGGTAACCCCAGCCTCTTCACTCTCATGAGGGTGCAGCAAAGATTCAGCAGGAGGATACACATGGATACGCTGGGCAAACCACAGGCACCCTGCAGGCCATGAGGGCCTGGCCGAGATCTCAGCCAGCCAAGGAACAGGAGATTTCAGCCACGTCCCTCTTATCTCTCCCACAGCAGGATTCCAAGTGCTGCAGCCAGGACCTTATTCCATGACTTCCCTCTGTGCGAGGCGCTCAGTCCTGCAGACGCAGTGACTTCCTGCCCCAGCTGGAATGCTGTCTGCGTAGTCATACTATAATTTTATTTGTATTATTTTTATTGTTGTATTGTTATTTTATATTTTTTTCCCCAGTACTTTCAATCCTCTGTTGGTCGACTCAGGCAGAACCTGAGGGTATGCAGGGCTGGCTGTATTCTTGCCCAAAGGGACCTGAGAAAACATCTAGACCAACGCACAGGACTGTGTGATTCACCCGAAACCACACAGTTAGTTGCTGAGTTAGAGACAGTACTAGGTGTCTGGCTTCCCAACAGGGTGAATTATTTCTGGAAATTGTTTTTTCTCCCTGCATCTAAATTTAACAATGAGGAAATCTATTAGTAATCAGCAAGATGCTGAAGCAGTAACTCCAAAATCAGTTGACGAATGATTTCTCAGGAGCAGCACGCTGGGTGCTGGCTCAGGAGGAAGGTCCGCATCGGAATGGTGGACTGTCCAGGTACTGGCTCAGGGGGGAGGTCCACGTCACAATGGTGGACTGTCCAGGTAGTGGCTCAGGAGGGAGGTCCACGTCACAATGGTGGACTGTCCAGGTGCTGGCTCGGGAGGGAGGTCCACGTCACAATGGTGGACTGTCCAGGTAGTGGCTCAGGAGGGAGGTCCACGTCACAATGGTGGACTGTCCGGGTAGTGGCTCGGGAGGGAGGTCCACGTCACAATGGTGGACTGTCCAGGTGCTGGCTCGGGAGGGAGGTCCACGTCACAATGGTGGACTGTCCGGGTAGTGGCTCGGGAGGGAGGTCCACGTCACAATGGTGGACTGTCCAGGTACTGGCTCAGGAGGGAGGTCCACGTCACAATGGTGGACTGTCCGGGTACTGGCTCGGGAGGGAGGTCCACGTCACAATGGTGGACTGTCCGGGTGCTGGCTCGGGAGGGAGGTCCACGTCACAATGGTGGACTGTCCGGGTAGTGGCTCAGGGGGGAGGTCCACGTCACAATGGTGGACTGTCCAGGTGCTGGCTCAGGAGGGAGGTCCACGTCACAATGGTGGACTGTCCAGGTGCTGGCTCAGGAGGGAGGTCCACGTCACAATGGTGGACTGTCCGGGTACTGGCTCGGGAGGGAGGTCCACGTCACAATGGTGGACTGTCCAGGTAGTGGCTCAGGAGGGAGGTCCACGTCACAATGGTGGACTGTCCAGGTGCTGGCTCGGGAGGGAGGTCCACGTCACAATGGTGGACTGTCCGGGTAGTGGCTCGGGAGGGAGGTCCACGTCACAATGGTGGACTGTCCAGGTGCTGGCTCGGGAGGGAGGTCCACGTCACAATGGTGGACTGTCCAGGTGCTGGCTCAGGGGGAAGGTCCACATCGGAATGGTAGACTGTTTAGGAGAAAGGTCCACGTCAGAATGGTGGACTGTTTTAAGAGGAAGGTCCACGTCAGAATGGACTGTCCAGGATGGTGCATGTGCAGGGTGTGTTCTGGCACCACTGTGTGTGTACAGCGAATCGCTCTCTGTAACCTGGCCCCTGGTGACCAGATGCACTTACAACATGCACCTTGCTGCGGCTAGATGCAGTCTGTGGACACAGATTAAGGTGAAGTGAGGGCATCAGCATGGTCTGGAGTCCGTGAGGCACTCGGACCACCGGAGCCAGCCCAGGGGTTGGCACAGTCTGCAGGGCTCAGCGTCTCCCCTGGTTCTCACGTGGACATTGGCTTTCCTTGTCTTGAGAGCAGCTCACCATCACGAGTTCTTCCAACAGCCCAAGTCTTCATTTCCACACACTTGCTTCTGTGTGTGGCAGATGTGGAGCTGGAGAGAACAGACCTGCCGTGAGAAGGGAGAGGGCAGCAAAGATCACCCAGAACTTGCTGGGACTGAGATGAACAAAAGTTACCCAAAAATGGGAATTTCAAGAATAGCCAAGGGCTTCAACAGAGGATGAGCTGACACTTAGATTTAGGGATTGTCAGCATCACCGTGGCTGCTGACATCTTGAAAACTGGAAAATGGGGTCTCAGAAGAACAAGATAAGAGCGCAGGAGGCCAGGGTGTGACTCTTGGGGTCCAGGAGGGGACATCACAGGAAGCACAAGTTGGAGGGGCCAGACGGGTTGCAGCCAGGTTGGGGTCTGGGGAGCCCCAGTGTGACCAGGGGCGGGGGTGGTGGGTGAGCCTCAGCAGCCAGAGTGGTGCAGACACGTCCCACGGTGAGGGCTGGTGCGGACAAGAGATTAGCCAAAGGAGCAGCCACCATGCTGCCGACAGCGAGTCTGCCCTGAAGTGGAGTCTGCCCTGGAGTGGAGTCGTCTGCCCTGGAGCGGAGTCATCTGCCCTGGAGCGGAGTCTGCCCTGAAGCGGAGTCTGCCCTGGAGCGGAGTCGTCTGCCCTGGAGTGGAGTCCTCTGCCCTGGAGTGGAGTCGTCTGCCCTGGAGTGGAGTCGTCTGCCCTGGAGCAGAGTCTGCCCTGGAATGGAGTCCTCTGCCCTGGAGTGGAGTCGTCTGCCCTGGAGTGGAGTCATCTGCCCTGGAGCAGAGTCTGCCCTGGAGTGGAGTCATCTGCCCTGGAGCGGAGTCTGCCCTGGAGTGGAGTCGTCTGCCCTGGAGCGGAGTCGTCTGCCCTGGAGTGGAGTCGTCTGCCCTGGAGTGGAGTCTGCCCTGGAGTGGAGTCGTCTGCCCTGGAGTGGAGTCGTCTACCCTGGAGTGGAGTCTGCCCTGGAGTGGAGTCGTCTGCCCTGGAGTGGAGTCTGCCCTGGAGTGGAGTCGTCTACCCTGGAGTGGAGTCGTCTACCCTGGAGTGGAGTCGTCTACCCTGGAGTGGAGTCTGCCCTGGAGTGGAGTCATCTGCCCTGGAGCGGAGTCTGCCCTGGTGTGGAGTCGTCTGCCCTGGAGTGGAGTCGGCCCTGGAGTGGAGTCTGCCCTGGAGTGGAGTCGTCTACCCTGGAGTGGAGTCGTCTGCCCTGGAGTGGAGTCTGCCCTGGAGTGGAGTCGTCTGCCCTGGAGTGGAGTCATCTACCCTGGAGTGGAGTCGTCTACCCTGGAGTGGAGTCTGCCCTGGAGTGGAGTCATCTGCCCTGGAGTGGAGTCTGCCCTGGAGTGGAGTCGTCTACCCTGGAGTGGAGTCGTCTACCCTGGAGTGGAGTCGTCTACCCTGGAGTGGAGTCTGCCCTGGAGTGGAGTCATCTGCCCTGGAGCGGAGTCTGCCCTGGTGTGGAGTCGTCTGCCCTGGAGTGGAGTCGGCCCTGGAGTGGAGTCTGCCCTGGAGTGGAGTCGTCTACCCTGGAGTGGAGTCATCTGCCCTGGAGTGGAGTCTGCCCTGGAGTGGAGTCGTCTGCCCTGGAGCGGAGTCTGCCCTGGAGTGGAGTCGTCTACCCTGGAGCGGAGTCTGCCCTGGAGCGGAGTCTGCCCTGGAGCGGAGTCTGCCCTGGAGTGGAGTCGTCTGCCCTGGAGTGGAGTCTGCCCTGGAGTGGAGTCTGCCCTGGAGTGGAGGGAAGTGAAGCCAGATCGCTGAGGAGTGCGAGGAAAGCTGTTGGTTGTTATGGTCAAGCCCCAGAACTCGTAGATGGATGTCCCCAGCCCAGTGCCTCAGAAGGTGACTGCGTTTGGAAATCAGGTTTTTGCAGGAAAAATTGGCGTTAACCCTCAGCATGGAGTGGGGATTGGTCCCAGGACCCCCACTTACGCCAAAATCTTCACACACTGAAGTCCTGCAGCTGCCCCACGGAATCTGCATACACAAAAAGTCAGCTTCTGTACACTTGGCTTTCACAGCCCTCAAATACTGCATTTTTGATCCATATTTGGTTGGAAAGATCCATGAATAAATGAGTTCAGACCCATGTTGTCCCAGGGCCCACTGTAGTTCCGATGAGGCCACTGGGGGCTCCTCCAGCACAGCCAACACCACCTGTGCCAGCATCACTGCCCTTCGAAGTGTGGCCCCAGCAGCGGTCTCCTGCACCCTCCGAAAAGACAGCCCTTGGAAGACTGTGGCTCAGGATGCAAGGCTCTGACTGAACCCTCAAGCTGGCCCTCCATGCGAAGAAATGCTGCGTCCCAGGCCCTGCACAGTGCTGGACTTCCCAGCTCCAGGCTCTGGAGCCGGCTGCAGAGCACAGCGTGAGGCAGGCCCTGACCGCTCTGGAAGGAAAAGCACCTCTGGCAAGTAGTCCAGAGGTGAAAGTTTCTCTATTTTGGAAACTGGGCATCTGCCAAGGAGAACACACGGCCCCCTAATGTGCAACAAAACCGTGAGACCCGAGCAGAAGCTGCAGCAGAAGGTAGCACGGGCAGGATGCTAGGCCCCAGGGGCCATGGGCTACGCACGGGCCAGGTTTCCAGCCTGCCAGCCCCATCCAGACTTAAGGACGGAAAGTGGGACCAAGGCTGAGCCGCTCCGCACCCCTCGCTCTACAGCTGGACACAGGCTCTGCAGAAATCCTGAGCTGGGGCCACCCCAGCCTCCCTGGCCCAGAACAGGCGCTCACTGTATCTCCTCCCTTCCTCCTGAGAGGTCCTACGGGATGGAGTATTAATAGTGCCGTGTTTAATTATTATTCAGCATAATCACACATATTACGGGGATTTTTAAAGATCCTTTCATGCACAATGAGTATTTATCTAATGTGCCCTCCTCATTCCCAAGCAGCCCTCGGGGGCAGATGCCCCCATCTCCCAGGACATCTCTGCTGGTCTCTCTCCACGGCACCTGCTCCACAGCCACCTCTCTCTGCTGTGCTCACACAGTGTGGAAGCTCCCGCTTCAGCAAGAGGAAAGCCCCGATGATACAGGGTGAAGACGCCTCCCCTCACAGACCTCAGACCTGTCCCAGAGCCCTGACAGGAAGACCCAAGCTCTCCTGAAGCCTTAGGGTCTCAACATCCCAAGCCGACAATGCCCCCCCATTGACTCGGCTCTCTGCAGACCTGCAGACCTGCAGCCCAGCCCCTACTCTCCCCTCTGGCTGGCATTGTGCAGTCCTTCCTTCCTCAGCAGCGCTGTGTGGGAAGGGGGACTATCTGCCCAGTCCCTGAGGAGATGATGACTTCCTACAGCTTCTGAAAGGGCCCGCTCTGGGGGGAGCCACATCAGGCAGACACACGGCTCCTGGTGTTGGCAGGGTGCCGGCGGAATCCAGGGCAGGATTCACTTGTGTGGCGAAGGGGTCACCCCTCGTGCAGGCTCAGGCCCTCCCTGCCCACCTGTGGCGGCGAAGGGAACTGACACCACTCCTTCCCGGTGAGCTCGGCAGGGCTGCATCTCTCCCGTGGGACGCTGCAGAGATAACCAGGTAGAGCCACGCTCACGAGAACCACCAGCCACTCTGAGCTAGGACGGGGCACAGGCAACCACGTTCCCACAAACACAGGGTCTGGAGGTCTCTCCGCTGGTCACGGCCTCGGAATTCCGACATGCTGGACTGTGGCTTGGGAAACTGACTCGGTTGTTCTCCATTCCTGATCCCATTTCCTGTTTGTGGGTGTGATGGCTGAGTTGTGCACCCCAAAGTTCATACACTGAAGTCCTGACCCCCAGGACCTCAGAATGGGACTGTATTTGGAGATGGGTCTTGAAAGAGGTGATTTCAGTAAAACGAGGTCGCCGGATGGGCCCGGATCCAGGCTGACTGGGTCCTTATGGAGGAGGAGGTGAGGACACAGACACGCACAGATGGACAACCCTGTGGGGCACAGGGAGGAGACGGCATCTGCCAGCCAAGGGGAGAGGCCTCTGGGGGAACCTGCCCTGCCGTGCTCTCATCTTGGACTTTCGGCCTCCAGGACTCAGAAATGTCTGTTGTTTGCTAAGCCGCCTGGTTTGTGGGGGTTTGTTAGGGAGACTGAGCCAATTCATACAGTGGATTCCGCCACTTTCTTTCTAACACAATGAAGATAGAGTTGGTGACCTCCTCAAACCTTCATAAAGGCATAACTTGTAACAACACAAGTTATGGTTTGTGACAAATATCACCAGAAGCCCCAAGCAGAGTCGAGACGTGCGCAGAAACTGCACAAGCCAACCTGGCTCAGGCCTGGGAGAGCATCCCTCCGAGGAGCATCCCTCCGAGGATCCCCCACAGCCTTCCCGTCCTCGGAGCAAATGCAGCTGTGTCCTTCCCGCACCGTGGGCCTGGCCCTCACCTCCCCCCACCCCACACCCAGCTTCTCCACCAGCTCCCCAGGCCTCCTCCCCACAAGGCGCGTCCTGGGCCTCCCTGACCCCGGCCATGCCCCCCGCCACCGGAGCCACTTCACTGCCTTCCCTGGCCACAGCTCCCTGAAGACAGGGCCAGCCTGCGTCTCCGTGTCCAGTCCTTGGACGTGCTAAATCCTCAGCGAGTGTCTGCCAAGACACATGTGATGAGCAGGTGAAGGAACATGTCTGACCTCCTGCTTCAGTGCCATGGAGGCCTCACCAGCCCCAGGCCATGGGCTGGCCTCTCCATTTCCTCCTTCTGAGAATACCGTGGAGTTGGGATTGTGTTTGCCTGTTTACAGGGACTACGGTCAGTGTCCCTCCCAGGCCGCTGGTCCTTCCTAACACCTGGCGGCCCACTGCTCAGCCATGTGGGGGTTGTGCACAGGGCAGGGCTCCGAGGTGTGGGCTCCACTCTGTGGGGGGGTCTCACAGCAGCCACACAGAGCTGGCCATTCCCTCACCGTGACCTCTGCAGAGAGTAGAATTGTCTGTGTACATGGGGCTGGGGCCAGGCTGTCCTCCGCCAGCTCTCACCCCAGGCTCCCCTGGTCTTCCTGCCCCGTATCCCAGATTCATCAGCACCAGCCACATCTCACCTGCCCCACAAGCTGCGCCTCGGTGCTGCTGTCTCAACCACCTTCCTGTGTAGCAGGGACCACCTACCTGTGTTGCTTGTGCTATGTCTGTTGGTTTAAAGCCCATCTCTGATCCCGCCCGACACACAGCAGGGACTCAGCAGGACACTCAGTCTAAACGACAGGGTAGGGGGCAGGCAGGGACAGCCGAGGAGCTGCTCCTGGGTGTTCCTGTGTTGTGTGAGCACATGGAGGAAGTTGGTGTGTACTAAGCAGTGAAGCTGCTAGCAACTGGCTGTGTAACAGCTGCCAAGTAACACATCATGTTTCCACAGAGCTCCAGAGGCATCAGCCTAAACAAGAGGCTCCCGAGAAGGTGCACTCATACAGTGTGGTGGGGGTACCCGTGCTTGGGTGCAGGACAGGCGGGGGCACCCGCCTGGGCAGCCTCCAGATGCTGCTGAGGTTTGCCATGGGGTATGAACGCCAGGTGACGTCCCAAAACAGGCCACTCAATCACTCCCCAGAGCCGGTCAGCCGTCTCTTGCCCTGTGAAATGCACATTTACAAAGCGTCACCTGGTGTATCAGGAACAGGTTCACTTGCTGTCTCAGACCTGTGAATGCCTACATTTCAGCTGATTTAGAACCACGCATGCTGGGCCAGGCTCGGTGGCTCACACCTGTAATCCCAGCACTTTGGGAGGCTGAGGGGGACGGATCAAGAGGTCAGGAGATTGAGACCATCCTGGCTAACACGGTGAAACCCCGTCTCTACTAAAAATACAAAAAAAAAAAAAATTAGCCAGGTGTGGTGGCGGGTGCCTGTACTTCCAGCTACTCGGGAGGCTGAGGCAGGAGAGTGGCATGAACATGGGAGGCGGAGCTTCCAGTAAGCCGAGATCACACCACTGCACTGCACTCCAGCCTGGGCAACAGAGCAAAACTCCGTCTCAAAAACGGAAAAAAAAAAAAAAAGAACTGTGCACGATGGACACTGGCCTCGGTGAGTCCACAACAGGAAGCAAACAAGGATTAAAGTGCCCGGAATTGGAAGACACAACATTTCCTACACAGCCTGAGTCTAAGGTGATGAGGGGTGGAAACACCAGCTCCTCAGGGGGCCAGCCCTGTGAGGGAAACGTGTGCTCACGAAAGTCAGCCTGGCCTTCGAGCCCACCAAGGGGCTTTGGGATCACACAGCCAGGGGCAAATCTCAGCTCTGCAGCCTGAGAAAAGTCACCCAAATGCCTCAATCCCCTTCTCAGACAGGCAGACAGACAATAATAACAATGATGCCTGGGACACAGGACATTAGAATGCCCGCAGCACTCACACAGCACCTGGTGGGCACTAAGCACCCGTCGCTGTTGGTCCTGGGGCTAACGCTGATGGGAGGAGCAGCTGCGTGCATATTTACTTCTGAATATTTTCACATTTTAAAATCATCTCCATTTTGCTTTGGAATGCGTGGCATCTCTGCTGTGCAGGTGCTGACACGCCCCAGAGCAAGCATTGGCTGTGTCGGCAGAGGAAGGTGGGAAGGCCCAGGGGAGGCCAGCAGGAGGACGGACTCACCAGGACACCCCCAAGGACAGGGAAGGTGCTGCTGACCACGGCCAGCAACGACGAGCCATGGTGACAGCTCACACACAGCTGCAAACTCACATCGCTGCCTCTGGAACCACAGAGTGCTCTGTATTAGATATTTTGTGCATTTTTGACCAAAATGAGTCAAATGTGGGGAGAGTGGCAACTGTGTGAGTCTGGGCTCCAATCAGCAGCGAAGATGCAGTGTGGGAATGACAGCAGCTTCCCTCTGCGGACACAGCACACACTCACCACACCTGGGCTGTGTCCACCAGCCCCAGGGGCTGTGGGGAGGGGCGGTCACCAGAAGGGGCCAGGCGGGAGCAGGACCAGCTCACAGTCTCCCCAGGCCTCCCCAGCCAGCATGAGTTCTCAGCATCTCCTCTACACACATGGACAAACACCACACACACGTGTACATCACACATGCCACACACCACACATATGCACACCACACACGTGCCACACACAGCACACATATGCACGCTACCACACACATGCACACATGTATCTCACATACCACACACAAGCATGCACGCCACACATGCCATACACACCACACGCATGCCACATGCACACCCCTAACTTAAGGCCTAGCTCCAAGTTTCTGTCACAACCAAGAGGGAAAACAGAGAGAATGCAAAAGAAGTGAGATCCATTCCTAGGACAGGCTGACCCCAAAAATAAGTAGAATTACGTCAGATATTTAGAACATGGAATTAGTGATTTGGTTCCCTGGCTAGTCCATCAAAGCCTGTCGATCCAAAATACAATTTAAATGCCACATGCTTGCAATAAAAAGCAATGGAAAGCAAGGTCTTTACAGTAATAATTAAGTGAAGCAATGAAATTGAATCCAAAATTATTTTTTGTTTCTCTTCAATACTGATGCTGGTACATGAGGAAAACAGAACAAGCATAATTGGACTGAATGAGGGAAGGTGGCAATTTGCGGAGGCTCTGCAGGAGCTCCTGGGAATGCTGGGGACCTGGACATCCCACGCCGGCCTCCCCGTGTGCCACAGACTCAGCTCTGCTCCCTGGAGCAGGTTTCATGCACTGGGACAGGGAGCTCTGGTACCCCACGACTTAAACACATAGAGCAAGGCGGGGGGGGTTCCATGTGGGCAAGGTGAAGAGAAAGCCCACGATGGAACCAGCTACAGCACACGTGTGAGAGCGTGTGCCTGTGAGCACCCATGTGTGCATATATGTGTGCCCATGTGAGGTGTATGTGTGCAGGTTTACACTAACATATGAAACAGAGTGAGTGCTGGGGTTGCAAAGACCCAGACCACAAAGAGCTGGTGGCAAAGGAAAAGAAACATGCACACTCCCAAGATCTGTTTCACAGCAGAACCCACTCCTTCCTGCTCCTGAGGGGCGAGGCAAGAGGTGTCGGGCCATGTGGGTCCCATGCAGGTTCCAGGAAGGACGTTCACTCAGCAGAGCAGGGGAATGGCAGGCTGGGGGGAGCTAGTGATCAAGTGCCCTCAAAACATACACGTGTGTGTGTGTAAGCATGTGTACGGATGTATCTGTATGCGGATGTGTGTGGCCACATGTATGTATATGAGCATGTGCATGGGGGTGTGTGTGTGAACATGTGCATGGGCGTGGGTGAGCATGTGCACACAAACAAAAACAAACCACAACAGACTGTGTTCAAAGCGAGAGGATCCCTAAGCTGCGATGAGGGAACTGAATTTAATGTCCTAGGTTACAGCCCGGCCAACAGCTGCCCCAAACCATGCCTGACACAGCAAATTTACAGACACATCACCCTACAGCGCTCAGGTAACGGCTTCCCAGCCACGCCCCATTACCCACGTCCCATGCTGCCATCCAAGAAACGCTCCAGGGAAGGGAAGCCAAGGCTGTCAGTTCACATCTCCCTCTCCAGAGTCGAGCTCAAGCCCGCGGCTGCCACCCTCCATGAACTGATGGGGAAGGGGGCCACAGGAAGGCCCCAACCCCATCCAGATCCAGGCCTGCGAGCCCAGGGGTGGCACAGAAACAGCAGGTGTTCCCTGAGAGAACGACCCAGGGCTGTGGCAAAGCCCCCTCCAGGCTCAGCTCATCCCACCTGTGGGGAAGGCACCATGAGGCCTCCTCACGAGGCAGACGGGTGTTTGCTGTGGTGGACAGATGCCCACATCTCACGCGCAGCCTCCTGGAAGGCAGCAGATGCAAACACCCCAGCTGAGAGGAGGAGGCTGAAGCAAGTGCAGGAAAGAACAAAACCAATGCACCACTGGACCATCACCTTTAGAGAAAAAGGTTAAGAAATCTGTATCACATAAAACAACCTCCAAACACCAGGCTCGACGCCCTCACCCACCACCTGCCCTCTGCTCATAGAAAGAACGTGGTGAACAGGAGCATATTTTACACAAACACATGCCTCCTCCCAGCCACGCTGGCTCCAACCTACTAGGCACCTGGAAGCTGAACGCATCACTGCACTCACACGTGCCTAAACACTTAGGTGCGCCGAGAAGCCCAGGCATTTGGGGTTTCCACTGACAAGGACACGGAAGGCAAAAAACCCAAAGCAACGTGGGTCCTTCCCTCTGAAGGGTCAGATAAACCGGCTTATTTTATTCTTAGAATAGGTTTTTGCCACAGTGAAAACTGAATAAACAACAAAGTCAGAAAGGGGCGTGTCCATCCACAGACTTTAATCCTGCATTAACAGAGGCTCCCTAAAGAAGGGGGTGCCGGAGGGAGGTGCAGACCGCTTCAGGGTTGGCCCAGCACCTGGGTGGTGCCCATGCCCCCAGTGTAAAAAGATCCTCAGCTCGTCGGGCACGACCTTGCTTTGTTATCTGCTCTTGGCCTCTGTCCATTCTCAAGCCACGTCACGTCTCTATGACCAGGCTCTTAGATGCCCAAAAGCGACATTGGGAGAGGAAACTGTCAGCCCCCAGCGTGGCTCCTGTGGCTTCTGAGAAGCCCCAGATGTCAAACAGGCATCAGAGCATTCCAGTCACGTGCCCCACAGAGTCATCACGGAGACAGCAGAGACAGCCATGAGATTTGCTCAGACTTTCAGCAAACCCCCACCGATGCCTCCACACTGGAAGTTGGAGCGTGGTGGACCGTGCGTTATAATAAAGTTGCTATTGTATGTGACTTTGATCCTACAAAGAGGAAAAAACATGGGTAAAAAGTAAGAAAAGACCAAAAACGTCACTAAACTTCAAAAACCCGGGACATGATGTGATTAGAGGAACAGCATGGAACATGGCAAAAAATACATAACAAAACAACAAAAACCAGCAACAGGCGCTTCCTCCAGACACACCACGGCACACTTCAACCTGTTCCTTACAAGACTACATTGAGCGTGCTGGTGTTAAATGCGTGCAGGCTTCCGTGCAGGAGCCCTCTGCACATGGCAGAGAGAATGTGGCCCGTGCTGCACTCTGACGCGCAGACCATCTTGATGGCTCAGGGACGGCCAGGCTCCACCACACCTGCTCCCTCCTGACTGGCCTCTCTCTACCAAGCCAGGGACAAGGCCTCATCCCCAGAACCACCAAAGGATTAACTTAAAGCAAAACAAACACAAGCAAACAGAACAGAAATGACTTGGGTTCCTGTCACTTTGTGCTCCCAAGCCATTCCAAGAGACCAGCAATTAATAACTCGCAAAGAATTAGCTCACCTCCAACAACCACGGGAGCTTGAAAACCACTTCCTTCCCTAGTTTTGTTACTTGCAGAATGAACTGATTCTCAAATCCCTGGAGATACTGGGCTGAGTGCATTTGTCCTAATTACAGCAACATCATCTTCCTCAGTGCACCCTCGCTCACAGGGCAGCGCCCAAGATCTGCACTCACCAAAGTGAGCCTCTCACAGATGGAATCTGTGCAAACTTTAAGTCCCAACAAAACTTTGCCAAACTCACTTGTTGAGCAAGAAGCTCAGAAATGGAGATTTCTAGGACCCTCCGCATCTGGCTGCAAATCCCAGACACAAACCATCCAAGGAGATCGCACCTTTGCCTTCCACTGAGTGGCCCAACGTGGAGTGCTAGGAAGCCATCAGGAGCCAGACAGACCTATGTCCACTCCCGGAGGCACCGCCAGGACCCTGTCCTGCGTGATGGGTCTCCCTGCAACACACGAGGAGTCCCTATCCCAGGGGCCAGAGGGGACGTCCCGCAGAGACCGTCCTGACCCCAGCCCTCTGCATTGCACCAGGTGGACACCACAGAAGCTCTAGCCTGAGGCACCGAGCCGTCAATCTTCCATCAATCGATGAAGCTCTCACCTATAACGGACATCCTTTCGCCACCACACAGCATTTACCAAGCTTTCCAGGGTGCCCTGATGGACATGCTCACAATGCCTCGGGGATTTCCTCTGAAGATGTGGATGCAGAATGAACACCATGAAAACACAGCTCCCACTCCGGGTACATCCCAAAGTCGCACGTCAGGCCCTCCGTGCCGCCGTCACAGCTGCTCTCTCCCCAGCCACCACTGCCTTTGCTGGGGATGCCTTGCCTGAAGATGCAGGGGCTACCCTCCCTGGGCCTCCACTGGCCAGTGCAGGTTGTGACCACCCACCCCCCGGGCTCCATCAGGGATGGCTGTGGGTGCAGGTTGTGGCCACCCATGCCCCGGGCTCCATCAGGGATGGCTGTGGGTGCAGGTTGTGACCACCCACGCCCTGGGCTCCGTCAGGGATGGCTGTGGGTGCAGGTTGTGACCACCCACACCCCGGGCTCCGTCAGGGATGGCTGTGGGTGCAGGTTGTGACCACCCACCCCCCGGGCTCCATCAGGGATGGCTGTGGGTGCAGGTTGTGACCACCCACGCCCCGGGCTCCGTCAGGGATGGCTGTGGGTGCAGGTTGTGACCACCCACGCCCCGGGCTCCGTCAGGGATGGCTGTGGGTGCAGGTTGTGGCCACCCACGCCCTGGGCTCCGTCAGGGATGGCTGTGGGTGCAGGTTGTGACCACCCATGCCCTGGGCTCTGTCAGGGATGGCTGTGGGTGCAGGTTGTGACCACCCATGCCACAGGCTTCATCAGGGACAGCTGTGTGCTGCTCTTCATTTCCCAAACGCAGTGGGATCAGGCCTGGCTGGATGTCTGAACTGCGACTCTGCCCCAACTGCTGCCCTCATTGCCGTACCCCAAGAGCCTCCATCCATCTTGCAATGGAGCTGCCACTCAGCTTGTCCACCACAGTCCCTCCTGAAGACACATCTCTGCGAAGCTCCCCCCATCACCCAGGCCAAAGCTAGCCTACCACGTCACACAGTGGCCATCTGCCCGGGCATGTTTCACCTCGGCTGTGCAGACCCTCTGAAGACGAGACATTCTCCATATGTTTCTTGGCTCCAGGCAGCTCATCGACAGATAACATCCTGCTAGATCAGCAGAGACGACGCCTGCACGTTGGGCAGCCTGCACAGCCAGGGAGGGCGGGGTGGGAAACGCAGCGGGAGACAGTGAGGTGGGGGTCTGGAAGTCCTGCCTCGAGCCTCGTCAGCAGGCAGGCGTTTCAGTGTTCCCCAGAACTACACCTCAGTATGCCCTCGCAGAAAGGAGCACTTCACACAACATCTTTAGAGACCAGCCACCTCCAAAGCCTCTGTTCCTCCTGCATTGCCTCCCAAATGATCTCCCAGCCTGGGAATGTCAGATTCTCAGATTCCATGGGGTATTCTTTTCTGTGGCTGTTACTCATGTAATCTAAGGAAGTGTTGAAGTTCTGAGTTACCCTGTAGCAAAGGCATATCTTGTTCCTTCCACAATCTGGTCGAAGAAAACAGCAGCTTTGATCTCAGATACTCTTAACTACTCAGTACCAAGGGAAGTTGTGGGCTTTGAGCCAACCACACCTAATGTCAATGCTCACTCCCTCCCCATTCAGCTGCGTGAATTCGGGTAAGTTTCTTACATGAGCTGAGCCTTGTTTTTCCTTTCTGTAAATTGGGGATTTAAAATGCCCACCTCACTGGGTCATGGTAAGAACCTGCAATGGGAGGGTACCTGCATTTAATCTGTGCTGTTTTCGTTCTCCTGATACAGAACTGTGTCAGAATCCTGCTTTCTGCGGCTGGACTATTTGTCAACTGCCTGTTAGAGCACCTGGGGAGCGGCTGGGGCTTTCTCTGGGGTCAGACCATGGCACTGAGGACTTCTTGTAGCATTCAGGTGGCTATTGAAATCATACAAAAACAATTAATAGGCAACCATTAGAAATTAGGCAATAAAGTTTTTTCAGTTAGTTGGTCAACTGTGTACACAACACAAAGCAGAATACAGAGTGTGTATATGTCCTCAACCATGATTGTTTTTACATAAAGTGTTTAAAAAAAAAGACTGGAAGGAAACACAGTAAATCTTAATATAGCGGCTATACTTGATTATATTTGGGATTTTTTCTTTCATTTTCTATAAAATGTCTAAGTTTTCCATCCAGTTTATTTTTAAAATCTGCAAAAGTACTTCAAAAATGAGTAATCTAAAAGTCTGGTTCCATACTAGATAAGATGAAGAAAAATAAAATTTCAGTTCACATCCAAAAGGTTGGGACCTTACTAACCAGAACCCCACACATAACCACACAAAACACTCAAAACAACCACACAAAGCAACCACAACTCCAGCCCATACCTTCCATTTAGTTTTGTTGTGGATGTTGGCGATGCAATGCCCCAAATCTCATTAAGCCCATCAATTAAAATTCAAAAATATAAAACATGAAAACTAAAATAAAGAAGGTCTGAAATGCCCTTTAAATTTTGCTGAAAATCATCACCTCCTCCTCTGGGTCCAGACAGGGCTAGACAGAGGCTTGCCTAATGAAAGTGATTGTCTTAGATTTGAAACTTTGCCTGGTTTCATAAACTTGATGATGTTTTCAAGAAAATAAACAATAAGAAGTTAAGTAAGTGCTGCCCTGCCTTGTCTATTGTGCACCAGGCACACATGAAGACACAAGGGCCTTCCCAGCCCACTATAACCCAGATGGGACTCAGGAAGACCCCACAAGGGCCTTTCCAGCCCGCCATTGACAAGATGAGACTCAGGAAGACACAAGGGCCTTCCCAGCCCACCATCAACAAGACGGGACTCAGGAAGACACAAGGACCCTCCCAGCCCACCATCACCGAGACGGGACTCAGGAAAACACAAGGGCCTTCCCAGGCAGCCATCACCAGGATGTGACTCAGGAAGACACAAGGGCCTTCCCAGCCCACCATTGACAAAACAAGACTCAGGAAGACACAAGGGCCTTCCCAGCCCACCATTGACGAGATGAGACTCAGGAAGACACAAGGGCCTTCCCAGTCCACCATCGACAAGACGAGACTCAGGAAGACACAATGACCTTCCCAGCCTGCCATCACTGAGACAAGACTCAGGAAGACACAAGGGCCTTCCCAGCCCACCATCAATAAGACGGGACTCAGGAAAACAACTGAGCAAACATCTGTCAGTAGGACACGGGTGGAGACAGACTGTGCCCCGGACTGAATGTGTGAGTCCTCCCAAAACTCCTACGTGATGGTGTTAGGAGGGCCCTCTGGGACATGACTGGGCCATCAGGGTGGAGCCTCAGGATGGGATTAGTGCCCTTATAGGAAGAGACTCAGGAGCCCACCCTCTGCTCGCCCCTGTGAGGTCCCAGTGAGAAGACAGGCCTCTGCAAACCAGAAGCAGGCGCTCCCAGACACCAAGTCTGCTGGCACCTTGACCCCACACTTCCAGCCTCCAGAAATGTGAAAAATAAACATCCATTGTTTAAGCCCGAGGCTGCAGCATATTTGTTATAGCATCCTGAGCGGACTATGATGAATAGCATAGCCAAATTAGGATAACTGGAGAGGGATGGCTTACAAGGGCAAGGGTCAGGCATAAGGAACCACAGGAAGAGGCTCTCTAGTTCAGCAGTAATGTCGTCGTTAGCACCCAAGGCCCAAACGAGGAAGCAGAGTCATGCATGAGAGTCAACTGTCAGGAAACAGTGAGCTGCAGCCCAAGGACAGGCCAGCGGGGGCTGTCGCCAGGGAGGAAGTGCAGTCCACATGCCGTCTCTATCCAAGCTCCAGCTCCCTCTGCCATTCTCCTGCCTCAGAACAGGGAAAAGGTGCTCTGAAGCTGCGCTCCCTTCCACTCAGCCAGAGAAGACCAGCAGACCAGGGGCCAGAGGCAGGTGAGTCAGGACAGAGGTCAAAGGACCCACAGACCTGTGGGACACAGAGCAGGACGTGGAGGGTGGGCACCCCGCAGAGCACCCGGCCTCATCTGCCAGCCCAGCAACGAGCCTGGACTGTGCTGCAAACTCGATTCCTTGCATATAAATGTGAACATTAGGCTAAATGACCCTTACATTACCAGTTTATCTCACCAGCGCTTTCAGCCTATTTCTTATTTAGGTCTCTGATAAATGACTTCATCTTTATTTATGAATGTTCCTTTCCCTGTAATATTTGCTAGCTTCACCTTGACCTCATAAATGTAATTTGTTGTTTCAAATTCTAGTAGCAGAACTGCATTTTAAAATGCTGAAAAGCCATCACTTTAGAGCTGGTGAGAGAAAACATTACTTTTTTTCATTACTCATTTCTTCTAGATTTGGAAGCAAAATCTGGCTTTCCAAGCACGGAAGGAGTAGACCACCACAGGGACAGAGGGTCCCCCTGTGGAGCTCTCTTCCGGACGCTGGCGGAAAAGAGCACAGCTCGTGCACCTTTAGAATCAGTGCCCCTTTTTAGGGGCCCCCTGTAAGTGGCTTTGTTTCTGGAAAATGTGGGGACACTTTTCATACTCGACGTAGCCCACAGCCAGGTCTGTGCACCGCATCTCGGAAAGTGTTTCGAGACCTGCTCGTCCGGTGACTGGCGCACGCTGCGCTCCCTCACAAACACTAACCCCAGTGGTTCTCCTCCCAGCACTGCCCCTCACCCCTGCGCGGCGTGTCCCTCTGGGAATCCACTCGCAGGCGACCTCCAGCGTGTGTCTACTTGCTGCTTCTGTCCCTGTTACCACCAAGGCTATGGCTGCAAGTTTCCAAGGAAAAAGCGCAGCCTCCGTGGGTCGTGATTTCTGTGGCTTCTATAATGCGTGTGTGCCTCTCCCAGCCGTCACACATGGCGTCTCAAGTGCCCCAGCCCACCCATGGGACCTGCAGAGACGCATCCCAGCGCCCTAGGCACTGAGAATAGGTGGGCGCTCACCTGACAGTGGCCTCCCATCCTCCACTGCCTTGAGCCCTTTCCCATGCACTGCACTACGGACACCCCAGCCACTACCTCATCCCAAAAGCAGGCGGCACCACGGGGCGGGAAGAGGAACTCAGGTCCGTGAACACCTGCCTCGTGCAGGGCCCTGACTCCAGTGATTCTCGCAGCCTCGTAACCCCAACAACAGGCCCCGGAGCTCAGCTTTTTATTCCCACTTCACAGATGAGGGAACGAAGACACGACCCACCCAAACTCACAGGTGGGCAGGGGGTGGTCTGACTCCCAGCCCAGTCCCAGGACCTGCTGGAAGTGAGGCAGCACGAACCCCCCAGGGCTCAGCTCTCCAAATCCAAAATGGAGGGGTTTCCCTTCACCCCTCAGCGCTCTGGAGGGAACGACAACTGCAGATTCCAAGGTGTTTCAGGGAAAAGCCATGCCCCCCGTGTCAGCCAGCACAGCCTGCAACGACCACACTGGTAACAAACAAGTAACTGTCCCATTTTCCCTGAACTATGTCTTCAATTTCATCTAAAAATGGAACTATGAATTCCAATGAGTCAGAGAATCTTTTAAAATGTATATTTAAATGCACTAAGATATTGAGTTGCTATATATCACATTCACCCTCTAGGCACCTGAAGACACAAGTGACAGCAATATTGGCTGTGTGCATTTCATTAAATAGGTTTACCCCCAAAACTGTCCACTTGCCTTTTAAACATCCTTAGGGTTGCTGCCTTCAAAAACAAGCCTTTTGTTTCCACAGAGAAATGCATGCAAGTGGCTCCTCCCTGCAAATCAGAACATCTGACCCTGGCCCAGCACCGGACTCCTGTCCTGGATGTGGTCTCAACAGCACAGCCTTGGAGCAAACCCAGGGAGCTCGAATGAGTGACGGTCCTGGTGTGGGTTCAGCCATAACCTCCAGGACAGATGAGAGCAGGCACTTCTAAAGGGTGGCCCTTCCGAGAGGGAAAGGCCTGGAGCCTTACGCTGGAGCATGCTCACTCTGGGGGTCTAGCGCCGAGTCCCGGGTCCTGAGGGACACACTGTGAGCCTGGAGTTGGTGACGGCTGGGGACATACTGTGAGCCTGGAGCTGATGACAGCTGGAACCGGACGGTGCACTGTGAGCCTGGAGCTGGTGACGGCTGGGGACATACTGTGAGCCTGGAGCTGGTGGCTGCTGGAGACATACTGTGAGCCTGGAGCTGGTGACGGCTGGAACCAGACATTGCACTGTGAGCCTGCAGCTGGTGACAGCTGGGGACATACTGTGAGCCTGGACCTGGTGACGGCTGGAACCGGACGGTGCACTGTGAACCTGGAGCTGATGACAGCTGGGGACATACTGTGAGCCTGGAGCTGGTGACGGCTGGGGACATACGGTGAGCCTGGAGCTGGGACTGGCTGGGACAGGCTGGTGCTGTGTGGTCTGGTCAGTGTCCCCACGTGGCTGCTGCAGCGGGTGCCTGAGTGGCCTTTGCAGTCACACACAGGCAGGGACCGGGTCCCATGCCCTGGCTAGCCAAGGGCCTCACTCTGCATTTCCTCATGGTTCTTGTCTCTGCAGCCGGGGGCTCCCAGGAGCCTCGGGCCCACCAAGGCATCACCCTCCCTTTTTACTCCAAGCGTATTAGGGTCTCCTGCCCAGAAGTCACTGTCAATGCCCTTAACAAAAAGGGCTGTCAGCCCCTCCCTCGGGCCAGAGGAGCCCTGGAGAGCTAAGGTTCCTGGGGCTGCACAAGCTCAGCCCCCAGCCTCTGGGGCTCCATGGCTGGGCCCAGCTAGAGAGTCTATAAATGTGGAGGTGACGTGCTGGGTCTCGGGGGGCAATGAGGAGCCCAGGCTGGGCCCCCCACCTGTGCTCCATGGGAGGAAAGCACATGGCCAAGGGGGGGTTTCTTTGGAGGTGGCTCTGCTCCCACCCATGCCCCCAACACGCGTACCCTCCAAAGGGACAGCAGAGCGTCACCACCCCACATCCAGACGAGACCACAAGGGACCCTGGGGCTTCGGGCAGGGGTGGGGTCGCCCCAGGGCCCACCGTGTGTGTCTGCATGGAGGAAGCTCTAACACCTCCCACCGCCAAGGTCTCTTCTGCCCTTAAAATTCCATGAGCTTTTCCTTCAGTGTGGAAGAACCAACAAGTTCTCGGGGCCTCCATCGACCTGTGGGGTTAGCACTTCGGTTTGGCTTTCTCCATTAGGTCACCAAGGCCAATGTGCCCCAGTGGCTGGTAACAACGTGTGCCACGTGTCCAGTATTTACCGAGCGCCAAGCACACAGGTGCTGCCCACAAGTTACCTTCTTTAATCCCTACTACCACCTGCAGGATAGGAATCCACTTTTTTGCAGACGGGCAGCTGAGGCTCGGAGAGGTTAAGTGAGCTGCTCAGGGCTGCACAGGTGCTAATTGGCAATGCTGGGATTTGAATCCAGGTCTATTCTGAAGCCTATGGCCTTTCTATTTGCCACAAATCATCTAAGTATTCATAAACACTAGTGTGCCTGGCACCTCATAAATCGGTGCTTCTCATGTTTGTCTTGAAGACATAGGGTAAATTTTTTGCTGTAAATTTCAAAGGGACATTCAAATTCTTTGGTTTCTCTAGGGCTTTGATCATCAGCACGTGCTTGGAACTGTCACTCAGAACTCTGGGCTGTGGTGGCATTTAGTGCACTGAGTTTTGACCTGTCCTGAGCCCTACAAACCTAACTTGTTGTTTTCTAAAATTAAGGCCAAAATGCCAGCAAAGCAAGCATTATTCCACCCGGTTACCTGCCCACATCTGCACCAGACACTGCCACCGAGGGTCCACTGGCTCCGTCCTCTCCCTCGTCTGTGGACCTGAAACAAACATCACTTCCACCCTGGGCAAGGTGTGGCTCACACAGAACATCTTCATAGTAGGAAAGCTGGCTTCGGTTCTCAGCAGTGAATATTCAGATTCCACAGCCATCTGGCTGTCATTTCACAAGCTCTTTGCAAAATCTGGCTATAATTCTACCAAGGTACGAACGTTAGTTAATCTGTTGAAGACTTAGCTAAGTGAACTAAAGAAAATTAAAACACTTGCTTAAAGCTTGCCGCAGCTCAGAACCCAAAAGGGCTGCGGACGCATAAAAGGGGAAGTATCAGAGGAGAAGGGGCCAAGGCCGCTGGGGAAGCTGAGAGACTGCAGAGCACCACGCATGCGCATCACACCTGCTTCCAATTCAGGGAGCTCAGAACTGGCTAGCATGAGGCTTGTTAAGTCTGTTCATGAAGTAAACTGGCCTAGCTCACTTCAGAAAACAGCAAGGCTTTATTACAACCATGAATTAACAGACTGCCAATTGATATGCTAATTACTAACATTTCTATATATTTGTCAAATAAGATCCCTAAGGAAGAAGAGACAATGTGACTATCTGGCTTGAGTTACAGTCTTTAACAAAATAAAACCATGAGTTTTCTAGATTTTTCATTAATTCAAACCAGCCCCTTCTTTTTTTGTTGTTGTTGTTTTGTGTTTTTTGTTTGAGATGGAGTCTTGCTCTGTCACCCAGCCTGGAGTGCAGTGGTGCAATCTCGGCTCACTGCAACTTCCGCCTCCCAGGTTCAAGCAATTCCCCTGCCTCAGCCTCCTGAGTACATGGGATTACAGGCGCACGCCACCATGCCCAGCTAATTTTTTTGTATTTTTAGTAGAGTTGGGGTTTCACCATGTTGGCCAGGCTGGTCTCGAACTTCTAACCTCAGGCAATCCGCCCACCTCGGCCTCCCAAAGTGATGGGATTACGGGCGTGAGCCACGGTGCCTGGCCTTTTTAAATTGATTTCCTACTCTTACTGGGACATAAGAAAGCTATGCAAAATTCTTCAGTGCATCAGTTATGGGAAAGAAGGAACCAAAGCGCAGAAGGGATGTGCCCAGCGCCATTTTTAAATGTAGCTGAAGAGGCTGCAGCAGCGTCCATCCCTCTCCCAGCGGAGCAACGCTCAACCCAAGCAAGTGAGCTCCCTCTCTGTCAAAAACTCTGCAAGCAATTTTTTCCTCTCCTTCTAATATTAAATTGTTTCTGAGTTTGTCAAATACTCACAAGGGAAGTTTTCTACGACATTGATGTGGGTCAACAGCAAGTCCATGTCCCTGGGTTCTGTTTGCAGAGGAGGATTCCTTTCCCATCTGTCAGGGCAATGCTGTGGAATTCCAAAGCCCACTGTCTACGGAACAGCCAGCCCATTACTGGACATCAAAATGCCTGGACTTCTGAGCTCCAAAGGGCATCAGGAGATGGGGGAGCCGCAGAGACCACAAAGCCCCAGCTCTCAGCTCCCACGTCCTCACCGCACCCCAAAGACAGGGAATGTCATGCGCCGGGTTGGGTCAGAATAAGGAAAGGTTAGAAACTCTTATTTTCAAAATAGTCTAGCCACAGTTTTCTTAATGAATGCCTTTATCAGATTTCATTTGAAGAAAAGGTCTTCTGCTTTAAAAAGGCTGCTCTTGTTCAGTCCATTCGCTTTTCAAACAACAAAACTGAGGCCCAAAGAAATGAGGATGTGGCTGCAGACAGCACCCCCGAGCACGGAGCTCACCTTAGTGGGTTCAATACGCCAGACACACCTGCCTCCAACCCTCCCCACCCCGAGGCTCTGAAGGTGGGTGGGAAGAAGGAAGGCCCGGAGGGAAGCCGCCATCAGCTCAGCCACCCACAACGGCCGCCCCGCCGGCTGTTCCCAGCAGGGCTGTGCCCCTCTAGTCCTTGGATGGATTTTGCAGAGCCTTCTAGGAGGCCTGTCTGCCACACACGTAGCTCAATTCAGTTTTGCACTTTGTTTTCCTTCTTGTGGTAACTAAAAACACTCTGGCATGTAATTCAAAAACAGCATTGAGGGTAACTGCATAATGTAAAAAAACTGTTACCAAGATGGCAGAACATTTGAAATTATATTTGCACTTTGGGACATACAGATAAAAATGTGATCTTATGTTAAGTGCTGCATTTTCCAAAACCACGTTAAATTTATGTGTGAGGCCTCGTTGAACATGTAGTAAGTGGATGTTCTTAAAATTGGCTAATTCCATGTCAAGGTTTCATCAGACATTTCATCTACCCTCTAAAATTAGTTTGTCAAAATACACACACAGTTGAGTCAATCTCTTTCCTCACAAAAATCTACTGAGACCGGATCTTGTCTGGGTCTCGGAGCCCAGGACAAGGAAAGGGGTCAGCCTCCCGGCTAAGCTGCCTCTGCACCAGGCTGCCCCTGCCCACAAGGCAACCCTCAAGAAGCAGCTCCGCACTGTGGGTGGACTGAGCCACTGGGCATTCCTCCCTCCAAAGGGTCCAAAAACCAGGGCAGCCCCAACTGGCCGGGAAAGCTCCTCTGGGCTCTGCCCCTCTGCACGGCACCAGAGTTGTGCAAGGAAGCAGAGGAGGCGGTGAGTGCCCCACGCTCAGGAGTGCACCCGGTGGAGGGGGATATGTACACCCGCCTGGGAGGGGCCAGAACCCAGTCCACACTCTGCCCGCATGATCTGCCTCTCCCCAAAACAGACTATCATTACCCGGTGTGACTGGGCCAATGAACCCAAAAACAGGAACGGCAACGTTGACTCTAAAGCAAGCGTATCCAGCCCACAGGCCACGGCCCACGAGATGGCTCTGAATGTGGCCCAACACAAATTCATAAACTTTCTTAAAACATTATGAGATTTTTTGGCCGGGTGCGGTGGCTCATGCCTGTAATCCCAGCACTTTGGGAGGCCAAGGCGGATGGATCACTTGAGGTCAGGAGTTTGAGACCAGCCTGGCCAACATAGTGAAACCCTGTCTCTAATAAAAATACAAAAAAATTAGCCTGGTGTGGTGGCACATGCCTGTAATCACAGCTACTTGGGATGCTGAAGCAGGAGAATCACTTGAACCTGGGACGTGGAGGTTGCAGTGAGCCAAGATCGCACCATTGTACTCCAGCCTGGGCAACAAGAACCAAACTCTGTCTCAAAAAAAAAAAAAATTATGAGATTTTTTTGCAATTTTTTAAAGCTCATAAGCTATCACTGTGTGAGTGTATTTTACGTGTGGTCCAAGATAATTCTTATTCCAGTGTAACCCGGGGATACCAAAAGATTGGGTGCCCCTGCTCTAGAGTGAACACAGAAGCACTGTCTGGGGCACCTGTTGTCCTGGGGTTCAAAGCCGCTGCCACCTTCTTCCCTTGCAGTTTTCTGCTAACACTTACACCTGCCCACACTGGTGCTCACACTCACGTGATCACACCCACTCTTTCTTCTTGTGGAAAGCCCCACGTGGAGCAGAGGGGCATCTGGAGCTCCTGCCCAGAAATGGGAAGGTGATCTGCATCCTCCCAGGCCCCCTCTGGAAGCTCCAGGTCCTTCCTGACTCCAGCCCAGCCCCACCCACGGCGAGGAAGGCACCTGCTCGGACACACCTGGGAGCTGGCTCTCACTTCCAGCCTCAACATCCACCGGGTTTTTCTGGACTTAGCTGGCTTTCACTGATTTTTTCTTTTTTGCTAAAAGGAACTAGAAGATATAAAACCTCAGAGCCTCTATCCACCCAGTCTTCATCTGAGAAAAGCACAAATAACAGATTCTTTCAGTTTGCCTGTGTCTCTCACCACTAAGCTGTAAGAAGCTCCCTCCAAATGAGAACGTCACACATGCAGGGACCAGTCCTGTGCTGCAGACCGACGCAGTGGGAGGCCACATGCGTTCCTCAGCAGCTGCAAATACCTGTTTCTTATTCCTGTTACCATTTTCTCGTATTCTCAAGTAGAACTGTCCCTACATTTCCTTTCCTTTTCTGCACCCTTCCAGGATGGATGTGGGTCACTTTTCCACCCTGAGCAGCCGTCTGCGGGCCTCAGGGTTTGCGCTATTCTGGAATATCGTTGGTGGGGCTGTTCACACCCCGCTCCGTGTGGCTGATGAGGAGCTGAGGGCCACTAGTCTTGTCTTGGTGAAATCACAGAGCAAGTGACCAGCACATTCTCTGAGGCTCTGGAGTTGCTGTCACCCCCAGCAATCCTGTCCCTGTTTCCTTCAAAATTTCAAATCTTGCCAGGCCCAGTGGCTCACACCTGTAATCCCAGCATTTTGGGAGACTGAGGTGGGCGGATCACCTGAGGTCAGGAGTTCAAGACCGGTCTGGCCAACACGGCAAAACCCTGTCTCTACTCAAAATACAAAAATTAGCTGGGTGCGGTGGCACGCGCCTGTAGTCCCAGCTACTCAGGAGGCTGAAGCAAGAGGATCGCTTGAACCTGGGAGACAGAGGTTGCAGTGAGCCGAAATTACGCCACTGCATTCCAGCCTGGGTGTCTCAAAAAAAAGAAAGAAAGAAAGAAAAATTCAAATCTTAATTACAGGACTTTCAAAATTCCAGGAGGTAATTTACCTCCAGCAAGGGCTGGAGACCAAAAAAACTGGGCCAACGGCCCACAAACACGTGAGCCAGGTGAAGGGTCATGCAGAAAAGCAGGACTGGGTGTGAGCATGAGGACAGGAAGGGGGAAGGGGCTGGACACGGCCTGTCTCCTCCCTGAGAGGAACCATCAGGGAGCCTCGGTATCAGCATCACACTCCTGGTGACAGGGACAGAGACGGCTCCTTCCACTGGATGTACAGAGCGCTTCCAGCAGCTTGAGCTTCACGCCTGCCCGGAGACGGGGTCCGCGAGGTGCCAGCTTTGCACTGTCAAAGGGAATCCCTCCCAGGGGAGGACGGACTGAGCTCTCAGAGTCCTTTGGGCACCACAGCCCGGAATGGTGCTGGAATCACAGCCGCCGGGTTAAGGGGCTCATGGCGGAGGCAAGCCCCAGTGTCCCAGGCGCCATGATGTCTAAGTGACTATAGGGCCATGAAGAAGGGGCCTCCTGATAATCCCTACCAGCAGCCAGGAAGCACCCTGGGAAGCCCATCGCCTGTTGCCCTCCCAGGCCACACCTTGACGTGGGAGGCCACGGGACAGACGCCACCTCTCCCGAGTAGCAGGTGGGTGACTACAGAGGTGCTCTGAGGGTCTTAGGCAGAGCTGGCCATGCTTGCCTTGGTGAAGACCCCAGCCACCAGCCTGGGAGGCCCGGTCACCCCACGGCCAGCGCCTGCCAAGTTCTTGTGAGTTGAGCACGTCTCACGTATGCACCAACATGCAGATGCACACACAGGGCATGGGCACTCCAGAGGGGCTCAGCTTATGGTTAACGCTGGGGCTGCCTTCATCTCACGCATGCTGGGCAGCCTGGGCACCTGGGGCAGGGCTGGGGGACAGCCCAGCCATCTTCAGGGCCCCAGGTGAGGCCACAGCCAGCCCATGCAGAGCTCAGAGCTCACGGCAGAGCGGCACAGAAAGAAGCTCAGACCCAGGCCCTCCTGCCAGGCAAGGCCCCCGGACTCACTCACCCCACACCACCGATGTCAGGGGTTCTGTGCAGGCAAAGTGGCCTTCTCTTTGTATTGATTTTGGGGGCTTTGTTTTTTTTAACTAAACTTTTTTTTAACTGTGGTAAGATGCACATAACATAAATAAAATTTACTATCTTATCAGTTTTAATATACAATTCTGTGGCATTCATTACATTCACTACTATACAACCACCACTGCCATCTGTCTCTCAAACTCCTTTCATTTTGCAAAATTGAACTTCATTCCCTGTAAATGCTGACTCCCCAGCCCCTGGCACCCCCAATCCTATGCTGACTCCCCAGCCCCTGGCACCCCCAATCCTACGTTGACTCCCCAGCCCCCGGCAACACCAATCCTACTTTCTGTCGCTGACTCTGACAACACTAGGGGCTGCTATAAGTAGGATCTCACAGTGCTTGTCCTTCCGTGTCTGGCTTATTCCATTCCATATAATGTTCTCAAGGCGCACCCATGCTGTCGCAGAGGTCAGGGCTCTTTGCGTCTATTTTTAAATAAAACACCAGCTCTGGCTTCAAGGGAAAGGGGCCTGTTGGAGGACGGAAGAGGCAGGGACCCTGCTGGTGGAGACTGGAGCCCTGGGAGGCACTCCTGGGTCTTCCAGTGGGTCCAGCAGAGGCTGATTCATGCTAGAAACAAGGGACTTTCCATGCAGGGTCCAGGAATGCCTCATCAGCCCCCCACCGTACCCCCTGTCCACCTGGCCTTTGAGGCTGAAACACTGCACTCAAGAGCACTACTCTGTCCCAATATCAAGGCAACGCTTCTCAAGGACATGGGCTGGCCCGAGTATCAGTTTGCAGCAAAAACTGTGAAGATTAATCAAAAGCCACCTCCCCCAGGGAAGCTGTGACTCCCAGGCACGACCTTGCCCATGGGGGTCACCCACTCCGACCCACAGGGGTGGCCGAGGACCTGGATCCCGGGGCTGTGCCATCCCTGCCTCCAGGCCAGACATCCAGCAGGTTTCCCAGGAATCTGCACACAAGATGCAGCACCCTCGGCTCAGACTCAAAGCGGCCAGCAGGAGCAGGCGACATCCACTCTGCATTGTCCATGCTCTCCTCATGTGGATGAGGAGCAGGACCAGCACTGGAGGAGATCAGGATCCTGTCACAATGTAAGGTCATCTGTGCCTAGTGGATCAGACGCTGTGAAGAGGAGTGTGTGCAAACCTCACTGCTCTGAACGGCCCTGATCCAAGAGCAGCCGGCCCCGATTGTCTTTGGTTACCAGGAAATGTTAGCAGATGCAGTCCATGCACTGCCACCGAGGTCACTGGTGTTCCTTTTCTCTTTCAAGGCATTGGTCAAACTGAGTGCCTTCCAGCATCTTCCCCAGAGAGCACCACCCACAAGGGTGCACATGGGCTCTGCCATGCTCCCGTTCCTACCTGCCACTCCACCGAGCTCCGCCCGCTCTTGGTGACCCCTCAGCGATGACCAGGGGGCTCTTCCTACACCAAAGCCTCTGGCTGCAAGCACATTTCTTCATGACTTTCTCTTTCTTAAAAATGAGTGTAAATTTTGCACTCTTCTTTGTAACATATGCCTGTGTGCCTTTTATGATAAAGGTGTTTTCTTCCTTTTCATCAGATACACTGGATGCTCCAAGAACAACACGGGTTCTCCGTGTGACTTCACACTCCCCCAGCATGACTCTAAGCCCAGTGTGGGACCAGCGTGAACCCAGGCGGCCTCTAGAGGGGAGGCAGGAGCCGCCCTGACCACCAAAGCCAGCGCAGGAGGGGGCTCTACAGGATGATGTGTTGAGTGGGCACAACTCCACAAAGGAGAGGAACCGCAGTCCGTGCCAACAGCCTTTCCCAGGAAAGACCTTCCGGGACCTGCCACCCATCTCCTCCTTGGCAAGACCACCCCAGCCCAGGCACGGCCAACGCCCGGCCCCCGCTTGAGTTGGCCTTGAGCTCCCTCCAAAGAGGAGATGCAGACAGCAGTGCCACCCCAGGGGGGCCGAGGGAGCAGGACTGAGAAGCTGGTTTTCCACAGGTTCTTGTCATCCAAGGCGAGCACAAGCGGGAAAGAATGGGGCTGGAATGTTGGGAGAGAAGGGAGTGTGTGATCAGCATTGTCTGCATAAATGATTCAGGCTTTTTTTAATGAAAGAATCTTATTTTTGAAACTGAAGTTGACATAAAAGCTCCCGAAGTGAATCAGACGGTGGTGGCTTCTCCCCACCATCCACTCGGCAGGGGACAGGGTCTCCACGGGGAGCTGGTCACCCCACGTGGACGCCGTGCCCTGCCTCCTCTGGCGAGCTTTGTGTTCACCGGGCGGATTCTGGCAGACACCGGTCCCCCAGTTGTTGCAGCGAGACTCAGACCCAACCCCTGAACCCCAGGGATGGCGCCTCACTGAGTCCATTGGATCCGCGAAGGGCAAAGGGGCAGCCGTGAATAGGTAAAATTCCCGTAAGCTACGGAGGTTCTGCTGGCTTTGTCTTCTCCTTTGCAAAAGCAAAGTCCTGCGGAGGCTGGGCTTCGCCTGAGCGCTCGCTAGGGTGGAGGAAGCAGCTGTGGGCCTGCAGCCAGGGCTCGCTCCAAACGCTGGAAGCTCCGCCTCCCAGAGGAGATCAGCCCAGGAGTGGGAGTGAAGAACTTCGCTCCATCACAAAGCTCTGAAATACAGATGGCTTCGGAAAACCCCGTGAGAACACCGATTCACTCCTCCTGTGAGATGGGACTGCGTGTCCCCAGAGGGCTGGCAACTGGCCTCCAAGTTTTCCTCTTCCTCTTTCTTCCTCCCAAGAGCCCAATTAAGAACTTCCAGAGTTTAGAAATGACTTGGGTTGATTATGTGTGCATGACGTGACCTCACTAGACCCAGCACGAAAGGGAAGCAGGCCTGGGAGCCCTCCCCCTTGCCCTCGTCCTGGGGTCTGTGCCGCGCCTCGCCGTCCTCCCCTGGAACTCGGGGCTGGGAGAGGTCGGCGTCAGGAAGGACCTCATGGGGCTTTCACACGAGAGCACACATCCTCAGAGCCCCCCAGCCTCGTTCTGAAAATGAAAGACGGAGATAGCCTGTGCTCTGAGGGCTGCGCACCAGGCGTCGGGGTGGAGATTGACTCCTCGAGCTCCTCGGAGCCCCAGCGGGTGCCACTGCCCGCCGGCTGAGCCCACGTCCCGATAGGAAGCCTGGGGCGCTCGCAGGAAGGGTCACGGATGCTGCCCGGCTCCCCACCAGCCTGCCCCTCAGGACATCTCCTGAGGCTGCCACTGGGAAAGAACAAACTTGGGAATCCAAGATGGAGGGCAGCAGGACGCTCCCACATCCCCCACTGGTCACTTTTGGAAGCCATGCACTCGGCCCCAGGGCACTAGGCCTGAGTGCTTTAACACCCAGTTCAGGTGCCTCCCCTAAGACAGGGCTGAGGTCTGGGCAGGGAGAGGGGCTTGCAGGCCCACAGGCCCACTCATGGCTGGCGTGGCCACCCACGGAGTCTAACTGCAATGACTGAGAACACAGGCCTGCCCGAGGCTCCCCGGGACTCAGCCAAAGGCTCCCAGACGCCTCCCAGGTGGTTTGACTTTTGCATCTCTGGGAATTCTTTCAGCCTCTTCGTTTATTCATTTTACTTCCCCTTTACTTGAGGTGGCTTTGTTTTCTTTTCAATGTCTAATCTATTTCTCTCATAGGCGTCGTTAATGGGCTGGGACCTGACTTCCTACTAAGTGTAATTACCTCGTCTTTAAGTGCCCTTTTCAGTTTTTAAATCCTGCTGCTGAAATCCAACACTGGGGAGATGTCGTGAAGCTTTTTTAACTCCATCAGGCGGCCGTCGCGCTTCCCTTCACGCTTTCCTTCACCCCTCCACGGACATCTGGCCCTCATCCCATCCATGAGTGACCCACACAGCACATTTCCAGAACTGGCATTTGTGACAGGACACAGCAGCAAGGAGGCCTGTCCACCAGCAGCGACCGTGAGCACGGGGCCCTTGGAGAAGGAGGGAGGCATCCGCACCAGCTGCTGTGGCAGAACACCAGGGCAGGGCAGCTGCAACAACCGACACTCGCTTTGCACAGCTCTGAGACTGGAGGTCCAAGATCAGGGTGCTGGCACAGCTGGGCTCTGGTGAGGGCCCTATTCCCACTGCGGATGGTCACTGCCTTGCTGTGTCCTCCCATGGTGGGAAGGAGGAGGGCAGCCGGCTCCCTCATGATGCTGTCTCATGGTCTTGCCTCAGAGCCACTCTCGTGACCTCACCCAACCCTAATCACCTCTGGAAGGCCCCGCCTCCTAACCCATCCCATCAGGGTGGGGCTCTAACACATGCATTTGGGGGCCCCAGCTCCTAACCCATCCCATCAGGGGTGGGGTTCTCATGCATGCACTTGGGGGGCCCTGCCTAACCCATTGCATCTGGAGTGGGGCTCTAACACATGCATTTGGGGGGCCCCAGCTCCTAACCCATTGCATCTGGAGTGGGGCTCTAACACATGCATTTGGGGGCCCCAGCTCCTAACCCATCACATCAGGGGTGGGGTTCTAATGCATGCATTTGGGGGGCCCTGCCTCCTAATCCATTACATTGGGGGTAGAGCTCTAACACATGCATTTGGGGGGCCCCAGCTCCTAACCCATTGCATCAGGGTGGGGCTCTAACACATGCATTTGGGGGGCCCCAGCTCCTAACCCATTGCATCTGGAGTGGGGCTCTAACACATGCATTTGGGGGCCCCAGCTCCTAACCCATCACATCAGGGGTGGGGTTCTAATGCATGCATTTGGGGGGCCCTGCCTCCTAACCCATTACATCGGGGGTAGAGCTCTAACACATGCATTTGGGGGGCCCCAGCTCCTAACCCATTGCATCAGGGTGGGGCTCTAACACATGCATTTGGGGGGCCCCAGCTCCTAACCCATTGCATCTGGAGTGGGGCTCTAACACATGCATTTGGGGGCCCCAGCTCCTAACCCATCACATCAGGGGTGGGGTTCTAATGCATGCATTTGGGGGGCCCTGCCTCCTAACCCATTACATCGGGGGTAGAGCTCTAACACATGCATTTGGGGGGCCCCAGCTCCTAACCCATTGCATCAGGGTGGGGCTCTAACACATGCATTTGGGGGGCCCCAGCTCCTAACCCATCACATCAGGGGTAGGGTTCTAATGCATGCATTTGGGGGGCCCTGCCTCCTAACCCATTGCATCAAGGTGGGTCTCTAATGCATGCATTTGAGCCCCCGCCACCGCCTCCTAACCACACCCCATTGGGGTGGGGCTCCAGTACATGCATTTGGGGGGCCCCAGCTCCTAAGTCAGCCTGAGAAGATCAGTGAGAAAGGTGACCATACATTCTGGCAATACATACTGTTTTTTAAAAAATAATTTTTCTCTAGAGACTAGGTCTTACTCTGTAGCCTAGGCTGGAGTGCGGGCTGGAGTGTAGGCTGGAGTGCACTGATGCAATCTCAGCTCACTACAATCTCTTCCTCTCTGGTTCAAGCGATTTTTCTGCCTCAGCCTCCTGAGCTAGGATTACAGGCACCCACCACCATGCCCTGCTAATTTTTCTATTATTGGTAGAGATGGGGTTTCACCATGTTGGCCAGGCTGGTCTCAAACTCCTGACCTCAAGCAATCTGCCCACCTCAGCCTCCCAAAGTTCTGGGATTACAGGTGTGAGACACCGTGCATGGCCCGATACTTTCATAATCAAAAAAGTGTCTACATACACTGACAACAACCAGTAAAGACCACACGTTTTGTGCACTTGACATGTGCATCCAAGGGCTCCTGACACCCCAGAGAAACCCTAGAGAGTGGACACTATCCTCCGTGTCTACACACTCAGGCTTAGGAGTCTGCACCAGCCTCCCTGTCTACACAAACAGGCTTGGGAATCTACATCATCTTTCCCATGTACACACACAGGCTTGAGAGTCTACACCACCCTTCCTGTCTACACCTGCAGGTTTGGGAGCCTAGGCTACCTTCCCTGTATATTTCCACAGACTTGGGAGTCTACACTACCTTCCTGCGTACACACACATGCTTGGGAGTCTACACCACCTTCCCCATGTACACACACAGGCTTGGGAGTCTATACCACCCTTCCTGTCTACACACATACAGGCTTGGGAGTCTACACTACCTTCCCCTATACATGAATAGGCTTTGGAGTCTACACCACATTCCCCATGCATATACACAGGCTTGGGAGTCTACACCACACTCCCTAAGCACACAAAGGCTTGGGAGTCTATACCACACTCCCTGTCTACACCTGTAGGCTTGGGAGTCTACACGACCTTCCCTGTGTATATGCACAGGCTTAGGAGTCTACACCAGCCTCCCCTTATACACACACAGGCTTGGGAGTCTAGACCACCCTCCTTGTCTACACACACACACAGGCTTGGGAGTCTACACCACCTTTCCTGTCTACACCACCTTAACTGTGTACAGACACAGGCTTGGGGGTCTACATCGCCTTCCCTGTCTACACATGCACAGGCTTGGGAATTTATACCACCCTCCTTGTCTACACACAGAGGCTTAGGAGTCTACACCACCTTCCCTGTCTAAATACGCACAGGCTTAGGAGTCTATATCACCCTTCCTGTCTACACGCAGACAGGCCTGGGAGTCTACGCCACCTTCCCTGTCTAAATATGCAGACTTGGGAGTCTATAACACCCTTCCTGTCTATACACAGGCTTGGGAGTCTACACCACCCTTCCTGCATTTGGGGGATCCCAGCTCCTAACACATTGCATCGGGGGGGCTCTAACACATGCATTTGGAGGGCTCCAGCTCCTAACCCAGTGTACACAACTTCCCCATGTACACACATAGGCTTAGGAGTCTACACCACCCTCCCTGTCTAAACACACACAGGCTTGGGAGTCTATACCACATTTCCTCATAGACTTGGGGGTCTACACCAATTTTGCTGTGTAAAGGCACAGGTTTGGGAGTCTACATTGCCTTCCCTGTCTACACACACACAGGCTTGGGAGTCTACAGAACCTTCCTTATATACCCCATCTCTTCTAAAAATACAAAAAATTAGCCGGATGTGGTGGCATGTGCCTGTAGTCCCAGCTACTCAGGAGGCTGAGGCATGAGAATTGCTTGAACCTGGGAGGCGGAGTTGTAGTGAGCTGAGATCGCGCCACTGCACTCCAGCCTGGGCGAAAGAGTGAGACTCCGTCTCAAACAACAACAACAAGAAAAACAGAGACCGAAACCAGAGAGGGTCCTTGTGCAACTTTGTTTTCTGTCCTTGGTCCTGAAACCAGGAGACAATTGGTTGGTTGTTTAGGGCACTGATGATTCTTTACCAGTATGGTAAAGAGGGTAATTGCTCTGGGAGGTGAAAAGTGCGTAAGAATTTTGATCAGTATCTGTCTATCTGCCATCTATCATCTGTCTCATATTGCTTTATCTGTGTTCTCTCTCTCTCTCTCTCCCATTATTTATTTTCTGAGGGTAGAGCCTTGAATACTGGGTTTTAAAGTTCTTGATTGCTCTCAGCTTGTTCTGGGCACAGAGGATTTAAGGAATATTTGAGATTTGAACAAAACTGAAAAAAGACCAACTCTGCTAGTCGCGGCTCTGGCCCCCCTTTTTGGTGGAGGGGGAGTGGGATGTGGGGTTCTTCGGCCCATGCCTGCTGCTGGCCAGGCCCTTCCAAGACGCAGTGGCCTGGGACTATAGGATGTGGCTCCCCCGATCCAGCGCAGGAGCACAGCCCCTCCATGGGCTGTGTCTGGAATGCCGCACATAGCCATCTCTGCCCCAAACAGCAGCCCCCTCTATATGATGGGGTTTTCGCTCCTGCCAGCAGCACAGACAGCCGCCTCACCTCCCCAGCATCCTCCCAGGGAGGCTGAGCCCATCCTCACCCACGACCCGGGGACACGTTTAATTTATCCGGCCCCTCCTCGACTACCAACTCCCCTCACCGGAGATGCCTGCCTGGGCCCTGAATTCTGAGGCTGCCCACAGCAAGCCTGATACAGAGTCACACACCAGATGCACATTACAAAGAGCGTCACAGTGGAATGAGAGGAAAGCCTGTGAGAACAAACGGATCTCCGGTGCTCAGCAGACTGATCTACTGCAAATCACCCCCGACGCAACCACCAACTCCGCCAGAGGAAATCACAAGTTTTCCATCTTCAGCAGCTCTTACGACTGCAAGATCCCACAGCTGCCTTTTGGGGGAGGTTGGGGCTTATGCCTTAGGGCGCCAGTCAGGTCCTTCCAGGAGAAGGCGGCACCAAGCCCAGCGTCGAACGAAGCAGGTCCTTCTCCCTTCACAAGCAGCATCCACGGCTCAGTGGTGCCCCTCGCCCCCACCGCTCTGCCCTGCCTTCCTCGCTGAAACCTCCCAACACTGACGTCACCGGGGTGGGGCAGGAGCAGGAAGAGGCCCATGCTGCCATGTCCCATCCCAACACAGGGGCAGTCCTGCTGCCCTTTCGTTCTCTCCCATTGTGCCCTTGGCAGAAGAATATATTTCCACTCAACTGGCATCTTCCAGCTGTCCCCCAGACCCAGCCTCCCTCAGCTCCCATGGCAGGGTTAGGGGCACAAGCACCGCCCGTCAACCCTTCACAGAAGCTGGCAACAGAGTCAGGAATCTGAAGGGTAAAGGGAGCTCTTCCGCCAACAGGTGGCCGGTGTTGCTTCCCAGCGGGTTCCACCCACTGCCTAGCAGGCCATCTACATGGGGCAGACCACAGAGACAGGCTCCAGCAAGCTCAGGATGATGAAGACACATCCTATCTTCGAGGACCCAGCTCGCAGAGAACAAAATCTGTGAACAATAATCACAACATGGCACACACAACACACGTCCCAAAATAAATCTTCACTAGGTACAGAGTTGGCACCAAATGGCTTTCTCCTACAAAATCAAAACAGCCTTGGAATGTCCTTCTTTACTAGATCAACAGATGGTTGTCATAGATAGATAGATAGATACCTAATAGGATAGACTAGATGACAGATATAGATGATTGATAAATAGCTGATAGACATTGTTAGATGTGAAAGACTATGTTCTATTGATAGATGATGATAGATAATGATAGAGGATAGATATAGATGGGTGATTGATAGGTGGATATAGATGATGGATAGGTAGACGATTGACAGGTAAAGATAGATTAGATAGATAGATAGAGATGATTGATACGTAAAGACAGATTAGATGGGCTGGGCATGGTGGCTTACACCTGTAATCCCAGCATTTTGGGAGGCCGAGGCGGGCAGATCACCTGAGGTCAAGAGTTCAAGACCAGTCTGGGCAACATAGTGAAACTACGTCTCTACTAAAAATACAAAAATTAGCCGGGCATGGTGGCGCATGCCTGTAATCCCAGCTACTCAGGAGGCTGAGGCAGGAGAATCACTTGAACTGGGAGGCGGAAGTTGCAGTGAGCCGAGACCACACCACTGCACTCCAGCCTGGGCGACAGAGCAAAACTCTGTTTCAAAAAAAAAAAAAAAGATAGATTAGAAAGATAAGTTATATAAATAGATGTTTGATAGGTGAATGGAGATGATTCAAAGGTAGATAGGTAGAGGATAGACAGAACAAAACCTGGTCTCCTCCCCTCAGAGAACACTGCAGCTCCCGCGCAGGTCAGACGGCTCCCGGGCAGGTCAGGCGGCTCCCGGGCAGGTCAGGCGGCTCCCGAGCAGGTTGCTCCCACGCAGGTCGCTCCCACGCAGGTCAGGCGGCTCCCGCGCAGGTCGCTCCCACGCAGGTCAGGCAGCTCCCGCGCAGGTCAGACAGCTCCCGGGCAGGTCAGGCGGCTCCCGTGAAGGTCAGGGGGCTCCCGTGCAGGTCGCTCCCACGCAGGTCAGGCGGCTCCCGCGCAGGTCACTCCCACGCAGGTCAGGTGGCTCCCGCACAGGTCAGGCGGCTCCCACGCAGGTCGCTCCCACGCAGGTCGCTCCCACGCAGGTCAGAGGGCTCCCGCGCAGGTCACTCCCAGGCAGGTGGCTCCCGCGCAGGTCAGGCGGCTCCTGTGCAGGTCGCTCCTGGGCAGGTCGCTCCCGCGCAGGGCAGGCGGCTCCCGGGCAGGGCAGGCGGCTCCCACGCAGGTCAGGCGGCTCCCGCGCAGGTCAGGCGGCTCCCACGCAGGTCGCTCCCACGCAGGTCAGAGGGCTCCCGTGCAGGTCACTCCCAGGCAGGTGGCTCCCGCGCAGGTCAGGCGGCTCCTGTGCAGGTCGCTCCTGGGCAGGTCGCTCCCGCGCAGGGCAGGCGGCTCCCGCGCAGGTCAGACGGCTCCCACGCAGGTCAGGCGGCTCCCACGCAGTTTAGGCAGCTCCCGCGCAGGTCAGGCAGCTCCCGTGCAGGTTAGACATCTTTTCTGCCATCATGGGCTCTGATTCCCCAACCTGGTGCCATGGTCCACTCAGTCGCTTCTTGGCCCTGCAGGTACAAGCCAGCCAGTCCACAAAGGTCACGGCCGCCGCTCCGCTCAACCCGTGGCTGGCTGTGCTCGGGTGTGTTTCCTCACCTCTCTCTCTGAAGAGCTGAGAACAGGCCCCTCCTGGCCTACGCTTTCTCATCATGTAGCTGTATTTCTGGGCTCACACCTTTAGAACCCACTGAGATTTCTAAAGCTCCTCCTCTAGTGAGCAACCTGGGATGTTTGTGCTCAAAGAAAACAGCGTTTCCAGAGCACCATGGCGCCTAGAAGTGGGCTGGCCAATGTGGTCAGGAAGGAAGGGTGACTTGGGACCCTCACACTGACTGTGCATGGAAACCCCCGTGGTCCACTCTCCTAGTGAGGCACCTCGCCCTCTTCCCAGCATTCCCAGCAGCACTATTGATAAAGCTCTCCTGGTAAGGCACCTCGCCATCTTCCCAGCAGTAGCTATTGGTTAACTTCATAGACCCCCTTTTAAATAATTCTTTGTATTTTTGTTTTTAGAGACAGGGTCTCACTCTGTTGCCCAGGCTGGAGTGCAGTGGTATCATCATTACTCACTGCAGCCTTGAACTTCTGGGCTTGGGGGATCCTCCTGCCTCAGCCTCCCAAGGAGCTGAGACCACAGGCAAGAGCCACCACACCCCACTAAATTTTTCATTGTTCTGGAGAGACGGGGTCTTGCTATGTTGCCCAGCCTGGTCTTGAACTCCTGGCCTCAAGCAATCCTCCCACCTCAGCCTCCCAAAGTGCTGGGATTACAGGCCTGAGCCACTGCACCCAGGTCTTTTAAAATAATTCTTACATAACAGGTAACTTCAGTCCAGACACAAATACTAAATTAGTAGACTCCAAATGTATTGTTGGATTGTCTCTAGCCTATGGCCATGTTCTCTTCTTTAGATCCTGAGGCCGCAGGGTGCAGCTTTCCATTTGTAAACTGTCCCTGGGGTGCTGCCCCAGGGGGTGCTGAGCAGTGAACACTGCCCAGCTACCAGTTGGTCCCAGGGACATGAAGGCCTGGCACCTGCAGAGCCCAGCGGAGGCAGGGTACCTCCAGCCAATATTTCCAGGCACCTAGAGGCAGGTGTGTCCTCACAAATGGAGCCTGTGAAAAAACAGGTGCAGCAATGAGGGACCCAAAGGTGAGCAGGGAAAGAGTCTCCATAATTTGGCACAGAGAGGAGCAGGATTCTCCTCAGTATTCACGCCAAGCCAGGCAGGTCCTTGCACCTTCTGGATACATCAGTGCTAGACTAAAAAAAAAAAAAAAAAAAAAAAAGCAGTAATCTGGAGTCCTTCCTCTGGGGTGCCACTCAGCTTCTCTGGACAGGAGGCTCTCAGACTGCACACCAAGAGATGAGGCCCAGAAGACAGAGACCTCTCACCTCTTAACACCTCCCCAGGTCTGACCAGGGGTTAATTATGACTGTATGTCATGTTTCCAATGAGGAGGAGCTGGATCCCCGAGGTCTGCAGGCAGCAGGGAGGGGCCACACTGGGGGGTCCAGAGGCCCAGGAAGACTCTCAAACCCAGACCCAGTGAGGCCCTGCCTGGCCCCAGATCCCGACAGAGCAGAGGCCACAAAGTGATGGTTCTCCCGGAGCCCCCAGCAGGAATTCTTCCAGTGCTTGGAGGAGATTCTTCTCTCATGTTTTCTTTGTTCTTCATCACCCCATTTAAAAAGGAATAATAAGAAAAATATTTTGTATAAAAATGAATTTCTATTGCTCTCATTACACAATGTTTTCTTAAAGAGAAGCAAAAAAGAAGAAAATAAAATGCATTCACCACATCCTACTCATACTTCTCAACACTGTAATATTTTAACGATCCATATGAGGTCATACCATATGTACTTTTTTGATACCTGACTTTTTCTTTCTCAGAATGACACACTTCCATCTTTCCAGGCCAATACCCAGCCTGGCAGGACTCCACCATGAGGCACATCCACTTGTTCACCTGCCTCCCTCTTACCGAATATTCGTTCCCAATGCAAATAACGACTGTCCCATCGCAGGGTGCAGAGGAGATAGGCTGTTCACTCAGCCTGAGCAGTTCCTCTTTCTGAGATGTGACCACAGGAGGTGACCGCGGGGATACCTCACCCAGCCAGCTTTTCAGGGCCCCCTCTGAGGCTGCAATCACCCCTGCATCACCTTTTGGCCCCTTCCCTGCCACTCCCTCTCACAGAAGTGATGTCAGTAAAGAATGGACACAGGCTGCCTCCCTCATGACTGGGGTCCTTGGTCCCAGGGACCCTGGAAGGCCTGGAGCAAAGAAGGTCATCTGAGAGGTGAGGCGATGTCAAAGAACAAAATCCTCCCAGCTGTTGTCTCCCCACTTACATATTTTTTTATTGTGGTAAAAATAGAATAAAATGTACCATCTTAATCATTTCTAAATCTTCAGTTCACTAGTGTTAACTATGCACATTGTTCTCCAACAGATCCCCAGAATTTTCTCACCTTCCCAAACTGAAACTCTGTCCCGATTAAACACTGACTCCCCTTTCCCCTGCTCCGTTCCACTTTCTGTTCCTGTGAACTTGATGATTCTAACCACCTCGTATCAAACAGCATTTGTCCTTTTAGGACCGGCTTCTTTCACTCAGCATAATGTATTCAAAGGCCACCCATGGTGTAGCACGCTGAAGACTGGGTAATAAGTCCACCGTGTGGATGGATGGACCACATCTTGCTTACCACTCATCCGTCAGTGGACACTTGGGTGGCTTCTAACCTTCGGTTATTGTGAATAGTGCTGCTATGAGCATGGATGTGCCAATATCTGTCCAGGTCCCTACTTCTGATGGTTTCAGGTATGTATGTACCCAGAAGTGGGCGTGTTTTAACGCTTACCTCATATAGTTTCTGATCATGTGCACGAACACTTAGAGTAATAGGCAAATGTTTTGGCCTCGCTAGGGGACAAATGGGGGGTTTGCTTATTTTACATGAATTGCTGGACTGCTAGGTGAAAGTGGAACTGATATTCTTTGAGACCCTACTAAGTGTCAACATGCAGAGAACACAACGTGTAAGAACGGTGACCACTTGCGCTCCGCGCGCAGGACTGTGCTGGGACCGTGTGGCGGTTCCTCACTGTGTCCCCAGGCAGTCTCACAAGGCAGGTGTGGCCATCGCCTCACCTTCAGCAGAAACCCACCATGAGCAGGGGCACATGGGCGGCACTTTTCATGAAGCCCTTTGAGAACAGACATCAACCATGTGAATGTTACTCCTTAAGTTAGAGCCAAAGATATTTGGTTTGCCAAAAACACATGACTAGAACACTGCATCTTGAACAGCTTTAAAAGAAGGCAGCTGTCCTAACCTGCATCCTCCCAGCAGGGTACAGGTTAAAAAACCTAAAGCAACGCAGCCTTGCATCGAAGAGAAATCTTGTCCATATGTTGTTCCTTCACGTGTGACTGGGCATCGGTTGATTAATCTGATTTTTGTAGTCCATGCATGTCAATAAGGCCCATTCACATGTCAGAATGTGCACAGGGTTATTCTGTTAGTGTGGCAAGAAGGGCAGGGCCTGGGAATCGGGAGCCCTGTTTCTAATTTTAGTGAAGTCTTCCACCCTTGATCTTGATGAATACTTGATCAAGTCAATAAATATCAAAGATTAAGAAAGATTACGTAGATCGGGACATTAGATTACTTAATTCTCATAGTTCCTTGAAGTCAGAATTTCCAATGATTCTAGAAGTAATAACCCCAGTAATTCTCATTACTACTTCAAGGTATTTTTGAAAATTACAATTCTGTAACACCCGTTGCCTTAGAAGTCTCCCCAGGTCTAAGAGATAAACCCCTGCCTGAGAAAATCCCCCTGACAGCTCTTCGGGGGTGTGGGGCTCCTTCTGTAAAGAGGAAAATGCCGCTTCTGCAGGACATGGGTGACCTTGAGCAACTGCATGTTTTCTCACCAAATACAAGGAATTTTTTAAAGAAAAGACCAAATGGTGTTACACACCAGAAGGTTTGGGTGATATTTCAATTTTTTTTATTTTAAAGCAAGTATAAACTTTTTCTGATAATTCATTGGCTTCTGCACTGACTCAGACCTTGATGCTCTAATTGTGGCCTCAAGACTGGCAGCTTTGGCCTCCCCAGGGCTGGTCAGAAATGCAGAATATTGGGTCTAACATACCTCAGAAAATGCACTTTGACATTTAACAATCCTGAATGACTCAAAAGCATAGCACAGGTCTGTGCACAGTCCCTGTGCAAGACAAGACACTTCCGACAGGGGAGATGGCCCGGGCCAACACCAGGACCAAACTCTCACTAGGGGGGACCGTGCCACCCCCCACAGTAGCAGCAGCTCTCCCTACCTCCCATCCCCACTGCCCGTGGCCCTGGAACACCACAATTTGGGTGAAGCATTGCAGCCCAGCAAGCGTGGTCCCCAAGAAGAGGAACACTGAGAGGAAGCTCACTGAGGGCTGAGACACTGAGCTGCAGACCTGCCTCTCTCTCGTGCGAAGAGATTCACAAAGGGGCCAATGAACACATGTCTTTTGAGATCTCATGACCTCCAAGAGAAGTCTCTCTGTCAGGAAATGTCTTAGCTGGAACTGTAACAGAATGCCACAGGTCGGGTGGCCTGGAAACAACAGACCTTGATTTCTCACAGCTCTGAAGGCTGTGAAGTCGGAGAGCAGGGCACCAGGAGACTCGGCATCCCAAGGTCCTGCTTCCTGGATCATAGATGACGCCTTCTCGCCATGGTCTCACTCCATGAAGGGGGCGAGGAAGCTCTCTGGAGCTGCCTTATTAGTGACTGATGAGCTCGAATCCCATCAGGAGCATCCACCTTTGAGACCTTGTCACCTCCCAAAGCCCCCATCTCCTAACACCAGCATGTCAGGAGCTAGGTTTCAACACATGCACTTGCGGGGACAAACACCCAGACCAGAACAGGAAGAGGGCAAATAGCCTTACTCCTCCATCTGCCCTTTACATGAAAAATATAATCGTGGAATCAACTGCGGCAACAGCAGCAGAGGAAATGCAAATCAATGCAGCGAAACCCAGGGCCTGTCAGCATTAAGACACCCATTCCACCTCCCACAAACAAACCCAGTGTTATGTTAAAGTTTCCTATTATTAATAGTCCATTTAGCACTTGAAAGCCACAAGGCTGATTGTGCATGAAGCCCTGTGTGCTTGCTTGGGAGCCTGAAGGAGAGTGTGTTGAGTGATAATGGCGTGAAGGCAAAGCTCTTGGAAGACCGCTGGCCTGAATCATACGTGAAGCCTTGCCACGTCAGGATCAATGACGCTCCCAGGGGCACATACCTCAACAGAATGGGACACAGCTCAACAATCCCATGTATGGACAATGTGAATTAACTAAACAACAAAGCCTTCATCATGCTGAGTGCAGGCCCTTTAAAGACCAGAATGTGTCCCCATCCGTTCCAGCATTAGTGCATGGCAGAGGCCGAGAGCGGAGTGTTTCCCACAGCAAATGTTTCCTGGCCCAGGAAAACCTACATTGAGGGGGCAGGGTGTGGTCCTCCTGGTTTCAGAGAAATCAACCACGGCCACAGCCTCGTCCACATAGAGCCTCTCGAAGCCTTGCACGGACAAAGAAGGTATCTGCTGGTGCAGTGCCACCGAAGAAGAGAGGTCCTACCTGAAACCTCACAGGGAAATTTGTGCCTTCTCCCAAGGCAGGACCACAAGTTTGCAGCTCGAGACCTTGTCCAGGGTCCTAAAATGGCTTCTTGGAAAATATGAAATTGCTGACCGATCCCCAGCATCAACTTCGCCAATAGCCTTGTGCTTCTCGTTCAAAGCAAGAAGTACCCAAGTGGAACGCAGATACGGCACGTCAGTGAGAACAAAAGCATCACAAAATGCAAGTCTTATTACTGCAGCAGTTTGCAAGTTGGCCGTGATGTCTCATAATATGAAGTTTGGGTGAGGCGGTGCCAAAACCCAGCTGGTGCAAGCTAAAAAAATGACCAAGATATAAGGCCGTGGAAATGCAACTTGATTACAACAAACACTTAGTGGAGCTAATCACACAGCATTCAGATGCTCCCAGCCCACCCCGATGGGAGTGTTGGATGAAGAATCCTGCAGCTCTCGCCGGGGACATCTGAACATCCTTGTTAGCTCAGGGCACACCCTCTGCAGAGACTCACAGGCATGTGGCGTGGCAGTACATGAGCACTGATGTGTGAGGGGAGAAGAGAGGGGCCTTCCATCTAGGGGCACAGTCTCCCTCCCTTCCCCTTATCCCTCAGATTGTGAAGAAACAAGTGAGGTCTTTGATTAGATGCCTATTTTTTAGGGAATGGTCTTTTCTGTTTATAGGATCTATGCATAGCATATATTTCTAAGATTGGGGTCATTCCTTACACCTGGATTTGTTCTCCAGTAAGTGGTTAGAACTTGGGCTCTGATGCCACAGTGCCTGGGATGTCTACGAAACACACATCATGACAGCTCCTGCATCAGGGGGCTGCTGGGATGATTAAACAAAATTATACAAAGATGATACAAAGAAAGGGCTAGGGCAGCACTTGCGGGGGGCACAGCCAGCTCTGGATCTGAGTTAACTGTTGCCATACGTCTTGTTAATCACAGGTCTAGGGACTGTCCCGTACCTCCACACAAAGACCTACCTCATTCTTTCCAACAGCTGCAGGATATTCTGTGGTGTGAATATGATATATTTAACTAACCTCTTGCTTATGAAAAATCAAGTTGTTTCAAATGAGTATTATGACAAAAAAAAAGGCAGCAATGAACACGCTTATGCAAACATCTTTGCACATGTGTGCAAGTAAGTTTGTAAGGAAAATTCCTAGAAGTGGGATTTGGGGGTAATAGAATTGTACATTTTGTGATGGATACAGCCAATCGACCTGTGAGCAGCTGAGCTGACTCCCACCTCCATCACCAGGACGTGAGGCTGCCAGGCACCACCCCCATCACCAACACCAGCAAGGCCAGCTGTGCGGCTGCCATCCCAGTGCTCCTGAAGCATGGAACCAACACGAAGCAGCACGGGGCTAGGCAGTTGCCAGGGAGCCAGGAGACGGGTGCATGCCAGGCCCTGGCCCCAGCCCCCAAGCCCCCTGCCCACCCTTCATGCCCCAGGAATACCTGGCTTGACTCCTCACCTTCCACTGCACCCTCCAGCTCCATCTAGACCCTTTCCCTCAGCATGGCAGCTTCACCCACACATGTTTATTTAAAGCACAGGCAAAGAATGCCAGTGGTAAGGCCAGAGGGCGGGCAGCTCAGCACGGCAGACCACAGATCCCTTCTCAGCCCAGGAAATGGCTCTGTGGCCCATATCAGCCAGGAAAATGAAGGGTCACAGACGCCCTGCTGGGAGCTAAAGAGAAATGTGTGCAAATCTAAGGAGAAATGTGCAAGGCTCGTGCCTTCCCTGTGGTGTGTGCCTGCTCTTTAATGAGAGTTGCATTCTCCTGAGGGAGACCCTGCGCAGGCCCTGCCCCACGTAACGGCTTTACACAAACTCTAAAAAGTCATCCCAGCCATGCATGGACCCAGGGATGCTGACACCATTCAGAAAATTGTATTGTGGAGGAAGGCAAGGATGAAACAAACAAGGCATGGAGGCTTCTGCTCTATAAAACTATGAGGTTCCCAGGAACATGACACAGTCCGTGCTACATCAGATCTGAGTATCAGGATCCAGCCGTATTTGACTTTTAGAGCTGCAATCTATACAGGCATATTTGTGGCTACATAAACATAGATTATCAGAATGGAACTAAATATGCAGCTTTTAAATACAACCACACCAAAGGGAACTTTGCAAATTACCGGGAACTTTGCAAATTCCCAGGAACTTTGCAAATTACCTCTCATCCTGAGAGGTGAGACAGAGCCAGCTCTGGGCTGTGGCTGGTCATCTCAACCCCAGGTGCCACAGGCCATCTGGACACCACCTCTGCTGAGCACAAAGGTGGACGTGTCCCCAAAATAGCAGCTTTGCTCAGAATTCCAAACAGGGCCTCAGCTCAATGGTGAGAAATCTTAACTCGGACGGCAAACTTCCCGTCTGGGATCTGCAGGCTTCAACAACTGTCAAAGCACGGGAAAATCCCCAGGAAGAAAGTAAGCAAAGGCACGGTAGACGCCAAGGGTCCAGGAGTCGCCCTCTGTTACTTCATGACTCCAACTTACTTTCTACACACAAGACATAGAAACCATCTCATGCAAGCCCCCCAGGAACCCTGGAGGCAGGCACTGTTCCCGTAGTTACCCGCACGTCTAGAGACTGTCCCACATCTCCAAACACAGATCTGCCTATTGTCTCTGCCAGATGCAGGATATTCTGATGAGGAAACCGAGGCATGGAGCTTCTTAGGAACTTTCCACAGGTCACCTGACACTAAGCCCACAACACTGTCCTCTAAATATTTAGGACACCTATATTTTCCTTTGTGTCAGCCATTTCTCTCCCTTTAAAAATCTCTCCCTGAGATTATGGATAATTTTGATAACTTTGAGAATCAATAAAATTACTCTTTTTATCCACTGACATCAGAAGTGGCCAAGCTTGGCCGGGCGCAGTGGCTAACACCTATAATCCCAGCACTTTGGGAGGCCAAGGTGGGTGGATCACCTGAGGTTAGGAGTTCAAGACCAGCCTCACCAACATGGTGAAGCCCTGTCTTTACTAAAAATACAAAAAATTAACTGGGCGTGGTGGCGGGCACCTGTTATCCCAGGCACTCAGGAGACTGAGGCAGGAGAATTGCTTGAACCCAGGAGGAGGAAATTGCAGTGAGCCAAGATCGCACCATTGCACTCCAGCCTGGGTGACAAGAGCAAAACTGTCTCAAAAAAAAAAAAAGAAGTGGCCAAGCTTTAGCTCCTGAGCAATTCCAGAAGAGACTCAGCCATCGAGCTGACTGTAGCCTCCCGAGGACAAGCTTTGGGAAACAGGCCCCATAGCGGGCACTTGGCAGCCCCGGGCCAGGCATCCTGCCACAAGCACCGCACAAAAGGTACTCTGCAGGTGACTGGGCATTTAAAGGACTAGGGAGCCCTGGACACTTGAAACTGAAGTCCTTTCTCAATTTCTGAATTCCCTCCTCTAAAGGTCTCCATCCTGGATCTTGTTAGAGATGCTATTTTTGCTGTTGGCCACCCTTCGCGGGGTTTGGTAATAAAAGATTGTTAAAGTGGGGTTTTTTTTGTTTTGTTTTGTTTTGTTTGTTTGAGACAGAGTCTCACTCTGTCACCCAGGCTGGAGTGCAGTGGCACAATCTCTGCTCACTGCAACCTCTACCTCCTGAGTTCAAGCAACTCTCCTGCCTCAATGTCCCAAGTAGCTGGGATTATAGGGAGCCGCTACCACACCAAGCAAATTTTTGTATTTTTAGTAGAGATGGTTTCACCATATTGGCCAGGCTGGTCTCAAACTCCTGACCTCAAGTGATCCACCCACCTCAGCCTCCCAAAGTGCTGAGATTATAGGCATGAGCCACCATGCCCAACCAAAAGATTGTTAAAGTTTAAAAAATAAATAAATAAAAGTCTCCAAAGGAGAAAGGATTTTTCATTTTCTTCTTCATTTTTTCTGAAGGGGAGGAAGGTAAGGAGAACAGCTCCCTGTGCTTCTAATTTAAGTATCTACATTTTCACAAGTCCCCATTAACATAGCCAATCCTTAACAAAGGCTAGAATGTGGGACTGATCAAACATTAGAGAAAGCCCCATTGCCCTCACGGGCCACCTGCCTGGCACACACCTGTGTGCACTTCCCACATATTTATGGTGTTTATCCCAGCGTTTGCTGGGCTGGAGAACTGGCCATTCTGTCACTGTGACAAACAGGCCTGACGAGGCCAGCCGTGCCTGCGATTGCATTTTCCACTCTCCAAACAGAATCTATTAGACATGATGCAAGCAGAGATTATTTTTAGGAAGGCTTTTCATTACAGTGATGTGAAATGTCAAGGCTGAGACTCAGCAGGCTCTATGCAGACCTCCGGCTCCCACTCATTAAGTTCCTGCCACGTGCTACGCCCAGGCTGGGCCCTGGACAACACAAGTAGGTCCCCAATTAACAGCCAAGTTAATTAACTGATTGGAAACACAGGGGAAAGCTGTCTTGGGCGGGGACATGGCCCTCGAGGAGCAAGCGGACTGAAGGGGTACGGGCATCGTGCCGAAAGGGGTAGAGACAGCATGGTCAGGGACTCTGCAAGGGGAGAGAACATCAAGCCCAGTGAACACTGGGGGCTGCACCCCCCCACACCTGATGAGGGGCAGAGAAAACCAAATGGTGAACCCCCATCTCACCTCATCCCACCCTTCCTTGCTGCCCAGGTGTGCAAGATGGGGCACGGGCCATCCCAACTCCAAGTCTGGCCTGGACACAGAAATGACCAACGTGCTAACGACAGTCAGAAGCTGATGAGACTCTTATCTTTCCTTTATTAAAAACTCTTTTGCCCAGGTGCAGTGGCTCACATCTGTAATCCCAACACTTTGGGAGGCTGATGCAGGCAGATCACTTGAGGTCACAAGTTCGAGACCAGCCTGGCCAACATGGTGAAACCTCGTATCTACTAAAAATATAAAAATTAGCTGGGTGTGGTGGTACATGCCTGTAGTTCCAGCTACTTGGGAGGCTGAGGCAGGAGAATCGCTTGAGCCCTGGAGGCAAAGGTTGCAGTGAGCCAAGATCACACCACTGCACTCCAGCCTGGGCAAGAGTGAGACTCTGTCTAATAATAATAATAATGTTTTAAATTTTATACCTGCAAACAGTATCTAGCTCAACTTCCTCATTTCAAGAATGGGGAAACTGAGATGCAGAGAAAGGAGATGAACCGCCCAAGCTCACACACAATATAGCGAAGCCAAACTTTTATATGTCACTCCCAGAGGCGGTAGGAACATCACATGCTTCCTTTTGGAGACCTTGGTTTGGAGAAGAAAAAAAAAAAACAGCTTTTAGAGTAGATTTTCTTTTTTTGAACTACTGAGGAAATCTGCAGGAAAAGAGGGTCTTCAAATACTGGGGTAAATCATATGACTGACTTGTATTACACAAAGCTGAGATTTATAACAAATACTCTAAACAACTACTCCTGGAGCAAACAGCTTTCACCTATCACACTTTACAGAAATATTCTTTAAAATAGTGGTTTCTATTTTTTTCTATCTTTTTAATTTCACAGACTAATAATCTTTTTTAACAAACTGGGGTAACCTACATGTAAAGTTGCCAAATCTTTATGTGTGTAACTAAAAATGTTTAAATAAAAAAAAAAACTTTCCTATCACACTTCTTTTAAAAATTACTAACATTAAAAAATATTCCTCCAGGCACAGGATTACACCTGTAATCCCAACACTTCAGGAGGCTAAGGTGGGAGGAACACTTTAGCCCAGGAGTTTGAGGACAGTCTGGTCAACATAGTGAGACCCCATCTCTACAAAAAATACAAAAATTAAGCAGGTGTGAGGGATTAGGCCTGTGGTCCCCGCTCCTGGGGAGGCTGAGACAGGAGAATCACTGGAGCCCAAGGCATGGGAGGCTACAGTGAGCTGTGACTATTTGGCTGCACTCCAGCCTGGGCGACAGAGCAAGAATGTGTTTCAAAACACATATAACTAACTGTACATGTATGTATGTGAAATCTCAGGAATTTAGGTATTTTAAGGGGAATACATCTGACAATAGGAATGCAGCGTTTCCACGGGTTGACTGGCGCTGGCCGTGCCCTGGAGGCTCCTGGCCCAGGGAGGCCCCGTGTCCCTGAGCGAACGCACCGGCTTTGGGTTGTAAACCAGGGAGTTTGGACTTAATTCCCAGAACTCAATCACCACTGAGCGACCTCGAAAAAGATCACGTGGGCCTCACAGGACGAGGGCCAGACCCAGATGCGCCCGCTTGGGCGGACGAGACTCCCTGACACCCTCCCCGGGACGTCACAGCGGAGGAAGGCTAGGAGCTCGCGCACGCCAGGCTGTGGGGCCGAGGGGTCCGGCTCTCAGGGTCCTGCTCTCAGGGTCCTGCTGGGCCCCTCACCAGGAAGAGGGGACACGGAGGCAGCAGCTCCCAGCGGCCTCGAGGGCGCCACTGACAGGAGCGCGGGGCACAAGGCTGCCCAACAAGAACGCGGGGCGCGAGGCCGCCTAACTGACAGGAACGCGGGGCGCGAGGCCGCCTGACAGGAACGCGGGGCGCGAGGCCGCCTGACTGACAGGAACGCGGGGCGCGAGGCCGCCTGACTGACAGGAACGCGGGGCGCGAGGCCGCCTGACTGACAGGAACGCGGGGCGCGAGGCCGCCTGACTGACAGGAACGCGGGGCGCGAGGCCGCCTGACTGACAGGAACGCGGGGCGCGAGGCCGCCTGACAGGAACTCGGGGCGCGAGGCCGCCTGACAGGAGCGCGGGGCGGCGCCCTCCCGGCCTCCCTCAGCCCCGCGCCCTGGCCAGCGGGTGCCGCTCGCAGACGGGGGAGCCCAGAGCCCACGCGCCAAGGCCGCCAGGCCTTTCCTCCCTCGCGTTCCCTCAGGCGCGTCCTCCACCCGTTTCCCCCAGGCAGGGGGAAGCCCCGAGAAGCCGCCGCGCCGGGCTGAGATCGGGCCCCAGGCTCTCCGCGGAGCCGTCTCCAACCCCTGCAGGCCGACCTGGGCAGCCAGGCGGGGAGCGCGCAGCCACAGCCCGCGTTTCCGGGCTCCGTGTCCTTCTGGAGGCCGCTCCTTGGCCATGGGCCCTCGGTCCTCGCCCTGAGCAGCGCGCCGGGGTATAAGGGACGCCCTCAGAGGCCTCCACCCCACACTCCACCGCGCTCTGCCAACCGGGACAAGGTGTTTTGCTGAATAAATAAATTAATACATAATAAAGGCTGCGTCCAACCAGATGAGGACAGAACCGAGCGCCCTCCAGCACCCTCTCCCACCATCCATCCTCACAGACGGACTCTGCACCGTGAGAAAGCGGCTTCGGCAGCTCCGACCCCTCAACTGACGCGTCTCCCCGTGGTGGGTCCCGATCCCCCGGCCGGCTCTGCCACTGAAGCCTCTCCCTGTGTCCTCCGTGCCCCCCGAGTGGCCTGCTAGCCCGCTCTCCCACACAGTCTCCTTGATGTGAAGTGTCACCCGGCTTGCTGCGGCGTGTCTCCGCCGTAACACGTGTATACCGGCTCAGCACGCGGCTGGGTACGGTTTGCAACGCCGAGAGCCCGCGGAGAAGCTTGAGCCTGTGAGCCCCCGTCTCCGACCACGGACTCACCGGGAAGCACCAAGGAGAACCGCCTCCTCAGGAACCCTGTGGAGCTCATGGCTTTTGTGACTGAGACTAAAAGCATCCATAAAAGCCCGACATTGTGGAAAGACACAAACGTGCATGGACCTGGTTACCTCTGGCCTTCCTCTGCTCAGAAGCCCACCCCTGCAGAGCAAAGCCCGGGTCCCGGATGGCAAAGCCATACGCAGGAGCCTTCCCAGCAGCCGCCGCCATGGCTGACGCACTGGCAGGAGCCGCACCGGACACTCCACCTAGTCCCTCTTCAGGTTTTAATCCATTCTGTTTTATTTCATTTGATTTTATTTCATTTTATTTCCAAGCCCTGTGGCAAGGCTTGGAATATTTTTTGTTTTTGTTTTTGCTTATTTTTTTTTAATTATGCCGTGTGTTGGCACACTTCATGAAAAGCACCTATTTCTGGCCAGGCACAGTGGCTCACGCCTGTAATCCCAGCACTTTGGGAGGCCGAGGTGGGTGGATCACCTGAGGTCAGGAGTTTGAGACCAGTCTGATGAAACCCCATCTCTACTTAAAAAATACAAAAATTAGCCAAGCATGGTAGTGGGCGCCTGTAATCCCAGCTACTTGGGACGCTGAGGCAGGAGAATCACTTGAACATGGGAGGCAGAGGTTGCAGTGAGCTGAGATTGCACCACTGCACTCCAGCCTGGGTAATAGAGTGAGACTCCAACTCAAAAAAAACAAAAACAAAAAAAAACAAAAAAAAACACACACCTATTTCTTTTTTTTTTTTTTTTTTTTTCTTTTGAGCAGGAGTGAAAGTATTAAAAAGCTTTAGAGCAGGAATGAAAGGAAGGAAAGTACACTTGGAAGAGGGTCAAGCAGGGGACTTGAGGGATCAAATGCGTGGTTTGACCTTTTGACTTGGGGTTTTATATGTTGGCATACTTCTGGGGTCTTGCGTTACTTCTCCCCTGATTCTTCAAAAAGCACCTATTTCTTAAGGATCCAAAAAAATAAAAACCAATTTCATTGCTGCTGTTTCCATTTCTTGGCAAAAATTAGGAAACACAACTAAATAAATATCCACGGAATAAAATGGTGCATTTATTCACCAAAGTCTTATCACACGTGGAGATGAATAAGAACTTCCCGAGCCAAGAACAGTATATACAACATGGAAAATTCTCTAGAGTTATTAAGTGAATTAACCTCATGAAATTCTACTATAAGATAAGCACTAGGAATGCACTGGAAAGAGAAAGGTGCTAGTGAGCTTCTGGAAGCACAGAAGGTTCTGAAAGGCAGGGAAGGTTCTAGAAGGCAGAAAAGGTTCAGGAGCTTCTGGAAAGCAGGGAAGGTTCTGGAGGGCAGGGACTCTGTCTTGCTCGTGTTTGCAAGTCCAATGACTAGCACATAGTAGGTATTCAGTACAATGTTCTGAAAAGAGGTTTCTCTGTCTGGCTGTCTAGTTGGGTGGAAAACTGATCCTCTTCGTTCACAGTGAGATAGAGGAACCTGAAAAGGATAAACATATGAATTCCCCTCAAAATGTTGTTTTGTTTGGTACTGGGTAGTGATGTGAACAACTGTGGGGTTAACTTAAGGCTCTAGTTATGCTACCTCCTCCAGAGAAGATCCACTTTGCCCCATCTAGCGGCTGAGGATTCCAGCAGCCCTGACAGCCCTGACCCACCAGGGCACTGAGCCAGCTCTGTGCCTACGAAGACAGCTGTCTGCTGAACCCTTTCTGGGTGCAGCCTGCTGGGTCCTAACTCGAGTCTCTGAGGCATACCAGGGACCTCTGCCCAACAGCTCTCCGAGGCTCCTGATCAGGACCGGCTGACACCTCTGGAAAACACTGACCCTAAGTGCCACATCCCTACCCTTCTCCTGGGTCTCTGCCCTCTGACTCATCACTGTGATCCTTCATTATTTCATACATTTTGTCCAGATCTGTTTTTGGTGCCAGGGTCATTGACTCCCTTAGTCCACCACTACTGGACACAGCACTCAGAGATCTTTGCCACTTAAATTGCTTTACACTTTGTTCTTCAGTAAAAAATTATTAAGCTGATATAGGAACAGCAGTTTCTAAATAAAGATGAGACTATAGTACATATTATCAGCCCACTGATTTTGCCAGTATAGTAAGCTTGCAAGTATGAGTTTATACTTTCTGAATGATTTACATTTTATTCCAACTAAATAAATAAATCTCACTCCATGACATTTTCTAAGCTGAGGAATAGTTGTTAATTCATTTTGAAATGTTCTTAGACTAAGAATCTAAATTTAAAAGAGTAATTAGCATGATGCATGATGAATGGACAAGAGTCTTCTGAGGCACACAGTAATGTATTTCTTCCCTCATTTTACTTTTATAAAAATACTTAATGGGAATTAATGATCATCCTCTGGTACAGATGCCTCATCTGATCATCAACATTTCTTTGTATGTCACTAACACTATACCCAGCTAAACAATTCAAGATGTTCAGAGAAATGGAGGGGGGATGGGAAAGGGAATCTGCTTCCTAGAAATGCAGAAAACATCAACTTTGGGTGCTGAGGAGGCCAGAATAGATTTTTAAATAAAGTCAAACAATTTTCAGAAAAAGATTATGTTACTTGTGAAAAGTCATTCGTTGGTATCAATTTTAAAAATAAAGAGTCAGCATAGGGGTCTTCAATCCAATCCTAGAGTAGCAGAGCTAGAAGCGGTCTGGAGGAGTGACCACTTCTCCTTTCTGACTGCCAGTGCTCACCACAGCTTCATGTCTCTGGGGTTCTTTCCTTGAAAATCAACCAACCAAGAGCTCGGGTCTCTGTCCAGGAAGGTCAACAGCAAGTCACTCCCCATGCCTGGGTCTGAATGTCCTTATGTGGAAGTTACTTATGAATCGATGAAACTGGACCAGAGACTCTTTTCCAGCTCTGAGAGTCTGTAATTGATGTATTCATTTATTCAGCAAAAATTACTGAACATATATATTGACATATGCCCACTCTTAGATGTCCTAAAAATTAAGCTTGATATATGGGCTAATGCTGGAGCCCCACGAGACCCCACAGCAAATGGCCTCTTGGGATCTGGTGCCAGAAGAGTGGGCCCCCTTGTGTCATTCTCAAACTATGCTGCAATTTCCATGGGCCTGTGAAGAGATTTATGGATTAGGTGACCCATTTTAACTATACGTAATCCAGAGATTTGAAAAGATTCTTAGAAAGGAATCGTGGATTGTTAATAAGACAAATACAAGAAAATCTGTACTTCCAATGGGAGCTCTTCTTTAGACACATTTTGAAGTGGAAAGCATCACAGTTAGACCCACAAGAAGGCAACCAGAAAGATTAAAAATCATCGTTCGGACTTTCTCAATTATAGATTTATGCATATTTTCAGTAGTGATGAGCACTGTTCTCAGCATATATTGTGCATCGAGACAGCAAATAACCATAGATTGAAGCTCTCCAGATTAGACACTTAAAAACTAAGTATCTAAAATGTTATTAATCACATTAATAAAAATTTTAGTGAATACAAAGAAGTTTTTGTATCTTCAGCAAAATATTTTAATCATTAGTGATGTTTAATTTCTCATTCTCTTAAATTTGTTTTGAATTTTTTATTATAAACATACAATGAGTTCAGTAGAGCACATATATAACTTGTAAATAAGAATATGTATCCGGTAAATAAATGCACATTTCTGTTGGTGGCGCCATCAGACACTGAGACACTGAGAGGAGGGGCCACAAGGGGGATGAGGCAGAAGCCTCCTGCCAGTGAGGGCCCAAGAGCCCTGTCCAGGGCTTGGGCTTCCTTCCTAAGGTTAGATGTGGGGCAGCTCTGGCAGAAGAGTGATAGGATCAGATTTTCAGTTGTGGCAGTTACTCTAGCCAGAACTGGAAGGTGGCATGGAAGGGGCCAATACTTCTTTCTTTCTTTTAAAGTTTGTTCTGCCATAATTTAGGCCAAATTCTTCCTCTGCTACATGTGAGGACTGCATGCCCGGCAGCTTCCTCCACATGCATCAGGCTGCTGGACAGGCCTTGCTGGCACACTGGGTGGGTGGCTCCGTGGAGTGTCCTGCCTACTGCAGGATGTCGAACAACGTCCCTGTCCGCCATCCACCTAGTCCCAGCAGCAGAGGTGAGAGCCACTGATTTACACGGCAGAACTGGCCACCACCAGACTACTCACCCTCTTCTCCTTCAGGCTGCAAATTAAAACAGACTTCCATCCTTTCTTCAAAGGACATATTTTTCTTCCCTTTTGTCATTTATTTTACACAGGAAAGTAGCATCTTTTAATAGTCTAGAAGAACTATTTCAACATTTGGAACATGCTAACAATATACCCACACATGGTAGAATCTTTCAAAATGAGGCTTTGATTTTGGAGTTCGTACTTATTTTATCTACAATCTTTGTCAAACATGTTATCTTATGTGAAATCACCTGTAACAATCTGGGACATTCTTTTTTTTCATAGTGCTTGACTTACCCTGAATATCTGACGTTCTTTCAGAGTGCTATGAAAAATATTAAATCATTAAACAAATGTTATATATTATTTAAAAGTACCAATAAACCAAACACGTCACTTTTTAACATTTGCTATTGACTGATATTGTCAATAATGTAGTTGGCTAGCCCCATAAGATGGGTTTTACTTTTTATCACTGCTCACTGTAGCCTCAAACTCCTGGGCTCAAGTGATCCTCCTGTCTCAGCCTTCCAAATAAGTGAGACCACAGGTGTGTGCCACCAGGCCCAGCTAATTTTTTACATTTTTTGTAGAGATAGAGTCTCACTGTGTTGCCCAGGCTGGTCTCAAACTCTTGGCCTCAATCAGTCCTCCCACCTCAGCCTCCCAAAGTGCTTGGATTACAGGCATGAGCCAATGTGCCCGGCCAGGTTTTACATCTATATTTCAACCCCTCAGAACCTGTGGAGGATACAAGAGGCATAACTACATAAGTATCCAAATTTTTCACACAGTTGCATGTTTTTATTTTCTCAGAAGGGCACTAAATCAACACATCTCTTGAGAACTACATCTTACTTCCCAAAGAGACAAAATAGTTATAACCAATAATAATTTCAGTATTACTAGAAATTATAATAAAAATTTAAAAATAAGTAGATTGTTTTATAGAAAACTAAACCAAGAATCTAATCTTTATTTTTAAAAATATTTTCCACTTGAAAACATTTCCTTTTTCAAGTGATCAAAATGCTTCCTTCTTGTTAAGCTCACAGCAATGAAAAACTCATTTAAAAAATGTTCTCTGAGTTTGCAACATCCCCATTCCATATGCTGTCAATACTTTCCCCGCTGGAAGAGCCTGCCTCTTACCCCAAATAAGCAGCAAGCAGGAACTCCCAGGCCTGGGTGAGGTGTGTCCCCTGGTGTGGTCACTCAGACAGAGCTGTGTGTCTGCAAACACACCAAGTCACTCACAGCCAGGCACTGCCAGCCCGGGCTGCCTGCACAGCAACCCTGTCAGGCTCATGCAGAAGAAGCCGTTTTCAGACCACACTCGTTTTGCAAGAACGAACATCTCTGTAAAGTTCTGCTTCTGACGTCACAGTTTCTCTATTCCACACAACTCTGCCTCAAAGCCTTTTTTAAGCACATTCCAGGCACAAGTGTGAGCCAGAAAAAGGGCTGAAAACATGAGGGGCCCTCTCGGGACAAGCCCCGGGGCCCACAGCCTGCACCACCAGGGACATGGGGGCTGCTAAGGAGCCTCCCACCAGCACCTCTGCCTGCCTCTCCCGCAGAGGCCTCCGGGGAGTAACATGCTGCTGATCTGAGTGAACATAAGGAACAGGAACACACCACAAAGGTCCCACAGAAGCACAGCATGGGGAGCCATGGCTGACAGCCAGTGGTCAAGACAGAGGTTCTGGAGCAAGATGGAAATGCACAGGGCATCTGGCTCCCAGTCCTGCCCGATGCCACAAACACCATGGGGCCTGCACAACACTGAGAGCTCCCAAACACCACAAACAGCATGGGGCCTACACAACACTGAGGGCTCCCCACCCTGCCTGATGCCACAAACAACATGGGGCCTACACAACACTGAGGGCTGCCCACCCTGCCTGATGCCACAGACAGCATGGGGCCTGCACAACACTGAGGGCTCCCCACCCTGCCTGATGCCACAAACAACATGGGGCCTACACAACACTGAGGGCTGCGCACCCTGCCTGATGCCACAGACAGCATGGGGCCTGCACAACACTGAGGGCTCCCCACCCTGCCTGATGCCACAAACAGCATGGGGCCTACACAACACTGAGGGCTGCCCACCCTGCCTGATGCCACAGACAGCATGGGGCCTACACAACACTGAGGGCTCCCAGCCCTCCTGAATGCCACAGACAGCATGGGGCCTGCACAACACTGAGGGCTCCCCACCCTGCCTGATGCCACAGACAGCATGGGGCCTGCACAACACTGAGGGCTCCCAGCCCTCCTGAATGCCACAGACAGCATGGGGCCTGCACAACACTGAGGGCTCCCCACCCTGCCTGATGCCACAGACAGCATGGGGCCTGCACAACACTGAGGGCTGCCCACCCTGCCTGATGCCACAGACAGCATGGGGCCTGCACAACACTGAGGGCTCCCCACCCTGCCTGATGCCACAGACAACATGGGGCCTACACAACACTGAGGGCTGCCCACCCTGCCTGATGCCACAGACAGCATGGGGCCTGCACAACACTGAGGGCTCCCCACCCTGCCTGATGCCACAAACAGCATGGGGCCTGCACAACACTGAGGGCTCCCAGCCCTCCCGAATGCCACAGACAGCATGGGGCCTGCACAACACTGTGGGCTCCTAAGAAAGCCCAAACAGCAAAGTGAGCACTCACCTTGTCTTCATTTCCTCTAAGAGGAAGACTGTTGTAACCTGATAAAACAGACAGATAAAGGATAGGATGTGACCACAGGAATGGGGTCCACCAGAGCCACCGATCCCCAAGTATGGGATGTGATGACAGGGACAGGGCCCATCCAGGGCCCACAGGTCTCCCCTTGGACTCTGACACAATCCTAAGTGGATGGAGTAAGGGAAAGGGCCCTGTGCAAACTCTGAATAGTGCACTGGGCCCTAACACAGACCCTGCACTGCCCGGCCACCTCCCTCTCCCCTTGCCATCCCCACAGGCCAGGAAGATGGGCACAGCAAGACTGCCCACCCTTACCCTGCAGGCCAGAGGGCAAAGCAAGCCAGCCAGACACTCACCTCGCTTCAGAAGAGCAAAGGGAACAACACCCACCCGGCAAGCTCGTTGACAAGACCAAAATTCAGGCACTTAAAAACAGTGCAACCTAGACATGCCAAGTATACTAAAAAACGTGCTCTGAATTTTGCATTTATCAAATATTACATAATAAAACATTTTAAAAGAAAGTGTTTAGCATATCTAAAAAAAGTGTATGTACTATCTCTTTTTATTATACTTTCTACTCAAACTTGTAAGAAATTTGTATGAATATTATTTAAGTCACCTTTTTTTTTTTTTGAGATTCCAGAGGCCAGGCATGGTGGCTCATGCCTATAATCTCAGCAGTTTGGGAGGACAAGGAAGGAGGATCACTTGAGTCCAGGAGTTCAAGCCAGGCATGGTGGCACATACCTGTAGTATCAGCTACTCAGGAGGCTGAGTGGGGAGAAACACTTGAGCCCAGGAGTTCAGGGCTGCAGTGAACTATGACTATGCCACTGCACTCCAGTCTGGGCTACAGAGCCAGACCCTGTCTCTGTAAAAAAAAAAAAAATCATAGATTCAAAGAGTACATGTATACGCAGGTTTGTTACGTGGGTGTATTGAGTGATGCCGACTGTTGGGTTTATGATGATCCTGTCACCCAAACGAGGAACACAGTACTTGATAAGTAGTTTTTTGACCCTTGGCTCCTTCCTCCCTCCCTTCTTTAGGCATTCCCAGTGTCTATTGTTCCCTTAAGTCCTACTTCTTCTCTTTTTTTTTTTGTTGTTGTTGTTGTTGAGACAGAGTCTCCCTCTGTTGCCCAGGCTGCAGTGCACTGGCACAATCTCATTTCACTGCATCCTCCATCTTCCAGGTTCAAGTGATTCTCCTGCCTCAGCCCCCCAAGTAGCTGGGATTACAGGCACCTGCCACTACAACCAGCTAATTTTTATATTTTTAGTAGAGACGGGGTTTCACCATGTTGGCCAGGCTGGTCTCGAACTCCTGACCTCAGATGATCTGCCCACCTCAGCCTCCCGAAGTGCTGGGATTACAGGCGTGAGCCACTGCGCCTGGCCAAGTCCCACTTCTTTTATTCAAGGGCTTTACAGTCATCAAAGGGATGATGTGAAATAAACTCCAAAGGGCTGTCACCATCAGTTACTCTCATCATCACAACAAAACCAGGCCTCATCCTTATTGATGTAACCTGTTTGGATATGCCTATTAAGAAATATAAATGATATTACTCTTTAAAAGGTAATGGCAATGCTTTTGCAATAATCTCTATTGTCAGTTCATCTGAGACTTGGATTTTCTAAAGTAATATTGTTTCTAACAATAACAATATTCCATCCTGTCAGCCACCACCTCCAACATTAACTGTAGAAACCTGGAGCATCCAAAAATAACAACCACTATGACTTATCAGAAACTCTGTGGTTACCAAGGACTCTCCCACCCATCTCAGGTAATCCTCTCAAAAACATGAAGAACCAGGTATTTTGCTCAAGGTGTAAATCCAGAGAGATTATAGGTGAAGTCTTTCCATTTCTCTTGACTTCTAATATGAGTGCAAGTGCAAACTGTAAAGATTATCTGATTGGAAAGATAAGGTGACCTCTCAATCTGTCAACACGCTGCATGGAAGCAGTACTGTCATTTAATTTGTGCTCTTGAAACAGCCACATATTCCCTATTCCCTACCATATTTGCAGAAATCACCAGCAGTTTCTGACTCTGCTAGAATCCTCTTTCTATTTCAGTGAAAAAGCCCCATTTCTGTTACCTTAACTGATCATAATTTCATGTTGGCTATTTCATAGAATCAAGGACCATAACAGCATAACAAAGCAGGCACATGGATGCCGCAAGTCTTCTACCACAAGAATGGGTGCCGCTCCATAGGAACTGATGGCTGTGCTTCCCACAGCAGCTCTAACCACAGCTGTATCTCAGTGCAGAACACTCAAATCAGATGGAAGTCCAGTGGTCTCAACCTTGGCCTGTTTTCAGGAAAAGCAGAGAAAGAGATTCAAGAACTCTTAGTAAAAGAGATGTGAGGGACAAAATGGACTTGAGGTGGGAAGTCATCAGACAGCAGCTCCTGCCACTGCTTTACCTATGTTCCATCCCCTGCCTCCGGCTAAGAAATGGAGCTTGCGCTGGTGTGCACAGTTGAGTCCTCTAGAAGAGCGGCTATTTCAGAGAATGTACACATTGTGGGGTCAGCCTCAAATTGTACCACAGATTAACTGCTGCTTTGAGCTGGATTAAAATCACAGCCTCTGACTGCCAATTTTATTAGCGGCTCCATCCATTTACAAGTTGAATGTATTTCACATTTGGAACCAGAATTCACTTGCATGATTAATATGAAGTCCTTTCCTTTCAGAAACCAGGTCAGCCTTCCTTCTGAAAATTCCTTCCGCCAAACAAACCATTTCTAAACATGCCCTTTGTGCTGTATACAGAACACTGCATCAGAAGCCTTTTCAAAATGACCTTTCAGAACCACGTGGTGACGGAGCACCCACATCACATGATAGAAAATTCTACACTTTCCTTCCACCAGCATAGTTCAGAAAAGAGTAGGGAGTCCCTGAACCAACCCCCTGCCTGCTTGCCACTCTAAACATCAAACCTAAACAGAACCTACTCTTAAATAAATGTTCTTAGGAAAGTAATCCCTCTCTCATCCCTTATTCTGAAGTGGGTTTTTGTTATGACAAGTCTGAGATGAGAGCTCACTTCTTTGGTGTTTGTGTCACCACGTTTTTAAAAACCTGACGGAAGCCCAGAAAGCATTCGGAACATAAAATTTTTATGGACACATCGAGTAGTGAATCCTAAGGGTGGCATTTTCATTCCCTGCCATTATGGGAAGGACAAAAGTCTCCAAAAATAAGTCGCCCATTTCCAAACATCAAAATTCCCTCAGAAGGCACACCAAATATTTGAATCTGACACCCAAAACAAAACCCAACTCAGAAAATCAATCCCCTGCTGGTGCCAAAGAGCACTTTAAAATCTCCGTGGCCTGAGGTTGAGAAGCTTCTAAGAGAAAGGCAGTTTGACAAGTGAAATGGTCCCCACTCCTGTAAGAACGAGACAGACGTCCTTGTTCTGTGCAACCAGAGAGACATGTTCTGACAGCGTGTAGAATCCTCGGCCCATCCTGGGATGACCACTGGGAGAGAAAGGAGGCTCCAGAGACCTAGGACCCCATCCCAGGACTACCCACCAGGTGTCCTGTGGTACATTCCTTAACCACTCCAAGACTCAGTCTTTCTATCTGTAAATTGAAGATAGAAATACCTATGCGGGTTATTCTGGGGAATACATGTCAGTGAACATGGAAGGCTCAGGGGTTCAAGATTTGGGGGTACCCAGAGGTACAGGGATGGGAGAGGCTGTCACTGTGAAGGGAGCACACTGGGAAGTTTTGGGGGTGATGGAATGATCCGTACACTGACAGAGGAGGTGGCCACCTGAATCTATATGTAACACAGTACACCAAAAAAGAAAAGTCCATTTTACTTTATGATAATTTAAAATTAAATTTTAAAAAGAAAGCTCCAGAATCGGTTTTGTAACTATTAGTTCATCCCCTGTCACCTGCCATGGCCTTGAATCACCCTCACAAGACACAGTCCTAGTCCTGGCACTACCCAGGGAATGCCCTTGGTTTTCTGAATCCCAGTTAGGACTATTAGAGGGAACAGACAAAAACAAAGGAAGTGAAATGCCCTCTTACCACTTCCAGAGATGAGAGTTAACACTGAGTAACTGTCACCAAACACTCATCATCTCTCGTTTCTTTGTGTTACACACACAGAAGCCGTTCAAGACAAATGCAGCTCGGTAGTCCGAGGTCCAGTTTTCCAGCTGCCTGCAAAAGCCACCCACTTACCAGCCTCGTGATGTAGAGTGACAAACAAAAAAGGTATTTAAAATGTGCAGAAGCAGGTGTTTCCAAGGGAGCCTCACCCATTTTTACTTCCTGTTCTAGGTATTTAAATAGTGGCTGTGGCAGAGTTCTTAGAGATAACAGGAATTAAAAGAAAAAAATGCCCTTCCTTCAACACACTGTTTCCACACTGTTTCCAAGCAGCAGAAAAGTGGATTAACTGTTTTCTGCTTCTCAGGTTTTCTGGCCTTCTATCAACTAAGATTAAAAAATAAGTCCAGCTGGGTCTACATTTATGAAGGTCAACTTAAACTAATGTGGAAAGAGCTGCCAGGTGCTTTTATGTGGTGTGGAGGGTTATCTGCCATGAATTTAGCTGTTTGCTTTCTCTGAGAAGTGGAACATCATGTCAGGAAAGATAAGAGAGGTTCTCAGCCGAGGCTCATCTGGCCTTCGTCTCTTGGGATTCGGCTGGATGAAAACCCTTTCTGCCATTTATTAAGCTTTTTCTTCACCGCTCCACGCACAAAGAATCCTTAAACCTGGTCGGGCACAGTGGCTATGCACGTAATCCCAGCACTTTGAGAGGCCAAGGCAGGAGGATCACTTGAGGCCAGGAGTTCAAGACCAGCCTGGGCAACATAGCAAGACCGTCCTCTCTCAAAAAAAAAAAAATTCATTTTTAATATTTTTTGTTCATTTTTTAGTTATTATATTTACTCATGAACCCAAACTAAGACAAAACTTTTTTAAATTAGCCTGGTGCAGAGGCATGTGCCTGTAGTCCCAGCTATTCAGAAGGCTAAGATGGGTGGATTGCTTGAGCCCAGGAGCTCGAGGCTGCAATGAGCCATGATTGCGCCATTGTACTCCAGCCTGGGTGACAAAGCGAGACTCCATCTCAAAAAAAAAAAAAAAAAAAAAAAAAGAATCCTTAAACTAGTAATATTTACACATATCCAGGCATATCTTAGATATCTGTCACCCAATGCCAGGGAGCTATTATTAGTTTGGGTGATGTTTGGCTGCAAACACTTTTTCATGAGGAATTTGAAATTCTAAGGTAACCCTCCAAGAGGCAGTAGTCATGGCTCACCCGCAAAGCCAGTTGCATTGAGTGGAACTTTCTTAATGAGACCATGTCTGATGACAGCTTAGCTGAACCCCTATGTCTCCTTGAGGCTTCACTCCCCTTCCTAGTCCCATATTCCTCACTTTCAAAATCTAAAGAAAAGTCGATGAGTAACTGCATCCAAAAATTAGGTAATCCCGCATGAACACTAGGACAAAACAAACCCAGAATGCAGAAATTATTGTCACATAAAATGATCAGTGTTACCACAGAGTTCATCAGAAGATGGGGCCTTGGGATGTTGAGCCTTGGACTGCACATCACACCAGCTAACCTTTGTCCCGTGTACCCTGTGTCGATAGCCCTATTCTTCACAGGAAGCTGGAGACCCAACATGCTGACATGTTTCATAGCACACAGAGATTCCCGCTGTGCACCATGATGGGGCCCAACACCATCTCGGAGTAAAGCAGAGAGAGGACTATGACAAAGTGATTGCCCACCCCCACCTCCCCTCCCTGGCAGGCACCACTGACCTTGATCACCAGGTACAAAAACAAATCAGCTTGGAAGAAGAGCTGCCAGACGCTAACACACAGCTAAGCTCAGCACTGAGAAGAAGTCATTTTAAAAGCTCTTCCATTCCCTGCCCATCCCTTCTGAGCCTGACACCCTACATCCTGCTTCCTGAATCTAGCTTCATGAGTGAACCCATTGTCTGGCACCTCCTTCTTCCAGAAGCCTAGGGTTACAACACACCCCATTCCTTCTGCCCAGAACATCAGCCCTTAGGCTGATGGAGACCGAGCAGGAGAGACAGGGAACAACAGGCAGAGAAGCTCACAGATGTGCAAGGAGCAGGCTCTTCTTGGGGGAAGGGACAGGTTGCTCATTACCATCCAACCAAACGGAATCAGAGGCTCTGGACCCCAAGAAGTAAAGATAGATTTGTGCTTTTGTGGCAGTAAGGATCCTTTGATTTAAAAATAAACAATCACGCCATCTCCTTCACAAAGCCAGCAGAGTCCTGCTCCGATGGCTCTGCCTCTCGGCTCTGTGTGGGCTCCCTGGTGAATGAAAAGTCTGTGTAGGCAAATCGGAAGGCCAAAACAAAGGAGCAAAATGAACAATCTCCTGTCTTCACAGCCAGGTGCACCCACTGGTTCTGAATCTGGATTCTCGAAGCAAAATCTGCATGAAAGGCTGACTCTATCATTGGCAAGTGAAAGTTGTGCTTCTTTAGCAAAAGGAAGGGGGGGCCTTTATAAAACTGCCCCCCTAAACATAGGGGCCACCTGAGCAGGTTCACAAGTCAGCCTCCATGTAAGTGAAGAACAGCGTAAAGCCCTTAACAAAGGGCTTATGTTCAAGTTAAACTTAAGGAAAAAGCACTGAGACCTGCACAAAGGATGCCCTGAAATCACAGAGAAAGGCGGGCCGGTCGGGAGGAAAACTCAAAGACTGAAGCATATGAAGAAAAGACCATCAGGCTGTCTGAACAGCCCTGCATAACACAGCAATGTTATTTTGGCTACAAGCAAAGCTGAATCGTGTCACTAGAAAGGATGCCATGTTCCCCTGTGTTCAGCTTCGATAATGGTCTCACAGATAATTAATTAATGCCATAAGGGAGCCCTTCCGACCAGAAAGGAACAGGCAGAGTGGGTGATGGGAGGGCAGGAAACTAAATAAATCAGGGGAAAAGAGAGGAAGCAGTGAGACTTCCACTACCACAGGGTGCTGCCAACAGCTGTTCTGGAAATAAGTCAGCATCGTGGAGTGCGGCTCAAGGCCACGAGAATAAACTCAGAGACAGCAGTTATCGACCCTGGGTTTCATCAAGAGCTCCTTCACTGTCAACATGAGAAAGGCCCCTTGCTCAAGACAAGGCATCCTATATAAAAAGAATTGGTCTTTAGGTCTTGTTAACATCAACCTCTAGTTCTAACCTACAAGGCTGTTTGACGTAACAGAGGAGCAAAAACTTGGATCTCCTTGAACCACATGTGTTCTGGAGGCCTCAACGTGAAGTTGAATGTTAATAGGTAAATAAATAAATAGATTACAAATGGCACAGCTGGGCCGGATTTAAGGCCGCTCTGTGCATCTTTAATCGAGCCTCATTATTTGGAACAATGTAGTTGGCGTGACCATTGCCAAACAAGATCCAGACAGGAGAGAAAGAAAAATAGCAGCACCTGCCCGGCACAGGTAAGAAAGCTTCTCCTTGCATTCTCCGTGGATTGTGTTCTGACAAAATGGCAGCAACACTGAGTGAGGATGGTACAAGGTGGAGGGGACATAGGTAGCTGACACATGGCCACATTCTGCCCCAAGGTGGCTCCTGCAATGGGAAGACCACATATACATCTCACTCTTTGTCTATACCACTGGGGCAGTTTCCAATTACCTGAGAATGTAGGTGATGCCTTTCACCTGGAGTCCTCGAAACAATTTCAACGATGTCTGCATCCTTAATGTTTTCCCACAAAATAAGTGTGTCCATAAGTCTCTTTATGACACAGCCTTCTGTTACCAGTGACACCGTGATCAGAGCCGAGGGAAACATGGCACCAGTTTTAATTATATGAGTCAACTTTGCTGGTAGCCAAAATAACACTGCTGCATTGGGCATTATCATTCAGTTTAGCAGCTTTCCTCTCTTCATGCACTTCCATCTTTGGGTTTTCCTTTGCTGCCTCTCTCAGCTACCCCCCACCTTTCTGACTTTCTCTGTGATTTTGGAAGAATGCTGTGAACTAGCCATTGCAATGGCAAGGAAAGCAGTCAAGGACCAGCCTCCAGCTCACACCATAATGACCTACCTTCCCTGGGACACTCCACGCCCATGTGTGCTTCATGTGTAGGTGAAGGGCGGCACCTGGCCTCAGAGCAAACAACTCTCCCATAAGGTGACTGGCCAGGTCAAGCCAGCTGGAGGAAGGAATACAACCCCAGCAAGAGGCCACTGGTGCACAGCTGGGCCTTCTTTCCTGATAGGGGGCAAGGCACCAGGAGGAGGCAGAGTGAGCAAGGCCCCCAAGCCTCCCATGCAGGACTCCCCCGTGCTCCAGCATGGAAGGGTGAGGGCTTCACCTGGGCCCTGGGGGCACAGTGACTGGGCTACATCCCAGAGGTGCGGGACCAGCACAGACACTCCCTCCCAGGACTCCAAGGCAGGTGAGCAAGGACCTCCTTTCCCAGCGCCTGTGTTCCTTCTAACAGAGACAAGCAGGTTAGGGAGTGTGAGGAAACCTCAAGGCAAGGGAGGAATTCAGGGGACTCTGGCTTGAGGGAGGGGAGCGTCAACTCAGGAGTCCAGGGAGACTGTGTCAAGACTCCTGGTTCTCTGCAGTTTTTGTTTGTTTGGGATTTTGACGATAAAGCACTACTGGAGACCAGAAGGGCCTAGAGGCCGAGAGGAAGGTGCCGGAGCCCAGCTGCACTGAGGTGGGTGCAGGCGGCGCTGGGCAACGGCGAAGGACCCCCCTCCATCCCCGCCTGCGTTTGCTTCTGCACCCCGTGGACACCGATTATCCTAACCTGTCATGTGTAATTCTGGCCCCGAAGCCGCCTGGAAACATTGGCTTTATGGTAAATCTTCTTAATAAACAAGATTAGCAGGAAAGGAGGTGCCGGGGACTGGAGGTTTTATGGGTTTAAAACAGGGGCGTCCGCCTGGGAAAGCAGCGGCTTCCACTCCCTCGCTGCCGTGAAGCTGCCGCCCTCCCTTTCCTCCCGCGGCTGCCACGGAGGAAAAATGTCCTCTGATTTCGGCGGCGCTGCCCGCGGGGGGGTGCGGGGGACGCAGGTAGAAGCGGGTGCAGCGGGACATCCGAGGCCCGGCCCCTCGCGGCACACGCGGCGGAACACGAGCGGGGGGCGCACCCACGCCGGACCAGGGCCGCGCGCTCCAGGGCCAGGGGAGTGCCGAGTGGCGGGGCTCGGGGCGTGAGGCCCAGGAGCCGGGGTAGAGGCAGGAGGCGGCGCCGGGGAGGAAACTGAGGCAGGGGCGCGAGACCTGCTCCGAGCCCCCAGTGAGGACAGAGAGGCGCGCGACCCGTGGCCGGGGGCTTGAGACCCAGAGCCTGGGGGTGTCGCGCTGGAACCCCGAGACCCCCGGAGCCCCCGACCCGCTCGCCAAGGCGCGCTCCCCACTCACTCACTGAGGCACCCCTCCCCACCCGCCCCGTCACTCACCGAGACGCCCCTCCCCTAAACCCCCCACTCATTCATTGAGGCGCCCCTTCCCCCACGCCCCGCATTCATTGAGGCGCCCCTCCCCCCACGCCCCCCTCTCATTCATTGAGGCGTCCCTCCCCCAGAACCTCTCAGAGGCGCCCCTCCCCCAACGCCCCCACTCATTTATTGAGGCGCCTTCCCTGCATGCCCCCTCACTCAGAGGCGCCCCTCCCCGCAACCCCCTCACTGAGGCGCCGCCCCTCCCCCCCGAACCCCTCACAGAGGCGCCTCTCCCCCCGACCCCTCAGGGTGGCGCCTCTCCCCACCCAGACCCCCTCACGGAGGCGCCCCTCTCACAACGCCCCCAACTAATTCATTGAGGCGCCCCTCCCCCGGCGCCCCCCACTCACCCAGACGCCCCGGGAGCTGCCGGCCGCGGGGGACGGACGAAGGGGCGGCAGGCAGGACGCGTGGCGGCAGCAGCAGCAGTAGCAGCAGCAGCAGCGGGAGCGGCGGCCCCATCCCCGCGGCCTGGCCGGCGGCGCTCAGTCCATGGCCGCGCGGGAGGCGGCGGGAGGCGGCCGAGTCCGGGCCCAGGGAGGCGCGCGCCGCCGGCTCCTCCCGCCGCGCCTCTCGCGCTCTTGCGGCGACGCCGGGCCGAGCTTCAGCACCGGACAGCGCCCGGCCCCGCCCCGGCCCCGCCCCCGGCGGCAGGGCCCCGCCCCCGGACGCGCGTCCGCCCTCAGGCCACGCCCCCGGCCAGCCCCGCTCGCCCCGGCCACGCCCCCCGCCCGCCCGGCTCCCTTCCCTCCCCACTCGCAGGCGCCGCGGCCCGGAGCCCCACGCCCGGCCCTGGACTCCCCGGCCCCGGCTCGCGCCCCTCCCCGCTCGGAACGCCCCGTCCGCCCCCCGCCCCGCGCGTCCCCTCCCACCTGCATTCCTGCCCCCCGCCTGGCCCTCCGATCCCCTCCCCGCCTGCCGCCGCTCCCCGCCCGGCCCGGTGCTGGGGGTCGCACTGTCCCTGGGGACGGCGGGGGCCTAAGCCGCGCCCTTGGCCCGGACGGGAAGGCCCGAACCTACTCTGCTGGGGACCTGGGCAGGCGGCCTCTACCCGCGGGGCCCCGCGCGCGTCGAATTAACGCCTTCCAACCGTTTCTTTAATTTAAACGTAACGGGCCACTTGCGCATCGGGGCGCGCGGAGGTGGACCCAGTCGACCTCCCCTGCAGCGCGGGCGGCGCCCAGGCTCGGTCCCAGGAAAGCTCCCGGAGGGCCCAGGGCGTGGGCTGGGGCCAGGCGGGCTCTGGGGCAGAGCAGGGTGAGGCCTGTTGCGGGCCTGGTCTCCTCGCCGCCGTCCCGCCCGGGGTCCTGGGGGATGTCGCGTGTCCTCCTCAGGAGACAGTGCCACTTCCAAGAGGTCCTAAGACAAAGGGGGCCAGTAGGGGCCTCCGGGTGGGAGGGAGCCTGCGCTTCTCCACAGCCCACCTCCCTCACACGCTACCCCAGGACCACCCCCTGCCGGGTCCCTGTCCTGGCGACCCCACCTGGGCCCCCAACCTCCGCACCTGCTTCTGCCTTGGACAGAGAGGCCTGAGCCCTCCCGCGTGCCTTCCTGCCACGTTCTCATTCCAAGGACATCTGCTCGGCGCCCTGTGGGTTTTCTCCTCCATGCCTGGCCACCAGGGCCATGCCTTCCGCGCCCCTTACCAGCCTGGGCAAGGCTGGCACCTGTGGACAGTGAATGGGGGCTGGGATGGCAGCGGGGAGGTTCCATCGTAGCCCAAACATCTGCAATTCAGAGTTGGATATTGGGGCTGACTGTCTTAAGTGCCCTCCTCACGGACACCTCTGTCCTCAGACCTCCGTCATCTCCTTGCTGGGGCCCCTCACCCTCCCATCCTTCAAGAAAGCTCCTCTTTGTTTGTCGCAGCCACCTGTGCCCGGAGGGGGTGGTGGGTGGCAGCTTATCCTTCACACCCAGACGCCCAGGGGACCACCTCCCCGTAGAAAGCACCTTCTTGCAGAATGCGGCAGCATAGAGGTCACGGTAGCTCCCGGGCAGCCCTTCCCTCCTACAAAGTCAGGCCCGTGTGTAAACCTGCGGATCCTACAAAAACAGCCGCTGGTTGGGAGAAGGATGGCAGCAAGGACTGGATAGATGGGGCTGCTTCTGACTCATTATTTGTAGTAGACTAGACTCTAATTTTTAACACAGCAGCGCTTGCCTCAAAACAAATGCAACCCCCCCCCCCAGCAATATCCATCCAGGAAAAAGGCTGTAAGCCCACAGCGAGGCGCACCCCAAATGTGGGCTTGGTGGTGATACTGTTTGGACATTTGTCCTGCCCTAATCTCCTGTTGAATTGTAATCCCCAGTGTTGGAGTTGGAGGTGGGGTCTGGTGGGAGGCAATGGCAGCATGGCGGAGGATCTCTCCTGAACGGCTTGAGCCACCCCTTGGTGATGAGTGAGCTCCGCGACTCCCTGTTCTGATCATTTAAAGCCATGTGATACCTCTCCCTAACTCTCTGCCTCTCCCTAACTCTCTCCCTCTCCCTAACTCCCTCAACTCTCTCCCTCTCCCTCTCTCCCTTTCCCTAACTCTCCTCCTCTCCCTCTCTCCCTAACTCTCTCCCTTTCCCTAACTCTCTCCCTAACTCTCCCTCTCTCCCTAACTCTCTCCCTAACTCTCCCTCTCTCTCCCTAACTCTCTCCCTCTCCCTCTCTCCCTAACTCTCTCCCTCCCTAACTCTAACTCTCTCCCTCTCCCTCTCTCCCTCTCCCTAACTCTCTCCCTCTCTCCCTAACTCTCTGCCTCTCCCCGACTCTCTCCCTCTCTTCCTCTCTGCCTCTCCCTCTCTCCCTCTCTCCCTCTCCCTAACTCTCTCCCTCTCCCTCCCTCCCTCTCTCTCCTTCTCTCTCCCTCCATCTCCCTCTCTGTCCCTCTGTCCCTCTCCCTCTCTCTCCCTGTCTCTCCCATCCTATGTGACATGCCTGCTCCCCTTTGCCTTCTGCCATGATCAGAAGCTCCCTGAGGCCTCCCCAGAAGCAGATGCCACCATGCTTCCAGTACAGCCTGCAGAACTGTGAGCCAATTAAGCCACTTTTCTTACAAATTACCCAGCCTTGGGTATTACTCTACAGCCATGCGAGAATGGCCTAACACAGGTGGTAAGAGAAGTCCGTGTGGGGGTGTCGGGAGGCTGGGAACAGCGGCACCCCTGGATGGTTCGATGGGCCGGTGCGTCCTGGGAGGTCCTGAGCCATCTGACTATGGAGTCAGTGATGGAAACCACGGGGGAAAGGAAAGGTCAGAGTGAGCCCGCAGAAGGGAGAGCCTCTTCATGACAGGTCCGTGAGGTGATTCGGACGCACAAGGGTAGGACACGGGATTCTCTTCAGTGAAAACTACTTTGTGAGGCCTTAACGCCATTTCTCTGGTACAGATGGGGGTCTGAGGAACCAAGTGCTCCGCCTGAACAAGGACGACCTGGAGAGGTCTGTTGCCTGAATGAGAGTCACTGAGTTTACACTGCAGGAGAGCAGCTCCCAAGACCAAGGCCCTGCGATTCCCAGAGGCCGTCGGACTGCCGCATCCCTTGGCGTGAACGGTGGGCGTGGAGAAGGACCCAGAGTCTGGAGCCTACATCCTGGAGGACTGTGTATCTTGGGAGGGGCCTGGGCTTGTTTGTACTTTCGTTGTTTGACTTGCTGCTTGCTTAATGGTAGTTTCCTGAACAAGGTCCTGTTTTACCCCAAGGGCCCTGAACTTTGGTTAAACACAAACAAGCCCCAAGAAAAGGGAAAGCGAAAACCAGAGGCACTGGAGGAATCACAACAAAAAGCACCTTGAGAAGCACCTACAAGACAGCAGCGCAGCGTGGCCAGCTCCCTGCCTCAAGCACCAGGCAGGCTAACCCAGGTTCCGAGAGGGGGCAGGTCAACACTGGATAAAATAAACTCCAGGAGGCCGGGCACAGTGGCTTACGCCTGTAATCCCAGCACTTTGGGAGGCCGAGGCGGGTGGATCACTCAAGGTCAGGAGTTCAAGACCAGCCTGGCCAACATGGTGAAACCCCATGTCTACTAAAATACAAAAATTAGCCAGGTGTGGTGGTGGGCACCTGTAATCCCAGCTACTCGGGAGACTGAGGCAGGAGAATCACCTGAACCCAGGAGGCAGAGGTTGCAGTGAGCCAAGATCGTACCATTGCACTCTAGCCTAGGTGACAGAGCAAGACTCCATCTCAAAAAAAAAAAAAAAAAAAAGGAAACTCAAGGAAAGGAAATGCAAAGGGTGGAGAGAGGAAGAAAAATGTTGTTTACCAAACCAAGGCTGGTTCCAGAACTCCAGCTGATATAGCCCAGACTTCTAATCCAAAAGGAAGACCGTTCTGGCCAGACAGGTGGTCACCATTAGATTCTTACTGCTTGACCCAACAGGTGCAGAGGCGTGTCTGTGTCTGTCTGTGTAAGAACACGTTTGAATGCTGTACAAGGCACATATGTGAACATTGTACCACATGTACAGCTTTCAAACATGCTCTTATATTCTCCCAGCCCTTTAGGGGGAATGTCTCCTACATACATTTATGCTTTGTGCCTTCCTACTTATGAAATTAACCCATCATTGTCACACTTGCTGATATGCACGCTGTATGCCCATAGCATGCCAGGGTCTGTATACAGTGCAACCTTGTAGTTTCAATGCAGTGATAACATATCCCTCACATTTGTAATCATGGGTTATTCTTTGATTACAAGGATTAATTCCAAGATTCCAAGATTTTCAAGGTCGAAAGGCCTGTGTCAAACAGTTCCTGAGTCACGCATGTTCCTTCAAGGGCATCCTATCTGCCAGACGTGTCCGGTCGAATGGGACAACAGTGATGTGTACCAGGGGAATACACAGAAGGTCAGGGCTCAAATTCCAGTCCTACGGTGCACCAGCTCCATGATCATGAACGCGGCTCCAGCAACGTGATCGTGAACATTGCACCAGCTCTGTGATCATGAACGCTGCACCAGCTCCGTGATCGTGAACGTGAACGTTGCCCACTGGTGACAAAGGTGAAACTGTTGGCCAATCCAATGGTTTTGTGTCAGTCAGTGCTCTGGGTTACATCAGAGCTGACCAGTCCTTAACGAGGACCAGAAAGTGTTTCAAATGGGGTGGCTGGGCCTCTGATTCTAAGAAACAATCTTGAGAGGGCTGGCATGAGAACCCTGGGGTGCAGTGGGGCGCAGCAGGCTTTGTTTGAATCCCAAAGGCCCACATCACGTGGACAGGACTGACCGGCTCCTGCGTGGCATTCTCCTCTTCAGGTTGAAGGCTGGGGCTCTGATCTTCCCATTTAACATTCTCTGTGGGAGATGCTGAGTCTCCGCTTGATCAGGAATGGCTTCATGAGAGGGATGGACTTCAGGTGAGGTTTTAGGGCAAGTGCAGATGCAACTTCCACACACTCCATGCTCAAGAACAAAGGTGCCTGAACATGTACTAATGAATACACTCAAAGTTACTCATGCTAGACAAACATTTTGGCTCTTGCTAAATGACATAGTGGTTCTGGCCAACCATGATGAAATTTGAATGACTTATTAGAACAGTCAAAACTGCCAGATTGGCCACTTTTAATTGGCCATTTTTCACCATTTAAACACAACCCAGGTCTAGTTGAATGGCAAATGCAGTGAGTCACCTAATCCCAGTCTGTGTGATGGAAAGTGGATGTCAGCCCATGGAGACGGTAGCTCAGTCTTCTGCTTATGATGTTGACTGAGCCCAATCTACAGGGCAAGAGCAAGTCATTCCTGCCCCTGCCGCTTCAGAGAAGAGTGCCCCACAAAGCTTCCCTCTGCTTAGCGGAGAGGAGTCAGGAAGGTCCATCACTCCTTGGTGTCTTGTCCTGTTGTGGACACCTCTTCCCTGCGGGAAACGTCCTGCCTCAAAAGGGTGACACTTCTGTTCAGTACCAAGTGTCACTGACTCCAGGGTGCAATTGCAGGGTGGGGAATCGGAAGCTGCACCCCCCCAAATGGAACAGCCCAAGGGGTTCACCTTGCCCACTGCCAAATTACCAAGACAGCATAATTGCAGTAGAGAAAGAGTAATTTACGCAGAGCTTGTGTGCGGAAGACTGGAGTTTTATTATTCAAATCAGTCTCCCTGAAAACTTGAGGATCAGAGTTTTTAAGGATAATTTGGTGAGTAGAGGCTCGGGAAGTGGGGAGTGTTGATTGGTCGGGTTGGAGATGGAATCAGAGGGGGTTGAAGTGGGGTTTTCTTGCTGTCTTCTGTTCCTGGGTGGGATCGCAGAACTGGTTGAGACAAATACCAGTCTGGGAGGTGTCAGCTGGTACATCAGAATTCAGGGTCTGCAATATCTCAAGCACTGATCCCAGATTTTACAACAGTGATGTTATTCCCAGGAGCAACGTGGGGAGGTTTAGAATCTTGCAGCCTCCAGCTGCATGACTCCTAAATCATAATTCTAATCTTGTGGCTAATTTGTTAGTCCCCAGGCAGGAAGGGGGTTTGTTTTGGGAAAGGACTGTTATCATCTCTGTTTCAAAGCTAAACCATAAACTAAGTTCCTCCTAGAGTTAGTCTGGCCTACGGCCAGGAATGAACAAGGACAGCTTGGAGGTTAGAAACAAGATGGAGTCAGTTAGGTCAAATCTCTTTCGCTGTAATAATTGTCTCAGTTATAATCTTTGCAAAGGTGGTTTTAAAAATATTGCTCCTAGACCCCAAATGTCTGAAGAATTGGCCTTAGCATGTTACTGTATTATCAATATTTTGCCAGTCAGCAGACAACAAAAAGGGGAGTGGAAGTCTGGACCGTCCATCTTGGGTGGTGTTAGTGTTGGTGTCGGTAGTGGTGGTGGTGGAAGTGGAGGTGATGGTAGGAGTGATTGTTACAGTGGTGTTGATGTTGAAGGTGTCAGTGTTGGTGGTGGGATGGTGGTGATCATGGTGGCAGTGATGGGGTGGCAACAATGGTGGTTGGGGTGACGGTGGTAATCATGGTGACTATGTAGGGTATTGGTGGTGGTAGTAAAAGTGATGCTGGAGGTCGTGGTGGTGGTATTGATATTGGCAGTGTTAGTTGTGGTTATTATGGTGCTGCTGAAGGTGGTGATAGAGATGGTAATAGTGGTGATGGTGATTGTGATGGTGGTGGTATTGACATTGGCAGTATTGCTGGTGGTGATGATGGTAGAGATGATGGTGATTTCCATGGTGGGTGTGTTGATGAAGGTGGTGACTGTTGTGGTGGTGGTACTGATATTGATATTGTGTTGGTGGTGGTGGTATTGATATTGACAGTAATCCTGATGGTGGTACTGATGGTGATGGGAAAGGTGGTGGTGATTTTGACAGTGGATGTGTTGTTGAAGAAAGTGGTGATTGATACGGTGATGGTAGTGGTTACTGTGGTGGTGCTGGAGGGTGGTTGTAGAGATGATGTTAAAGATGGTGATGGCAATGGTGGTGAAGCTGGTGGTGATACAGATGGTCATGGTGGTAGTGGTGGAGCTGGTGGTGATGGAAGTGGTCGTGGTGGTTGATATGGTTTGGATCTGTGTCCCCACCCAAATCTTATGTGGAATTGAAATCCCCAGTGTTGGAAGTGGGGCCTGGTGGGAGGTAATTGAATCATGGGGGCAGATTTCCCCCTTTGGTGCTGTTCTCATGATAGAGTTCTCACAAGATCTGGTTGTTTAAAAGTGTGTAGCACCTCCTGCTTCTCTCTCTCTTCCTCCTGCTCTGGCCATGTAAGATGTGCCTGCTTCCCCTTCACCTTCCACCGTAATTGTAAATTTCCTGAGGCCTCTCCAGCCATGTTTCCTGTACAGCCTACAGAACCATCAGCCAATTAAACCTCTTTTCTTTATAAATTACTCAGTCTCAGGGGTTTATGGCAGTGCGAGAATGGACTAATACAGTGGTGGTGGTGGAGGTGGAAGTGGAGGTGTTAGTGGTGATGAAGCTAGTGGTGGTAGAGATGGTGATAATGGTGGTCATGGTGGTGGAGGTGGAGCTGGTGATGATGGAGGTGGAGGTGTTAGTGGTGGTGACGCTGGTGGTGGTGGAGGTGGTGGTAGAGGTGGTGATGGTGGTTATGGTGATGGTGGCGAAGTTGTAACAGAGGTGGAGCTGGTGGTGATGGAAGTGTCAGTGGTGGTGATGCTTCTGTCTGCACATCCCCTTTCCCATTTAGGCAAACAGCACTGCCATTTTTATCTGTGGGACTTCTGCCCTTGAACCCTTTTCCCTCAGGACAGGCCACCTGGTAAAGGCTCATGGCATATGCAGGCCAGCAAATGCTCTCTCCCTAGGATGTGAGTCATGCATGGAGTGACACAGGAGGAGATGACCAGAGCTGCCTCAGGCCTGCAGCAGCACCCGGGCCTACCTGTATTAGTTCGTTCTCACACTGCTATAAAGAAATACCCGAGACTGGGTAATCTACAAAGAAAAGAGGTTTAATTGACCAGCAGTTCCTCAGGCTATACAGGAAGCAAGGTGGCCTGTGCTTCTGGGGAGGCCTCGGGAAACTTATAATCATGGTGGGAGATGAAGGGGGAGCAGGCACGTCTTACGTGGCTGGAGCAGGAGGAAAAGAGAGACGGGGAGGTGCCACACACTTTAAAACAACCAGATCTCACAAGAACTCACTGCTGCCAAGACCACACCAAGGGGGATGGTGTTAAACCATGATAAACCACCTGCACGATCCAGTCACTTCCCACCAGGTCCCACCTCCAACAGTGGGGATTGTAATTCAACATGAGATTTGAGTGGGGACACAGATACAAACCGCGTCACTGCCAATGAGTGCCGAGGCCTGAGTCCCATGCTCAGGTCTGCATCTGCATCTTTTCCTGACTCTGGGGGCTCCCTACCTTCCAATAAAGTCTTTTGTGGGCCCAGCTGCCAGACCCTTTCAGTCACCTGCATTGAGAGACTTGGTGACCTATGTAAGTCGGCAGGCCTCAGTCTTACTGTTATTAATAAACAGTCCAGCCATTGGTCATAAGAAAAATATCTAATTCCATAAAGCACTGACTAGGTGCCAGTGATTATGACAATAGTTAGGCGCCATTCTCATTCACATTCCACACATGAGGAGACCAAGGCTGAGGTCTAAATCATCTTCCCAAGACCCCCACAGCCAGTAAGTGCTGGGTTCAGGGTTCAAATCCACTCGGTCTCACTCCAGAGTTCAAGGTCCCATTCTTGCCATCCCAATTCACCGAATTCTCCATTTGTGGATTCTATTAGCCTGAAGCCAGCACTTCTGAGGCCTCCTAACCCTAGCTGGGAGGGCAGCCAGCCCACTCAGCGGGGAGGTGACTGGCTATTATTCAGGGTGTGGGTGCAGAGGTGTCTGGCATCTGAGGCATTTTGTTGCTTCTTTTACTAAGGCAGAGGGAGGGAGAAGCAACCTGTGATAATCTCACCTCACCAGCATTGCAACTTAGCAAAAGTCATACTCTCCCGGCACACTGGTTAATGAATCTGCTGGAAGACATCTTATTCTATGGGACTTTCTCAGAATGTTCTAGACAGTACTCACAGGTCTCCTGGCAAAGCAATAGAAAAACCAAGCCAGAGTCTTGGGAGTTGCCCCCACTCCTGGCCATTCACACCAACATCTGTGCCTCCCCAGGAGGCTGGCCACTGCCCAGTTCACTCCATGCCTGCTATACCCACAAGCCACTAAGCCTGAGGAGGAGAACATCTGGCCTGCCTGGAAGCAGGCTCTTCCCCAGACCAGGGGCAAACACCGTGGAGCTTCCCGTCAGCTCTCCAGCCAGCTCTGCTCTCAGCGGGTTGGAGGCAACAACCTGTGGCCGGAACATGGCCTGATGTGCCAGCCTCCCAAGTAGCTGGCACTACAGGCATGTGCTACCACACCCAGCTAATTTTTGTATTTTTTTTGTAGAGATGGGGTTTCACCATGCTGCCCAGGCTGGTAACTTCTGAGCTCTAGCAATCTGCCTGTCTTGGCCTCCCAAAGTGCTGGGATTATAGAAACGCGCCACCACACTGGCCTATTATTTATATTTGATATAGCATTTAACAGAAATTTGTTATGTGATAATTTTTCACCTTTTGCTAAGTTGAAATGTTTTATTTTATTTTTTTGAGATGGAGTCTTGCTCCGTCACCCAGGCTGGAGTGCGGTGGCACAATCTCGGCTCACTGCAAGCTCCGCCTCCCGGGTTCACTCCATTCTCCTGCCTCAGTCTCCCAAGTAGCTGGGACTACAGGCGCCCGCCACCAAGCCCTGCTAATTTTTTCGTATTTTTAGTAGAGACGGGGTTTCACCATGTTAGCCAGGATGGTCTCTACCTCCTGACCTCATGATCCGCCCGCCTCGGCCTCCCAAAGTGCTAGGATTACAGGCATGAGCTACCGCGCCCAGCCAAAATGTTTTATTTTTTAAAACAGTCTGTTAGAGACACAAACTAAGGTATTTGTGGGTCAAATTAGGTAAAGTCTGGGATTTGCTATAAAATAATATTCTAGCAACAAAAACAACAAAAGGTGAAGATCAATGAGATTGGTTGTACTATTTTCTCTAATTTTAAAAATATATTTAAACATAAGCCAGGCACAGTGGCTCACGCTTGTAATCCCAGCACTTTGGGAGGCCGAGGTGGGTGGACCGTGTGAGTCCATGAGTTTGAACCAGCCTGGGCAACGTGGCAAAACCCTGACCAAAAAATACAAAAATTAGCCGGGTGTGGTGACACGCACCTATAGTCCCAGCCACCTGGGAGGCTAAGGCAGGAGGATCACTTGAGTCCAGGAAGCCAAGGCTGCAGTGGGCTGAGATCACACCACTGCACTGGATGACAGAGCAAGACCCTGTCTCAAAAAAAACACTAATTTTTCTGAATACAAGATCAACATAGATTTTTAACTTTTCTAGGCTGGGCGCAGTGGCTCATGCCTGTAATCCTAGCACTTTGTGAGACCAAGGTGGGAGGATCACTTGAGTCCAGGAGTTCGAGACCAGCTTGGGCAACATGATGAAAACCCATCTCTATAAGAAGTATAGGCCAGGTGCAGTGGCTCACGCCTGTAATCCCAACACTTTGGGAGCCTGAGGCGGGTGGATTACATAAGGTCAGGAGTTCAAGACCAGCCTGACCAATATGGTGAAACCCCCGTCTCTACTAAAAAAAATACAAAAATTAGCCAGGCATGGTGGTGTGCGCCTGCAGTCCCAGCTACTTGGGAGGCTGAGACAGGAGAATCACTTGAACCCATGAGGCAGAGGTTGCAGTGAGCTGAGATCACGCCACTGCACTCTGGCCTGGGGTGACAGAGCAAGACTTCGTCTCAAAAAAACCAAAAAAGTATAAAAATTAGGCCGGGCTCAATGGCTCACACCTGTAATCCTAGCACTTTGGGAGGCCGTGGCAGGTGGATCACCTGAGGTCAGGAGTTTGAGACCAGCCTGACCAACCTGGTGAAACCCTGTTTCTACAAAAAATACAAAAATTAGCCAGGTGTGGTGGCGCACACCTGTAATCTCAGCTACCCAGGAGGCTGAGGCAGGAGAATCACTGGAATCCAGGAGGCGGAGGCTGCAGTGAGCTGAGATCACACCATTGCCCTCCAGTCTCAGCGACAGAGACTCCGTCTCAAAAAAAAAAAAAAAAAGCACAAAAATTAGTCGGGCATGGTGGCGCAAGCCTGTATTACCAGCTACCTGGGAGGCTGAAGCAAGGGGATTGCTTGAGCCAGGGAGGTCGAGGCTGCAGTGAGCTGTGATCACACCATTGCACCCCAGCCTGGGCAACAGAGTGAGACCCTATCTAAAAAAAAAAAAAAAAATTAACTTTTCTATTCCCTAGCAATAACTAGTTAGATAACACAAGAGTAAAAAAAAATTCCATTAACAATGGCAAAAAAAATTGATTGTTACATGCTTAGTAATAAACATTATAAAGAATACGAAGACATTTATGAGAAAAAAGAAAACTTCCATGAAGCACATCTTTTTTTTTTTTTTTTGAGACGGAGTCTCACTCTGTCACCCAGGCTGGAGTGCAGTGGCGCGATCTCGGCTCACTGCAAGCTCCGCCTCCTGGGTTCACTTCATTCTCCTGCCTCAGCCTCCCGAGTAGCTGGGACTACAGGCGCCCACCACCATGCCCGGCTACTTTTTTGTATTTTTAGTAGAGATGAGGTTTCACCGTGTTAGCCAGGATGGTCTCGATCTCCTGACCTCGTGATCCGCCCACCTCGGCCTCCCAAAGTGCTGGGGTTACAGGTGTGAGCTACCGCGCCCAGCCGAAGCACATCTTTTTTAAAAAACTAATTAAAGAGATGCCATGCTCATGGCTGGGAAGTTAATGTAAAAACCATCCTCCTCCCCCTCATTAGTTATAACTTTAATGTAATCTCAATCAAAATTGCATGGGATTTTCTAGAACTTGGTAAACTAAAATTCATATGGGGGAGAAGGCAATCATCCTAAAAGTTTTAAAAGCTTACAAGATATTTAAAGATCACCCTAAGACTCAGATAAGATGAAATATCCAGGGAGGGAAGTCAATGTTAGGGCCACTTTTGTCCAAGGTGGTGTTTCCTGGCCTCGACGGTGACCCTGAGAGACTGCGTATGGGGAACGAAGGAGTTGGAGTGTGGAGCTCTCGTGGGCAGGGGTGGAACAGTCCCTGCAAAGCTGCCCCATGTGAACTTCAGCCTGGCTTCAAGCCATCCCAATGCTCCCAGAACCCCAAACCCTGAAATTACAGTCAGGCGATTGCAACATTAAAACATGTTTATCTTCTTTAGACAAAATACTCTAAACTGAGATTCTTTAGTTAATAGGTGTGAACATTTTTATGACAATGGATATGTATCAATATGTATTTCAGTGTCATCATGTACTAATGTAAACCAGTTTAATGCTGCCCTAAAACAATGTATACCAATTACACCATCATTTTCCAGAAGTGGGGATTATACTTTTAAAAAACTGCTTTAGTAATTGAAAATAGTAACTGCAGCCTCAGACTCCTGGGCTCAAGAGATCCTTCTGCCCCTGCCCCGCAAGTAGCTGGGACTACAGGTGCACACCATGCCTGGCTTCTCATTTCTGTGCTAATTACATTTGTCAGTTGGCCTGTGAGTGTCCTGACAGTACTGGCTCCAGCAGCAGCTTCTGTTCCTGGCTTCTCAGGTAAGTTCTGATTCTCTGCATTCACCTGTCTCTCCAGTTTTCAGGATAGCAGTTTGCCCCATGACCTCATTTCTCTGATGGATCTGAGAAGAGTTGTTGATTTTCCATTTGCTGAGCTTTTTTCTTGTTGTGGGGACAGCAGTGATAACTTCCAAGCTCTTTACCTGTCAAATCATTATCTTTTGATATTTGAATGGTTTTAGTTTTACATGTGGATTTGTATTCCATCTGGAATATTTCTTTTATGCATTATATAAGGTAGAGAACTAACTTTTCTTAGTGAAAATCTGTCATTCCCCATTTATTTGGGATGACTTCATTATACACAAATAACCCACGTAAGTGTGTGTGCTCTGTGCTTCTCGTTCTCTTCCGTTGGCCTATTTGCCTATTCCTAACCACTTCCATACTGTAGCTTTTTAATACACCCTTCAATGCTGGGTAGCGCAAACCCCCTCTGATTCTTCCCGGCGATTCTCTCGTGTTGCCTCTCCTCTGTATTGGAACACATTCCCTCCCTCCTGTCAGATGTTAATTACTTGTGTTCTTTTTCTTTTCTCTGCCAGACTTTCTAGAAGTTTTCTAGTTGTTTTACTCATTTATTTAATCATATCTTTGGGAGTTTTTTAAATTCATAAATGTATCCTCACATATTTACTCATTTGTTCCCTTTTTAGTTTTCTATTTCTTGCTTCTTGAATTAAATGCTCAATTCTTCTTTATTATACAAATAATACTACTGCATTCCCATTTGGAAAATGTTCAGTCTGTACAGAAACACACAGAGGAAAATGTGAGAGTTCCTTTACTTGCACCCCCACTTCCCAGTCCTCTCCCAGAAGTAAGAACCATCAGCAGTTTTACCCAAACACGTTGCTTATGCTCAAATGTCATTTTTAAAATAAATGACATCATACTCTTTGTACTGTTTTGACTTGCTTTTTAAAAAATTTTACTTTGCATATGACTTAGAGATATTTTTGTTATCAGTATAGATATGTTTGCCTCATTTCAGGTAAAGGTTACATAATATTCCCTAGTACAGACAGGCTGTGTTTAAATGATATACTCCATTATTGAAGGATATTTAGCTAGCTTTCCAACAGAAACTCTTCAGATACCTGAAAAACAGTATCTACAAGAAACAACCTTAGCCAGCATGCGGACACATGGACACTTCAGTTGCTGAAACACCGGAATGCTTCCCGATCCATCGGTTGGTAGCAGGCCCCCAATATTCATATTTGACGACAATATGGTCCTCAACTTGGTACACACATCCCATAAAAGTTCAAATACAAAACACACATGCAAAAAGTGGTGGCTTTCGTGCACCCCAGGAATCACTAATGAAAATGCAGTATGAAAAACCACAAAGTGAGAATTGGAGCTGATTATCTCTACTCTACCCCTCTGTGCAGACACTGTTCTGAAAGGTTTACTCAAGCATTAATTCACTTACTATTCGCAGCAACCCAAGGAGGATGTTCCATTATTATCTCCACTTCACAAACCGGCCCATAGTCACATCTCTACTGAGTGGGAGAGCCAGCAAGGTTGCCCAGACAGCCTGGCTCCTGCAGATCTGTCTTCTGCATTGAAAACATCATATTTACAGCAGCTACCATATTCTGAGGCATGTTCCTAATGCCAAATGTGTAAGACGGAGGAAATCACATTCACTTAAAGGCATTATTTACTGGTGTTTGACTAACCTCTCCCAAATCCACCCTTGGATGACACCCACAAAGCCCTAGGCCAGGAGTCTGCCAGGACTCAGGCGGCAGGTCTCTCTTAGCCCACGAGGTCTGGGCCTCACTGGGATGGCAGTGGGAAACCTGGCATTCAGGGTAATGTGTCATGGGCACCCAGAAGACGCTCCCACTATAAAACTTTGGGAAATAAAGCAGTGAGGAGATAGCCATCCCCAACAGGTACCCCAGTGCTCACTCCCCATGGGCAGCAGGTGCTGCGAACACTGAAGAAACAGTGCCTGATTCAACAAGGACAGAAAGACCCCGGAGCGCAGAGACCAGGCATCATCGCTAACCACTAAAGCAAAGAGGGCACTGCCAGCTGACAACCAAGAGGAACTATGGGAGTCTCCACCTGGAGCACAGAGACCAGGCATCACCGCTAACCACTAAAGCAACGAGGGCACTGCCAGCTGACAACCAAGAGGAACTATGGGAGTCTCCACCCGGAGCACAGAGACCAGGCATCACCGCTAACCACTGAAGCAACGAGGGCACTGCCAGCTGACAACTAAGAGGACCCACAGGAGTCTCCAGGGGTTACTCACCAGCCCCAGGGCCGAGAACCTAAACAGCCAGGCAGTCTACCACATGCTTACCTGGTCAATATAACCAGAGCAACTCCAGGCCTAGCAAGTGAGGTCTCACTTAGGCCTAACAATGAAGTTACAGCTTCTCACCCATTTCCTAAGGAATCACCCAACACACAGAGCCTGGGGCTTCAGGAAGGATACAGATCATTTCACCAGCACGCGCTCTTTTAACTCCCTTCCCTTTCCCAAAGGGTCTGTGGCCATTTGCCAGAGAGCCTGGGCCTGGGAAGGCTGGCGTGAAGGGTGTCAGGAAATCTAGGACAAAGACCAGACTAATTCTAGCCCCTGCGAGGCAGGACACCGCAATGTCCTCCAGTCACAGTGGGCCTCCAAGCCTATGCTACATTATTTCTCAGGCACCCAGGTGTGTGGTTGGAATATTAACCCTCAATACTGTGCAGAACTACCTCTCAGTTCCCCAATAGGAAGAACACCTATTCAGGCATGAAGAGCAAAGTGACGTCTTAGAGCTCTCCCTCCTTACTTAAATATTAAATCAAAAGCAAGACCATGGATAAGCAATCTGTGGTATATTTTAAAAATGGAATATTGCTCTATAATGAAAAGAAACAAATTACTAATGCGTGCAACAAATGGGTGAATCTTAACAGTAGTGTGCTGGGTGAGGGAAGCAGACACGAGTGCCTACTGTGCGCTTCCCTCACGAAGCCCGAGAACAGACAGAGCCACCTCATGGAGACAGAAACCTGAATACTGTGCGTCGCGTGGGAAAGGGCAGGCGAGTGCTTCCTGGCGTGGCAGAAACGTTCCCCAGCTTGACTGGAGCACAGGTCATGTGGTTGAACACACTGTTCAAACTCATCAAACTGTGCTTAATATCAGTGTATTTTGTAGTGTAAATTTCTATTCAAGTGACGTCAATTTTTCTGGTATTTCAGAAATTTGCACACCACAATGACTGAACGCTGCCAGTGGGGATTCCCGTCACCGGCCTGGCCCCAGTGTATCTTCAAGAATGACTCGTCTGGCACAGCGGGAGCAGGTGGTGGATACGAGGGCCACTTTCCTCCAGTCTGGGATTCTTACTGGACAAATTAACACAGTACAATCCCTGGTTTGAGGCTTGTACCTAAGAATCTAACAAATTGCTTTTTCTATCCCAATTAAGAGAAAGCACTAGAAACTATTCCTTTTCTCAGCAGAGTCATGGTGCAGACTGCAGCTTTGTCTCAGGCTATGACACTCCGGCTTACTGTCAGGACTCAAACCAAACAGGACGCCTGGTCAGGCTGCCCTCTCCTCAACTTCCTCTCTCAGCATCGAAATCGCAGCGCGCCTCTCCCACCCTCAGGGGCCCACTGCCCAATGACACCTGCCCAGCCTCCTCCTGGTGGCTAAGGGGCACCGCCTCAGCACCCCCAGGTCTGCCCCTCTTTGGGCAGGTCTCTGCCTCCTCCTCTGCCCCACACCCACCTGCTCCATCCCCGCCCCACCCCAGTTCCCGTGTGGCAGATGCTGTCCTGCAGCTCAGAGCCCAGCTCACCCTGAAAATCTCCAAGGCCCAGCCAGGGGTCTGGCCCAGGCTTGCAGCCCACCCAGAGGAGCCCAGGGGACCTCTCGCCTCTGCCTGAGCCATGCAGGCTTCATCTTCCGTGGATGAAGAGCTCAGCCTGGCCAGAGCCTCCCCATGCTCCGCACTAAGACGTGCTTCTGAGACACCATCCGGCAGGACAGGCTTTCAGTTGCCAAGGGCCCCACAGGCTGTCCCTGCTTCTGGAACTCTCTTCCCCTGGCCGGCCCCTCGTCCTTCAGCAGGAGGAAAACACTCTTTCACACAAGCCCTCCTTATCTACCAGCCTGGGCTGCACCCGCAAAGGGTCTGTGTTTCGGGTTCCAGTGTGTGGCGGCGTGTGGTGGTGTGTGGCGGCATGTGGTGATGTGTGGCAGCATGTCACAGTGCTCCAAGCTGTGAGTCGGGTGCCTTCCCTGGTGCTGCTCTCTCAGAAAGCTCTTCCTGCATTTCCTGCAGTCCAGGAAGTTCTCATCGGGACTGGCAGGGAGTTTGGAATTTTGAGTTTTTAAGAATCAGTTAGACACTTATGCAGCCAAAAGACATATGAAAAAATGCTCATCATCACTGGCCATCAGAGAAATGCAAATCAAAACCACAATGAGATACCATCTCACACCAGTTAGAATGGCAATCATTAAAAAGTCAGGAAACAACAGGTGCTGGAGAGGATGTGGAGAAATAGGAACACTTTTATACTGTTGGTGGGACTGTAAACTAGTTCAACCATTGTGGAAGTCAGTGTGGCGATTCCTCAGGGATCTAGAACTAGAAATACCATTTGACCCAGCCATCCCATTACTGGGTATATACCCAAAGGATTATAAATCATGCTGCTATAAAGACACATGCACACATATGTTTACTGTGGCACTATTCACAATAGCAAAGACTTGGAACCAACCCAAATGTCCAACAATGATAGACTAGATTAAGAAAATGTGGCACATATACACCATGGAATACTATGCAGCCATAAAAAACGATGAGTTCATGTCCTTTGTAGGGACATGGATGAAATTGGAAATCATCATTCTCAGTAAACTATCGCAAGGACGAAAAACCAAACACCGCATGTTCTCACTCATAGACGGGAACTGAACAATGAGAACACATGGACACAGGAAGGGGAACATCACACTCTAGGGACTGTTGTGGGGTGTGGGGAGGGGGGAGGGAATAGCATTAGGAGATATACCTAATGCTAAATGATGAGTTAATGGGTGCAACACACCAGCATGGCACATGTATACATATGTAACTAATCTGCACATTGTGCACATGTACCCTAAAACTTAAAGTATAATAATAATTTTTAAAAAAAAAAAAGAATGTCAGGGAGATGGAAGTCACAGTATTTTGTAAGTTGATCTTAGAAGTGACTTCTGGCTGGTCACAGTGGCTCACGCCTGTAATCCTTGCACTTTGGGAGGCTGAGGTGGAAGAATCACTTGAAGCCAGGAGTTCAAGACCAGGCTGGGCAATACAGCAAGACCGTTATCTCTACAAAAGATAAGAAAATTAGCCAAGCATGGTAGCACATGCCTGTAGTACTAGCTACTCTGGGGACTGAGGTGAGAGGACAGCTTGAGCCCAGGAGTTTGAGGTTACAGTGAGCTATGATGGTGCCACTGCACCCCAGCCTGGGTGACAGAGCAAAGCCCTGTCTCTAATAAATAAACAAATAATTTTAAAAAGAAAAAAAAAAAGAATCAGTTACCAACATATAAAATTCAGAGGATTTCAAACAAAACTTAAGGCTTCTGTCTTCTCTTGGAACATAAGCCCATCATCTGGAGCCCACACTGTCTGCCCCTCAGAGGGCAGGGGACCCCCACTCACCCTACCTGGCCAGCTGTACCCCAAGTACCAGCTGGGACCCAGGTTCCTCCTAGTGCAGAAATAATGGGGAGCTGATTAAACCGTTCAGCAGAAGCTCCAGCCACTCAGTGTTTTCTCAGAATCACTGCACTTGTAAAAGGAGACCTAGGAGAGACAGCCATGCTTAGATTGGAGCAATACGTTGCTAACAAAGAATTTCAGGCATTGGCAAGAGAGCAATTGTGGGACAGGGAGTCTTTCTGAGCCTTTGAAAATGCTGCCTCCTCCTCCTTTAAGGCCAGAATGTGCTATAAACCCAGATAATTAGTGAGGCAACATTGCATAGCGCTCTCTCCAGCCTGAAGCCTCCTAGCACTCTGAACCTTTTCCTGGCTGGAGTTTCCAGACACAGAATAAAGGCCATCACTGTGTTGCCATCTTTCACCCATGACGTTTGTGTAGACATCTCAACGATCCCAGGAGGTGCCTGTTAATGGCCTCTGCAGCCTGCAAACACAAGGCTTCCTCTAGGCTTTCCTGAAGAAAATATCACATTTAATTTTAAAATCATGATTTTCAAAACAATGACCTTCCTCCAAAGACAGGAACCACACACCTGGCTGGTTTGGGCCAGGTGGCGGCTCTGAGCTCAGCCAGGTGGCCTGTGGGCCGGCATTGACTTTGTGGACTGTTGTGGGATCCCGCTGGTGAGAAAGGTGCTGAGCACCTAAGTGCCATGGACAGGTTTCTCATTAGTCCTGAGCAGCGAATGCAAGCCAGCCCCAGGCAGTGAGACCAAAGACTCTGTCTCTGCTGCAGAACGTCCCTTTTGTGAGGCAGGGCTGGCCTCAGAGGCAGCATTGTGTAGTCAGAGGCTTCTCTCCTATGAACCCCCATGAAGAGCCCCCTTGGGTTCCCAGGCCCCAGGTGGGTTGGCATCCATGAAGTTCTGAGAGTCAGCAATCAAGGTTCTGGTCCACAGAGCACGTCAGGAAGGTAAGGTGATGGAGGATGGAGCAGGAAAGGGGAGAGGCAGCAGAGACGTAGAAGGAGACTGACTGAGGACACGTGGGCCCAAGACACCCAGTGCTGGCTTCCCACTCAGAAGCCAGGTGGGAGGAAAGTGGACCAGGGCAGCCCGCTAGCGCCAGTGGCCTCCAGCTCCACCCGGAGATGAACGCCAAGCTGAAGTACTGCTGATCAGCCCAGGCCAGCGGGAGGAAAGTGCCAGTGGCTTCGTCCCTCCTAGATGGTGCGGCAGGCACGAGATGCCCAGCCTTGATGCACCTGCCCCAGACGCTCAACACTTTCAGCAAACCTCCCACTGCTCATGGGGAAAGTGCTGGCTCACAGAGGCGTAGGATCTTCCAGATGCCGACCCTCACCCTCCACCCTTCCACCTGCAGATGAGTTCCTGGGATGGGAAGAATCATCCATGGTCTTCCAAAAGTGGTTCGCGGACCCCTGGGTGTCTCCACAACACCTTCAGGGGTTCGCAAAGTAGAAACTGCCTTCACAATTATTGTAATGCATTGTCTGCTCTTTACTGGGTTGCATTTGTGGCAATGGAGGGACCTAGCAGGGTGGGAGCTGGGAGCAACAGCAACCGCACCTACGGGCATCCTGTTCCCCATGGCCCTTGCCACAGAAAACACAAGGTCAGTTTGGCTTAAGCATATCTTTGATGAGGAAATAAAATTATCAACTTACTAAAGCTTGACCCTGAGTGCACGTCTTTTTGGTTATCAAGGAAGGACGTACGAAATTCCTCTGCTGTAACTGAAGGAAGGAATTTGTCCCAAGAAGATTCCTACCATAATCTGGATGATGTGCGTTGTGGCTGAACCCACCACTTTTCATGGGCTGCCATGTTCCCTGTAAGGGTGCTGGAAGGTGATCTGCAGCTATTCATAGGTGGCATTTGGCACTTAAAAAAAATCAGGTCTGGGCACAGTGGCTCACACCTGTAATCCCACTACTTTGGGAAGCCAAAGTGGGCAGATCACTTGAGCCCAGGAGTTCAAGACCAGCCTGGGCAACATGGCAAAAACCCATCTCTAAAAAAAATACAAACATTAGCCAGGTGTGGTGGCACGTGCCTGTAGTCCCAGCTACTCTGGAGGTTGAGGCGGGAGGATCGCTTGAGCCCAGGAGGTCCAGGCCGCAGTAAGCAGCCGTGATCGCACCACTGCACTCCAGCCTGTGCGACACAGCAAGACTCTGTCTCAAAACAAACAAACAAAAAACAACTCCTTCAGTTCAAGAACAAGTGACAGTATCTGTTGCTAATGATAACACTGAGCTTTCCAGCAAAAATTGGAATTTTGGAAAACATGTATTGATGATGTGAGCTTGATAGATTTCCAAAACTTAAAGACTTTTCTGAGATCAGTGGTGATATTAACAAATGTAATTTTAAAAAATTTTATAACAAAATGTGTCAACATTTGGGAGAGCTGCATAACTCAGGCAACCAATACTTCCCCAATGAACAGTTACAGAACCACAAACAGTAAAATATCTATGTGAAGTGCAGGTCCACCGACAGATCTTAGGGGCACAGACGGTGGCAATTTTATTGATGGTTTCACATTCCACACTGAACTAACTTTAAGGAATCCCCAGTGCCAACACATAATGTAGCATCAAAGAAGAATATCCACAATTATCTAAAAGGCTAATAAATACTTCTGCACTCTCCAAATATACATCTGTGTGAGGCGGGATTTTCTTCATAAACTTCAACCAAAACAATAAATCACAATAGAGTGAATGTAGAAACAGATGTGAGAATTAAGCTGAAATTTGAAAATATGTAAGACAATACCACCCTGCTCACTAGCTACTTTTGTTTGGGAAAATACAGTTTTGAAAAATAACACATATTCATAAAGAATGTTAGCAAGGGCTGGGGATGGTGGCTCACATCTATAGTTCCGGATACTCAGGAGGGTGAGGCACCAGGCACTCCAGGCTAAGCCACACAACAAGACCCTGTCCATAAACAAAAAATAATATTAGCAGGTAATAGATTTATTGTTTTTTAATAAATGTTTTAAATATCTCAGCTTTAATTTCTAATACATTAAATATTGATTGATGCAAACCACAGAAACAAACTCTTTGGGGTTTTCAATGCTTCTAGACTACAAAGGGGTGTGCAATGGTTACTTTTTTGTGAATATGACCGGTCCACAGGGTACTCAGATCAAACATGATTCTGGGAGTGTTTGTGACAGGCATGTGTCTGAGCGTGGGGAAATGTCTCTGTGAGAGGCATGTGTCTGTGAGTGGGGAGTGCGTGTGTGTGTGTGGGGGGGGGTGTCTGTGAGGGGGAATGTGTGAGGAGGGAGTTTGAGGAGAGAGTGTGTGTGAAGGAGGACTGTGTGTGAGGAGGAAGTGTGTGGGGGGAGTGTTTCTGAGGAGGGAGTGTGGGGGGGGAATGTGTATTAGGAGGAAGCGCATGTGAGGGGGGAGTGTTTGTGAGGAGGAAGTGTGAGGACAGAGTATGTGTGAGGAGGAGTGTGTGTGAGCGGGAGTTTGTATGAGGGGGAGTGTGCATGAGGGGGAGTGTGCGTGGGGGGGAGTGTGTATGAGGGGGAGTGTGAGTGGGAGCGTGTATAAGGGGGGAGTGTGTGTGAGTGGGAGCGTGTGTGAGGGGAAATGTGAGGATGTGTTCAGGCGGAAGTATGTGAGTATAGTGGGTGAGGAGGGAGTGTTTGTGAGGGGGAGTGTGTGTGAGGCAGAGTGTGAGGGAGTGTGGGTGAGGGTGTGTGTGTGAGGGGAGTGTGAGGGGGAGTGTGTGTGAGGAGGGAGTGTTTGTGGGGGGAGTGTGTGTGAGGCAGTGTGAGGAGGTAGTATGTGTGAGGGGGAGTGTGTGTGAGGGGGAGTGTGTGTGAGGAGGGAGTGTTGGGGAGGGAGTGAGGGGGGACTGTCAGTAAGTGGGGGGGTGTGAGAGGTTAATGTGTGACGGGAGTGTCTGTGAGGGGACAATGTGTGTAAAGGGGGAGTGTTTTTAGTGGGGAGTGTGTCTTAGGGGCAAGTGTGAGCGAGTGGTTTGTGTCTTTGTGGTAATTTCTGTAAGGGATCAGCATTTGAACTGGGAGACTCAGAAAAGCAGATGTCCTGCCCAATATTCGTGCCTCTCATCCAATTCTTGAAGGCCCGAATAGAAAAAAAGGCAGCAGAAGGTTCAATTCTACCTCTCTGCCTGACTGCTGACCTGGGACATCGGTCGTCTTCTGCTATTGGTTGCCTCTGGTTTCAAGCCTTCAGGCTCAGAGTGAAATCTACACCAGCAACTTTCCCTGGGTCTGTAATTTGTAGAAAGAAGACCATAGGATTCAGCCTTCATAACTGCTCCTCTTTTTGTTTTGTTTTATTTTGTTTTGTTTTGTTTGAGATGGATTTTCACTTTTGTTGCCCAAGCTAGAGTGCAGTGGTGCAACTCGGCTCACCGCAACCTCCACCTCCTGAATTCAAGCAATTCTCCTGCCTCAATCTCCAGAGTAGCTGGGATTACAGGCGCGCACCACCACGCCTGGCTAATTTTTTGTATTTTTAGTAGAGACGGGGTTTCACCATGTTGGCCAGGCTGGTTTCGAACTCCTGACCTCAGGTGATCCATCCACCTCGGCCTCCCAAAGTGTTGGGATTACAGGCGTGAGCCACCACACCCAGCCCAGTTCACTTTATACACACACACTCACACACAACCTTGCCTTCTGGTTTCTCTGCAGAACCCTAATACAAGTATCTCACACACACACACACACACACACACACACACACCCTTCCTACTGGTTTCTCTGCAGAACCCTAATACAGGGTATGAGACCACAACTTTTGGAAATCACTGCTTCACGAATACTGAATTCTGATTTTTCTTAGATTCATACGTGTTCAATCCATTCCCTTTACAGAATAAGAAACCCACAGGGAAGTTAGGAAGCATGCCCAGCATTAGCCTGACAGCTGTAACAGAAACAGCAAGTGTACCCCCTTTGCTGCGACCCACAGATGAACACGTGCATGGACACACATGTCCCCTGTTTGCACTGAGATACTTCCAACAGCTAGTTTTCAGAAAGATTGGGGTGGGGTGGGAAAAGTAATCTTATTCCAGGGCCTGGAAGGCAGGAGCAAAAGTTGAGTTGCTGTTTTCCCTCCCATGCACCAAAGATAAATTTGTTAACACTGTAGCTCAATAGGATGTCAGTGTTCTTCAGCCTCAAGTTGAGGAGACAGAAAGGCTGGGTTATGGCCTTAGGGGGCTACATTGAGATTTTTCACTTTCCTTATTCAATAGGAAGCAACCCTCTGCACCAACATGGACATCCTTGCTGACTTCATCACATGAAAACACAGTCGGCGCTTCATCAGCAGTAATTTAAAGCAGATCCAAGGAGGCTTTTAATAAGTTAAAGGGCTCCTGACATGCAAGAAGCTGTTAAATGTAAGTCAGAGGTACCTCTTTTCTCTTTCTATAAAAAATGTGTACTAAAAAATGTGTATAAAAAATATTTCCAGGGAAAACCAATTCCAATTCTATCCAAAAAAGTTATTTTACTCACAGCTTCTTTGCACGGCCCTGGTAAGGGACCTGGCTGTGAGAATGGAGCATTGCTGCCACGACTCAGCCCTTTCCCAGGATGCACCTGCTGACGCTCACCACAGACACTGTTTCCTCCCGAACGTGATGACAGTGGCTGCCACCTAGGCATCTGCATCGCTGTCTTCAAGACTTTGGAGTTCTCAAAGGTACAGGGGGGAGGAGGGGTATACCAGCCACTTCCATATTCAACTTCCAAAAGCTAGAGATGTCAGTTAAATAACCCCACACGTGCTGACAAGGTTCTGTCGAGGACCCCAGGCTTTCTGTCATAGTAGGCCAATCTCATTTCAAAAGCGGCAGCAAAACCACACCTATTCCTAACAACAGCAGAGCACAGAACTGAATTAAGGATGCTGATTATCAGCTAAAAGGTTCCAAGAGAAAGACCGAACTTGGGGCTTTCCTGACAACCCACTCATTTACTAAGCATCTTCTACAGCATACACAGACATAAGCCCCTTAAAATCAGAGTACGTGAGAATACTTTTCATTTGGAAATAAATCCCATGATACACCCGTATAGAATACACTGACTATACTTAAACACTTTAAGCTTCATCACCATGTGGGACACTATGGAATTAGCTAAATCCGTTCTTGAAGGTTAGTTTCCCTAAGGAAAAATGCTCTCTTCAGGGAAAAAAACTTGGGCGGAATACATTACTGAGATGTTACCAAATCAAAAAAAGTGAAGGGTACATGTGATAATATCAGATAAGGTAGCATAAAAATATCACTACGCCATGTTACATAATCTCGAAAGGATATACACACATAAGATCAATGAGGCTAAGTTAAAATATTGTCGTTATGATTAAGGTAACTTATCTCTACAAAACACACATCTCAACAAGGAAAATAAAGAAAAATGGATATGGTGAGATTTTAAAACTTCTTCATGCTACTTTTCTGACTCAAAGAAAGGGCAACGCTGCAGTGACTCCCACAGGATGAGGCTCACCTGGGATGTGACAACACACTGGGCTGTGGGGGTCTGCGTGGGAGGCTACTGCCTGGGAAAGTCCCAGGCAACATGAAGTTGATGTCTCCCAGCACAAAAAACACCCTGGAGCACCCCCAAAATGTACTCATCCCAGTCCCAAGTAGAAGAATCCACACAAACCAGGAACTTCGCTCATGCTGAAGCCACGTGCCCTGGAATTGATTTGTGTTGACTGCCACAATTGATTCAAGTGAAATTGATTCACAACTTGAAGCAGAGGAAAAAACTAAAAGCAGTGCCCCTTTCAAACAGCAGTGCCCACCACAACTGTTACTCCAAGTTCTGAACTGTGCTGTGGAGGACCTGGAAGTGGGTTTTCTCCCCCTTAATCATGAAAATAGCTGACGTTTGTGGTGGCTTTCAGCACAGAAGTTCCTTTTGGATTCTTACTAAAGATGGGTAGATCGAACATAAGCATTTACCTCTGCTACCCGCAAAACCCAGTAAGACACGAAATGCTTTTTTAAAAAGGCATAGACCTGTAAGAACAAAGTGGGAGAACAGATACTAGCACGCATATTATAAAAGGGGAAATCAGACAGAGCAGTCTCTGTCTCTGCATACTCAAGGAAAGCCAAACCCTAAGCTGGGGGAGCAATCCCACAAGGAAAAACACATCCAACTGTCCCCAGGCCCAGGGACAGAAGTGGGTAGCACCAGCTAGGCTGAGAATGGTGGTAAATAAGGGAAAATCACTGAGTCTGTTCAACTACGCTGAGAATGGTGGTGAATAAGGAAAATCACTGAGTCTGTTCAGCTACGCTGAGAATGGCGGTAAATAAGGAAAATCACTGAGTTTGTTCAAAAAGCAGTTTGACTCATTCATCATGAAATGCAAATTAAAACTACACTGAGATACCATTTCTCACCTATCAGATTGGCAAAAATCCAAAATCTCAATGACATACTCTGTTGGCCAAGCTGAGGGAAACAGGCTTCTCATGCATGGCTGATGAGAGGCAAAATGGTGCAACCTCTAGAGACAGGAACTAGGCAATTATGCAAAAAAATCACAAATCCACTTCCTGTCCTCTAGCAATCTCTTTCATTACTCTATCCCAATTATATACCAGTGAAGGCCTGAGAAGAAATACACACAAGGCTGTTCATTGCGGTACTATGGCAAAAGCAAAAGTGAAAACACCCAAAGTCTCCGCAAGGCACTGGTTAGATAAATTGCTTCATGCACATAAGGGAGCACCAGTCTGCTGTGAAAAAAAATGAGAGCTCCATGTTATGTTACAGGTTGAAGAGGTTTCCAGAATATATTAAGCTAAAAACTAAAAAAAAAAAAAAAAAAAAAAAAAAAAAAAGGTAAAATACAATGTATCTGGTATGTTTCCATTTGTCTAAGAAAGGATGTTAGTATAACAGGCCTCGCTCTGTCACCCAGGCTGGAGTACAGTGGCACCATCATGGCTCACTGCAGCCTCAACCTCCCGGGATCAACTGATCCTCCCACCTCAGCCTCCGAAGTAGCTGCAATTATAGGTGCGTGCCACCACACCTGGCTAATTTTCACACTTTTGTATTTTTTTGTAGAGATGGGTTTTGCCATGCTGCCCAGGCTGGTCTTGAACTCCTGGCTTCAGCGATCCACTCGCCTCGGTCTCCCAAAGTGCAGGATTACAGCTGTGAGCCACTGTGACTGGGTGGAGTACAGTGGCGCAATCTCAGCTCACTGCAACCTCTGCCTCCCAGGTTCTAAGCGATTCTCCTGCCTCAGCCTCCAGCGTAGCTGGGATTACAGGCATGTACCACCATGCCAGGCTAATTCTGTATTTTTAGTAGAGATGGGGTTTCACCATGTTGTCCAGGCTGGTCTCGAATTCCTGACCTCAGGTGATCCACCCGCCTCGGCCTCCCATAGTGCTAGGATTACAGGCGTGAGCCACCACGCCCGGCTGGCCTGCTTATTTTTTAATAGAAGAATAAACCATACATTTTTAAAAAACATTACCTATTTTGGAAATTCAGAAATATGTATTATTTGAATATACCTTTTTGAAAACTTGATGTTTGGTACCATATAAATATAAAAATATAGACAGATTTTAAAAACAACACCTACAAATTGGTGGTAAAACTAAACAAATATATCTGATTATGTATCCAGCTGGGGGCAGAACAGCCATACAGAAAGAGCTGTGTTTGTGTTCCCTAAGGGGATATACCCCTAAGGTCAAAAGAACTGCAAAAAAATCTTAAACTGTTTCAAGAATCACATTGATGGTGGCAGTGTTTGCAATGTTACTCTTAGACTACAGTGAGTGTATTGCTGAACCGAATGAGTAATCACATTGGTGTCACTGAGAACTCAGACTTTTGGCTCAGTTAAAAGGATATAAACAGCTAAGACCAATGAGGTTAAGTTAAAATTCTCAAGTCCTAAATTTGAACTGGAATGATCAGTATGAACTCACATGTTTATCCCCAAAAATTTCATATAACTATATTATCATAAAAATAATTCATGCATACAATTATATGCATAATTTTATATATGTATACTTTTTAAATGTATACTTATATAATCTTCTAGCTCTGATTACTGAAAAGCACTAGAAACAACGGTCAATGACCAACCCGTTAGCAATAACACTCCTAGAGGCCAGATCATGGTCTCCAACTGCCATTTTCCACTCAAACCATAAGTCCTCGGAGAAACAGTTGATTCTAGGTCTAGTGCACGAAATGTACAAGAGGAGCCTGGGACTACTCAACACATCAGGAAGCAGGGAGGCTCCCAAAAACTGCTTGGGTCACATTATGAGGACTACAGGCCAAACTGAATGAGCTCTCACTGGCCAGAAAATATGGGCTCCAATAAGGACAATAACTACGATGGACTGAAACTCATCAAATGACACTAATTTTAACAATTCTCATTCGTCGCTTTTTGAAGATGCTCACTATTTTTGAATACTGGTAAATAATTCCCCTCCTTTCCTATACAATCTATACAAGGGGGCAAGCAAACCAAATATTCCAGCTGATAAAAAAGAAATATAATTCTCAGAGTATGACTTTTTGCAAACTTTTATGAATTAACAGATCGAGGTAATTATCATCAATAGCTAATAACATCACAAAAAGAGAGGCTATTGTGAGGTAGGTACATCCTAAGGGAGGAGCCAATATTCCCTATGAGGAACCCTGTCAAACAAAAACAAACCTGAATTTAATCAAATTGAGAAGTACAAACTATGATAAAGATTTAACGACAACTCTCAGGAAAAACAGAGACAGAGTAACGTGTTAAATGATGCTGCAAGGATGCAATCAGCACCTCTGCAAGCCCACAGGACAAACACAAGTGTACAAAACAAGTACCAGCAGTATTTTAAAACGACGGAGTGGAATCCACAAGAAACATAAGACACTTGGTATATAAACCTTATTTGGATCTCATTCAAGCTAGCAAACTGTAAGAACAGATATCTACTGAAGAATTTGAGATATGGGATGATCTTACACAATTTTTATCATAATTGCCTATTAACATAGTTAACATCTTACTTACATAACTGTTTTTAGATGTAATAGCGGTACTGTGGCTGTGTTTTTATTTGATATCTGAGACTTGCTTCAAAATCAGCCAGTGGGTGGGCAGTGGATGAAGGTACAAATAAACCTGTCATGCAGCTGATAAATGTTCCACCGTAATAAAATTAAGAGAAAGTAAAGGTGTAAACAGAGCCTCAGATCCCCATGCCCTCTCTGGTAGGCAACTAGAGATTTATTTTCCAGGGCATATGAGATAGAGGCTCTCTGAACTGAGGGTGCAGCACCATACTGAAAACAGGGGGTTAGTAAACACTGACACTGTTGAATAAGAAGAGTCCGTACCTCTTTCCCCTCACTCTGCACCCAGAATACCGGCTGCTAGGTCGACACTTCACCAAGCAGGAGATTGGAACAAAAACAATCTGGCCAGCCCAAGAGAAAAAGACTTAAAACTACCAACAGGAAGAGTTTTCTGATTAAAAGATCTAACCAGGCTACCCTATTACGACCATATAGTTGACATGGTCAAGAGTTTCATTCTGTTTTTTAGTGCCCTGATCTTAAAAATGAGCAAAGATGACAAGACATTCAAGGAACGCCTCTAATATGAAACAGAGAGATGAGATAATACAAGCTGGGAAAAGAGAACATGGAAGCAATGAGACTACAACAGAAGTTCCAGATGGAGAGAAAAAACAGAAAGCAAGACGGTGGTAAGGAAATCAGACAAGTAATTTAAAAAAATTTCCTAGAATGCAAAGATGTGACAAAGGGCACTGAGTAACCTGCATAATGTTGAAAAACAGAATCACCTCAGGGTACATCCCAGGGAAATTCAGATCAGTGGGTACAAGAAACAGATTCTGAAAGTTCCAGATAAAGAGGTGGGGAAAAGACTAAGGATCAAAATGGCATTAAACTTCTCAGCTGTTGAAAGATAAAAGATAATAAAACAATGCCATCATAAGTAAGAGGAAAAATTATTTCCAACCTAGAATTCTATACTAAGATAAACTAGCAAGCAAGTATAATAGCATATTTTTTACATTAAAGATTTCCCAAAATTAACTTTCCATACAACCCATTTCTCAGGAAGCAACTGGACCATGTGCACCACCAAAACAAGGGAGTAAACCAAGAAGGCAAAATAGATGCATCCAAGAAGATAAACTAAACGAAAAGCAACTTCCACTTCTGTTCAAAATGGAGTAACAAGGATTGCATTTAACTTCCCACTGTAACCAACTACAAAAATGGACAAAACAAGGCCAGGCACGGTGGCTCATGCCTGTAATCCCAGCACTTTGGGAGGCCGAGGTGGGTGGATCACGAGGTCAGGAGTTTGAGACCAGCCTGGCCAAGAGACGGGCCTGGCCAATATGGTGAAACCCTGCCTCTACTAAAAATACAAAAATTAGACGGGCACGGTGGCGGGTGCGGCTGGGGCAGGAGAATTGCTTGAACCCGGGAGGTGGAGGTGGCAGTGAGACGAGATCATACCATTGCCCTCCAGCCTGGGCGACAGAGCAAGACTCCAACTCAAAAAAAAAAGAAAAAAGAAAAATGGACAAAACAATTAAATAGCTGCTTTCAGACACTGGGTGCAAGCATGCAAGATTGTGAGCCCTGTGGTCACCCTGGCTTTCAACCAGAGGCATTTCTGGGCCATGAACACAGCGAGAAGGACCACACACAAAGCCTAGAGGTCTCACTAACTGGAGGAGATGGCGACCCAGGTTTGTGGGATGCAGAGGTGGCTGGAGCTGCAGAGGAGAAAGCTGGGGAGAAAAAGGGCTGAGGAATCTGAAAAGGGTAAGAGGCCATTCTTGTGTAAAAGCTAGATTTTAGAAAAACAAAACAAAACTATCAGGAAGTTGTAAGACAAACAGTTCTCAGAACTCACAGAAATATGCAGTGGTTCACGCCTGTAATCCCAGAACTTTGGGAGGCCAAGGCGGGTGGATCACCTGAGGTCAGCAGTTCAAAACCAGCTTGGCCAACATGGTGAAACCCCGTCTCTACTAAAAATACAAAAAATTAGCAGGACGTAGTGGCACACGCCTGTAATCTCAGCTACTCGGGAGGCTGAGGCAGGAAAATTGCTTGAACCCAGGCGGTGGGGGTTGCGGTGTGCCGAGATCACACCACTGCACTCCAGCCTGGGTGACAGAGTGAGACTCCATCTCAAAAAATAAAAATAAAGAATTCACAGAAATGTGAGACTCTAATCAGCCACAGCAATGTCCTTAGTCATTCCCCACGTCATTCAGCCAAGATCGTAGAGGGGCCTCACCTCAGTAGGAGAGCTGAACTTCTGGTGGAATAATGGCTGCTCTAGCGCTGACAGTTATGTTTAAAAACAGGCCTCAATACCACTTCACAAACATTGGGATGACTGTTATCAAAAACATAAAACAAAATCCCCAAAATAACTAATGTTAGCAAGAATATGGAGAAATTTAAACCCTCGTGCACTGCTAGTGGGAATGTAAAATGGTACAGCCACTGTGGAAAAGAGTATGGCAGATCCTCGAAAAATTAAAAATAGAACTACCATATGATCCAGTAATTCTACCTCTGGGTACATACCCCCCAAAATTTAAAGCACACCTCACAGAGCCATCTCTCCACCCATGTTCACTGCAACATTATTCACAATAGCCAGGAGGTGGAAACAAATCAAGTGTCCATGGATGGATGACTGGATTAACAAAGCGTGGACTAGCCATACAATGAAATATTATTCAGCCCTAAAAAGGAAATGCTGACACATGCTACAACAGATGAACCTTGAGGATAGTACACTGAGTGAAATAAGCCAGCCACAAAAGAACTAATATTTTATGATTCCCCTTACACGAGGTGCCTGGGTAGTCGAATTCATGAAGACAGAAAGTAGAATGGTAGCTGCCAGGGGCTAGGGGACGGAGGATGGGAGCTAGTGTTTAGGGCCACAGAGTTTCCGCTTCAGAAGACGAAAAATTCTAGAGATGGATGGTGGTAATGGTGGTACAATAATGTGAATGTACTTAATGCCACTGAGCTGAAAGTGTAAAATAGCAAATTGTTATATATATTCTACCACATTTTAAAAATACTTTTTATTAATATGAAAAAACAGCCTCAAATGAACCAAACTGATTCATATGTAACTACCTGCCAAAACAAAGCCCATAGCTATCCAACAATGTAACATTCATAATGTTCTAATAAAAAATTACTAGAATTATCTACTTTCAAGATTTTTCCTCTTCACATCATGGTGAAGTAGCAAGGGAGTGAATTTACCCTCCAGCCTGACCAAACAATAAACCACACAAATGTGAAATGAGTTTTCTGACACTGGATAACAGGCAGCAGGACTCAGGTTCCTGAGGGGACGAAACAAACGAGGTAGGTCCTACGATCACATCAGGTACTCTCTGGAAGCCGTTTCTAGGCAGGGAGGAGACACACAGGGTCTGGTGGCCTCATTATGTTAAGAAGAGAGAGACAGAATGGAGTTTGGGAAGGTCAAGAGAGCTAAAATCTACAGTGTAGGATACCCAAGAAAGGGAGCTAAGGAAAGAACCATTTAAAGATCTGCAGAGGGGTTCACTTGAGTCTTTGGCTGAGTTCTGAACTATGCAAACAGGAGAGAAACAACTAGACCAGGGAAAGAATCACCAGGCTGGTGTAGACACAATAGTTCCTGGAGACCACACAGGGCTAAGAACAGTTTACATACCCAGTAGCAAGACCAGAAGGACCTTGCAATGTATGGGAGAGTTGGCCAGTCTTTAGTACCCAGAAGGGTATTCCTTTACTACCCAGAGGGTATTGCTTTAGTAGTAGGAATAAGCTAGTCTTAGAGTAAAGGTTGCTCTATACCGACACTAACAAAGCTTAAAAGTAATCCTCAAAAGGATCCAACTGATTCCAGGTAACTTAACCATATGCCATAACAAACTCTAACACTGTTTAAAGGTATACAACAAAAGCCAGCAAACAATGATATAAAATTTATGATATCCATCAACTATTCAAAAATCTATTCAAAAATGTCTAGTAATTCAAAAATTACTAGAAACACAAAACAATAACAACGACAAAAAAGTAACCAATAGCTGGGAGAAACCAGAAAAGATATAGACCAGAAATGACTGAATGAACAGACAAGGACATTAAAACAGCTATTATAAATATGTAATATATGGTTTAAAAAGGTAGAGAAAAAAATGAACTTAATGAGGAGCTATTAAAATGACTCAAAAGTAGCTCCTGGAAGTGAAAAACACACAGAGGAAAAAACTGGAAAGAAATAAAAAGAGCACGAAGAAGCCACGGAAAATACCAGGCAGGATAACGCACATGTAATTGGAGCTAGGAAAGGGGAAGGTAAGGGAAAGGTTGTTGAAGAAATAATGGATGAAGATTTTTTTCTTTTTCGCCATTCGGAGTCAACTTTTATTGAGCACCTCCTATATTCCAGAACCAAAAACATGTTTGTTCCTTACAAAATTCTCAAAGCCACCCTTTAAGGTAAGTAAAAGTATGTTCTACTTAACAGATAAGAAAACTAAGAATCAGACTGATAGAACTTATAGAACTTCCTCAACATCATAGGCAGAAACATAATTATATTGACTGCCAATTTTAAGAAAACATCTATTTGTCACATTTGTGTCATTACTAAAATCTCTGCTTTTACAGTTTTCTTAAAATCATGTGACTATAAACAGCATTTTTATTTACATTACCATCACTTCTCTTTCCTAAGAGAAATTCTTTGTCTCCCTAAGATCATGACCACTTATGTATCATTTCTTGCTTATAAATTTTAATAAAATATACATAAGTGGGAATGTACAGTATTAAGTATTACTCTATTATTCTGGAATTTAACAATGAATAAGCACATATTTTAAAGGCCACACCTACTAAGAAACAGATACAAACTGTGATTTCTAAAATATATTTAAAATTAACCTATTAAAATATTTGGTTTATAAATATAACTGTGTAAATACAGAACGTTTAGCTCAGATGACTATGTACTTGATGGCTAGCCACATGTAAGTTACCGAAATACATATTCTTTCAAGTCTGAAGTACCTCTTCTAAGAACTGGGCTAATGGATGGTTCCTTAGTTTAGTTCAACTGGAATAAAATTACAGAAGTTCTATCTTGGCCAGGCACAGTGGCTCACGTCTGTAATCCCGGCACTTTGGAAGGCCGAGGCAGGTGGATCACCTGGGGTCAGGAGTTCGAGACCAGCCTGGCCAACATGGTGAAACCCCGTTTCTACTGAAAATACAAAAATAAGCTGGATGTGGTGGTGTGCGCCTGTAATCCCCGCTACTCGGGAGGCTGAGGCAGGAGAATCACTTGAACCCGGGAGGCAGAGGCTGCAGTGAGCCGAGATCAGGCCACTGCACTCCAGCCTGGGTTACAGAACAAGACTCCATCTCAAAAAAAAAAAAAAAGGTTTATCTTCCTTTCTATTACAGATAATATAACTGTAATATGTAACTACAGCCAAAAGGTCAAACACCACAGAATTCAATAAATATTGAAAATAATACATAGTTTAATATCATCAAATTCTAGCCAACTTCTAGTATTAAGTATATATTATCTTACAGAAAATGTGTTCTAATAGAAATATCTTAATAAAAAGGGAAGGGACTATAAAGAAGCAGACAATTAGAAATCTAGTAAGTGCTTATTTTACAAATTAGGGACTGAGGCACAATCATAAGTAACTTACCCAAGTCACATGCCAGTGGTAGAACCAGGACTGATTCCTGAATCTGACTTCTAGTCTGTGCTCTTTGAACACTTCTTTGTTTTCTCATGTTATAACTGAATCCTTTTATGTGCTAAATTTTAAATTGGAAAATTATCAAGTAATAAAACTGCTTTTCTCTCCAGCCCAACTCTCTGGTCTTTCTTAAATGAGCATTACAAGAATAGGATACAGTTCATAACTTCACAACACTCTCATAGGTTCATTAAGATGAGAACTTTATACAGGAAAAAGTTCACTTTACATGTAGTTTGGTTTGGCTGGAAAAAGCTTATTTAACAGCCATAGTTTTAAAACCTAGTTATTCTATATCATAGTGACTTCATATGTTGTAAAACGGTTTTCTATGATCTTGACATTTTCTTCAGATAGCCAGTTTTCCTGCTTTAGCTGCCTTATAAGAGCTTCCAAAGACTTCAATCTACCTAGAGTTTGTTGCTCTTTGAACTCTAGAAGAGTTATCTTTGAATGTAGCTTAGAGACTTTCTGCCAAAGATGCTCCTTATTTATATCTTGTCTGCAGTAAGAATGTTCTATTTGTAAAACTTCTGTCCCATAGTCTACATCCTTATACAAGGAGTCTTCGATGTCTATGTCTTCCACTTCCGTGGTTTCTTTTTGTGCAGATATAAAAGAATTAACTGAAAGTTTAGAATTTTTGGCAGGTACAAAAATGGCAATAACAGATTCTTTATTTGTGTTTAATTCTTCAACTGTTTGCTTAATTGTGCTGAATAAGAATGGATTTTCCTGTGCTGACTTTATTTCCATGGAATTACTTGTAAAGTTTGGATTAGCAAGATAACTAGAAGTTACTTCAAGAACTTCTTGGGTTTCCAAAGATTGATGAATACTTTCTGAATTTGAAATTGTCAAAGTAATAGTTGTAGAATTTAGATTATAAAAACATGTGTGAAAACCACCTACACCTGTATCTTGGTTAACTGATGTTTCCAAGGTAGATTCTGGTTTCCCAGTATGTTGTTTAACTAGATTAAGAGTTAACATGTTATTTTGTATACTTCCTGTTTTGGGAGCTGGTGGCTTTACCAAGGAAGATGAATGAAGTAATTCTGGATGTTGAGGGAGCACATTTGTGTTAACTATATTTTTCTTTGTCTCATTTAATACAACTGATTCTTCTGACTTGGCTTTTGGGCATACTTCTCATCTTCCAAGTTTTTCTTCTGGGATTTTTTTTTAGAAGGGTCTTTTCCCTGATTGTCTTCAGGCAAAGAAAATATTGTTGGAACTGCACTTTGTTTTAAATATCGAATACCCCATCTGATGTCAAGAGAGTCAGGAGTAAAATGGTCACTACACAGAAACTGGTATTTACTGGGAACCCATGAATCTCGCTTCATATTGTTTAACCACTTTTCCAGTCTTTCTTTGTCATGTAGAGGAAATGGATAAAAACTCAGCTTCCGGTCTTTATTGTTTCATCCCCGGCAGTTCTTACAACAAATCGCCGCGCAATAGCGGGGCATCACTCGGGTGAGGCCCTGGGAGACCGGGGCCGGCGACGGGTGCAGGGTGGCCCTCCTCACTGAGGCTCACCACAGGTCCAGAAGATTTTTCAAATTTGATAACTAAAACCCAACACACTCAACAATTCTAATGAAACCTAAGCAGAAGAAACATGAGGAGAACCACACCCAAATACATCATAATCAAATTGCTAAAAACCAGTGATAGGCCGAGTGTGTTAGCTCACACCTATAATCCCAGCACTTTGGGAGACCGAGGCAGGTGGATCACTTGAGGTCAGGAGTTCAAGACCAGCCTGGACAACATGGTGAAACCCCGACTCTACTAAAAATACAAAAATTAGCTGGGCTTGGTGGTGCATGCCTGTAATCCCAGCTACTCAGGAGGATGAGGCAGGAGAATCACTTGAACCCGGGAGGCAGAGGTTGCAGTGAGCCAAGATCACGCCACTGCACTCCAGCCTGGGATGACAGAGCAAAACTCCGTCTCAAAACAAAACAAACAAACAAAAAAGTGATAAAGAGATCATGAAGGCAGACAGAGACACGAAGGTGGGACTGGCAGTAGGATGCTCATCAGTAACCAAATAAGGCACAGTAAAACATGCTTAAACTCCTGGGAGAAAAATATCAACGCAGGATTCTCTTTCTAGCAAAAATACCTCAGAAACCAACCTAGGCAAGATGGCAAACCCGTCTTTTTTTTTTTTTTTTGAGACAAAGTTTCGCTCTTGTCACTCAGGCTGGAGTGCAACGGAGCGATCTTGGCTCACTGCAACCTCCGCCTCCTGGGTTCAAGTGATTCTCCTGCCTCAGCCTCCCGGGTAGCTGGGATTACAGGCACCCGCCACCACACCTGGCTAATTTTTGTATTTTAGTAAAGACGAGGTTTCAACATGTTGACCAGGCTGTTCTTGAACTCCTGACCTCAGGTAATCCACCTGCCTTGGCCTCCTGAAGAGCTGGGATTACAGGCGTGAGCCACCACGCCCGGCCCAAATCCCTGTCTTTACAAAAAAAAAAAAAAAAAAAAAAGCCAGATGTGGTGGTACATGCCAGTAGCTCTAGCTGCTTGGGAGGCTGAGGCAGGAGGACTACTTGAGCCCAGGAGGTCAAGGTTGCAGTGAGCCATGATTGAGCCTGGGTGACAGAGCAAGACACTGTCTTTAAAATTTTTTAAACCTTCAAAAATGAAGGCAAAATACTCTTCCAGATAATCAAAAGCCGAGAAAACTCATAACTAGCAGATATATGCTAAAGAGATATTAAAGAAAGCTCTTTAAAAGAAAGAAAATGACACCATATGGAAATCTGAAACTGCACAAAGGAAAGAACATTGCCAGAAATAGTGAATACGTGGATAAACTTAAAAGACAATTTTCTCTCATGTTTAAATCTTTTAAAAAGTTAATTAACAGTTTAAAACAAAAATAATGACAATGAATTTTGGGAATAACATATGTAGAAGTAAAATGTATGACAATGATAGCACAGCGAACAGAAGGTGGAGGTAAGCTGCTAAGTTTGTGTGCAACTCATGAAGGGATACAGTATTTTTTGAAGGTAGATATGTTAGTTAATAGATGTGGGCCAGGCGCGGTGGATCATGCTGGTAACCCCAGCACCTTGGGAGGCCGAGGCAGGCAGATCATGAGGTCAGGAGTTCGAGACCAGCCTGGCCAAAATAGTGAAACCCCATCTCTACTAAAAATACAAAAAAATTAGCCAGGCATGGTGGCAGGCAGCTGTAATCCCAGCTACTCGAGAGGTTGAGGCAAGAGAATCGCTTGAACCCAGAAGGCGGAGGTTGCAGTGAGCCAAGATCACCCACTGCAATCCAGCCCAGACGACAGTGTGAGACTCCATCTCAAAAAAAAAAAAAAATGCATAAAAAGGATTTGACAAAATTTTAACACCTACTCACGGAAAAAAATTCTCAGAAAACTAGGAATAGAAAGGCACTTCCTCATCCTGATAAAATGCATCTATAAACAACCTACAGTTTATTGAGCTGTGGAAGACTGAATGCTGTGCTGTGGAGACCAGAACAAGGCGAGAGTGCCTGCTCACACCACTTCCAGGCTACATTTTACTGGAGGTTCTCACCGGCACAAAAAGGAAAAGCAATAAAAGCATCCAGACTGGAAAGGAAGATGTAAATGGCATTTATTTTTAGATAACCTGATCGTCTGAGTAGAAAATATGACAGAGCCTATAAATAAACTACCACAAGTCATCAATGAGCTTAGAAAAGTAGAATACAAAGTCAACATACAAAAAGAAACTGCCTTCCTCTATTCCAGTATAAACAATTAGAAGTTGAAAATTTAAAAATACTACCATTTACAACAGCTCTATAAAACACAAAATACGTAGGGATAAATTTAATAAAACATATGGAAGACCTATATCATGAAAATGACAAAATATTGGGAGAAATTAAATGTCTGAAAAACTAGACAATGGTCATGGATCAGACGACTCAACACTGTTGAGTGTCAATTCTCCCTCTGCCCGAAGAGCTTAGCAGCCTAGCAGCCTAGCCTCAAACTGTGTTTCAAACTGTTTTTTCTTTTCCTTTTCCTCTTCCCCTTCCCAGTCTCAAGATAAAACTTTGAGACAAACTGCATATGTGTTACCTTTCATCTCGAAATACAGCCTTGGAATGTGCTGCGAACCTCCACTCCCTTTCATTTTTATTTTTGGAAACAGTCTCGCTCTGTCGCCCAGGCTGGAGTACAGTGGTGCAATCTCCGCTCACTGCAACCACCACCCCCTGGGTTCCAGTGATTCTCCTGCCTCAGACTCCCAAGTAGCTGGGATTACAGGCGTGTGCCACCACGCCTGGCTAATTTTTTGTATTTTTAGTAGAGATGGGGTTTCACCATGTTGGCCAGGCTGGTCTGGAACTCCTGACCTCAGGCAATCCACCCACCTCAGCCTCCCGAAGTGCTGGGATTACAGTCGTGAGCCACCGAACCCGGGCCCTCCACTCTTCTTTCTTTTCCCACTGTATGCTCCCATGCTTTATGCACATGTATTTACCCAGATACTAGTTAAGCACACACCATGCTCTCTTATCTGGCCATTTATTTGCTTAGAAGCTTCAGGGGTCGGGTCCTAAAAGGGACTAGGCAACTCCGGAATTCTCTTTCCAACAAAAGATTATTTCAAGGCCAGAACCCTCTCCTGGCTGAAGAGTGACTACAAGATTGACTGTGATTAATTTATAACCTGGTAGGATGCACAATGGTGCCGGCCCCTTCACCAAATGGGACAATAATTCAAGAAGGGCCACTGAAGCAAGTCACGCCACCTGGCACCTCTTAGTCCCCCTTGCCTCTTCCGCATTCCAAACCCTTTCTGTAAAACCCTGCGTTCCCTCCACAAACTGAAGAGTGGAACTGCTCTTCCCCTTGCCTGCACAAATAATAAAGGAATATCACTCTTTCTCATCATAACTTATTATTTTGCCTTCTTTCCATAAGTGGCCGGACTCTTTTTGCGAGTTAATCCCCAGCTTGATCTGTAAATTTAGTGTAATCACAATCAGAATTGTACTGCATGTTTTCGTCTGTAGAAATTGACAAATTGATTCTACAATGTATATGAAAAGGCAAAGGAGCTAGAAAAGCCAAAACCACATCAAAAAACAGAAAGCCAATTGGGGACTTGCAATTCACAATTTTAAGACACAGGTACGGCTCAAATAAAAAGGACCCTGGGAATTGGCGTAAGGATGGCCATAGCTCAGTGCACAGAAAAGACTCCAGAAAGAGCCCACACAGGTATAGCCAACTGCATCTTGACGAAGATGCAAGGTGATTTCATGGAGGAGGAAAGGGTGCAGGAACAACGGGATAATCATATGGGGAAAAACCAAAAACAACAAACTGAACTTGGACTCCACATCCAAGATTAACTTAAAATGGATTACACACCTAATCATAACAGCTCAAACATACACTTACACAGCAGAGCTTCTCAACATCACACCATTGACCACTGGGCTGGAATGACTCTTTGTTGCAAGGGCTGTCCCGTGCCTCCTACCTGAGGCATTTTGTGGCAACCCAGCCCACCAAGACACCTGTGCCACTGACGGAAAGAGGGGCAAACTCATGCCCAGCTGAGCCCTGCTGGTCTAGATGAAGGGCAGGTCCAGAGATGTGTCATGGAGTTCCTTGATAAAAATATTACCTTCTAATGGTGCAGGGACTACTAGATATCCATATGGCATAAAGAAATAAATAAATCCTTACCTCATACCATACATAAACATTAATTCAAAATGGATCACAGACCTAAACACAAGAGCAGAGCTTTTAGGTTTCGATAAGGAGATAATAAAAGCAGCCACAGACACCAATGTAGAAATAACAGCAAGATTCTCGGCCGGGCGCAGTGGCTCACGCCTGTAATCCCAGCACTTTGGGAGGCCGAGACGGGCGGATCACGAGGTCAGGAGATCGAGACCATCCTGGCTAACACGGTGAAACCCCGTCTCTACTAAAAATACAAAAATTAGCCAGGCATGGTGGCGCGCGCCTGTAGTCCCAGCTACACGGGAGGCTGAGGCAGGAGAATGGCGTGAACCCGGGAGGCGGAGCTTGCAGTGAGTCGAGATTGCGCCACTGCACTCCAGCCTGGGTGACAGAGCGAAACTCTGTCTCAAAAAAAAAAAAAAAAAAGATTCTCATCAGTTAACTATGCAAGCCAAAATAAAACATGTTATTTCATACAGGACAACAAATAAACATGGTTTTTTACATGTCTTTTTATATAGAACACAAAAAGCACAAACTACAAGAGTATAATTGATAAACAGGACTTCTTCAAAATTAAAATTTCCTATTTGAAAGACACCATTTTAAAAAATTAAAATAGGGCCAGGTGCGATGGCTCACACCTGTAATCCCAGCACAGAGGTCAGGAGTTTGAGACTAGCCTGGCCAACATGGTGAAACCCCATCTCTACTAAAAATACACACACACACAAAATTAGCCAGGCATGGTGACATGCACCTGTAATCCCAGCTATTCGGGAGGCTGAGACAGGAGGACTGCATGAACCCAGGAGGCAGAGGTTGCAGTGAGCCAAGATCGCACCATTGCACTCCAGCCTGGGTGACAGAGCGAGACTCGGTCTCAAAAATAAAATATAAAATAAAATAAAATAAAAATAGGAGCCACATACTGTAATACCCAACCCTAATAAAAGACTTGTATCCAGAACATCTAAAGAAGGCTTAAAACGCAACAAGACAAACAATGCAATAATACAACAAAAACAGATGAGAGACTTGAGCTGGTATTTCACCAACACAGATACATAAGTGAAGTGTGCAGCATCAGTCCTCGGGCAACACAAATTAAAGACACCATGAGTTACCACTACACAACCAACAGAATGAAGATAAAAACACTGAAAATAACCATTGTAAGGGAGGATGATAGGAATATAAAATGTTACAACAACTATGGAAAACAGTTTGTGAGATTTGTTTAAAAGTTAAATGTAGACTTAACATATTAACCAGAACTTCCACTCCAAGAAACTGACCCAGTGAAACAAGCCCACACAGACTTGTATACATGAAGGTTCCTAGCAACTTTATCTGCAATAGCCAAAGGACCATCAATAAACAGCCAAAGGGGAATCAATAGGTGAGTGGGTAAATAGCCAAACAACCATCAACAGGTGAATGGATAAACAGCCAAATGACCCTCAATAGGTGAATGGCTAAGCCACCACAGTGTGGATGAACCTCAAGACTGTGGCAGTGTGGGGCCAGGTCCCAGCAGCCGTTGTAACAAACGACGCTCAATAGGTGAATGGCTAAGCCACCACAATGTGGATGAATCTCAAGACTGGACAGTGTGGGGCCAGGTCCCAGCAGCCGTTGTAACAAATAACCCTCAATAGGTGAATGGCTAAGCCACCACAGTGTGGATGAACCTCAAGACTGTGACAGTGTGGGGCCGGGTCCCAGCAGCCGTTGTAACAAACTTTAGATGTTTCTGATGCATATTAAAGCCTGAAAACCACTGATCTAGAAAATCAGAATAATTTAAATTACAATTATTACTGTCTTTGGCCACCCAACAGCTATTTATTTTTTTGTTCTGGGATCTCTCCCCTTGAGTCTTGGTGAGTGGTGAAGAATGTCTCCTGATGCAGGGAATATTTAAATGTTTAAAGTGGTGAGTACTTGCCTTCCCGGCCATGCGGCCAGGATTCTGCCAGTCTTTGGCTGAGGAGTGAGTGCCACAGCAGGGGTAGGGCAGCTCCCAACCTCTCCCTACCCCTCTAACTGGGTGCAGAAGTAACATTGGTGTTGGAACATTGCAGGTGAATTCTGGGAGCAGAAGTGCTAATTAAAATGTCAAGTGCCCGGTGGCAATCACAGGGATTCATCCTCAGACTAGCTTTGAGTTATGGCTTTCAACTGTCAAGACTGAGTTCTCCCAAAGACACTGGGGGCTTAAACAATGTCGGCTCAGGAATGTAGCTCAAAACTGTAGATCCTCACAGTCCAACATGGCAGTGAGAGCTCCATCCATCACAACCCCATTCCAGGCAGAATGTAAGAAAGGTAAAGATACACAGATAACTTGTAAGGTGCCCATGACAACTTCACTATTATCTTACTGGAAGCACCTGGACACATGCCCACATGTAGGTGCAAGCAATGTTGGTGAATGTGGTCTTTATTCAGGAGGGGCACGTACCCAGAGACAAAATCAGAGATAGTATTTCTGTGGAAAAAGAGGAGAATAAATAACAGGGGAGAGACCAGCAATCTCTCCCTCACATACTCAAGTCGCCAGTCTTAGATCTGCACTAACCCTTCCAAATAAACGACTCTATCTGATAGAACTATATTTCCGTTATCAATGTCACTCACTAATTCAGAATACGGTTTAGTCAGCCAGGATGTCTAGAAAGTCATATTTTCAAAATTATCTGAATTAAGCTGTAATATTATTCCACTCCCCACCTTCCATTTCTCAGATCCCTTGGCAAAACCTTACCCTGAATGCTCATAACTACAGTAAGTAGTCCACTTCTTGTACCGTCTCAGAGAAATACAGGCACAGAAACACTGGAATTTCTTTACTTTTTTGCTCAGGGGCTGAGGACAGAACAAGCACAAAATTTAAGCTGCACTAATTTCCAACCAACTATGAGGTGGTCCACAAGGGCCCACAGGATCAACCGTGACACAGAATCTTTGACTAAGAGGGCCAGGAGCATGGGGCCATGAAACAACTGGCATCCACCAGGTGGGCGAGAGGTCAGGGCAGCCTAGGAGGCTGTCAGCACCACTGCTACCAGAACAGCTCTCAGAAAGAAAAGACCAGAGTAACAGTGTTTGCCTTTAGGCTGAGCTACTTGGTGTCTGTGCTGCTCACGTTCACAGCCACAGGACCCATCCCAATACCCATAGAGGCAACATGAAGGTTGGACCCAGAGACTGCTGTGGGCCCTGCCCTGGGCTCTCCACTCAGGGAGTATCACAGCACCTCACTCCTGGCCATAAAGGTAATACTTTCTCTTTTTTTTTTTTGAGACAGAGTCTTGCTCTGTCGCCCAGGCTGGGGTGCAGTGACGCGACGTCAGCTCACTGCAACCTCTGCTTCCTGAGTAGCTGGGATTACAGGCATTCACCACCACACCCAGCTAATTTTGTATTTTTGGTAGAGACGGGGTTTCACCATGTTGTCTAGGCTGGTCTTGAACTCCTGACCTCAAGTGATCTATCTGCCTGCCTCAGCCTCCCAAAGTGCTGGGATTACAGGCGTGTGCCACTGCGCCGGGCCCCTAATACTTTCAAATAAACAAATGGATGTTGTCATTGCTTTATTACTCATAGTTTCCAAGCAATATTACATATATAAAAGTCATTTTAAAAACAACCAGGTTTGCTAGAAAAGTGTTTTTTCTTGGAATCATGGATTTCTACACCATTCATACCTGGAGTCCTTTATATTAAATATATTATTTACGCAGGCACTAGGCAAAATTGAAGAAGTTTTGAGTTATCTCCTCCATAACCCCCACCTTCCCACATTCCCACAAAAAAATCCCACCCTTTCCCTATTATATGGGTTATTAACATTAAAAACAATAGGAAAATACACAGGCATTTCAATTTGAATCACTTTTCCCTATTTTTACATGTCTGGAGATGTTGGCTTGGTTATGAATTCAAAAGTTCTCCCAGAGTTCTTGATGATGATTCATAGAGAAATCTGAAACACAAATAAAGAAATATTTAGCTACAGAAAAAAGTGACCAAATTATCCAAATGTACATTTTCAAAAATATAATCTAAAAATGGTTTGCAACCATGCATTTAAAAACAAAGTTGAAATAATCTATAGATGTTTCATTAATTGTTTCTTGTATGTAAAATGGAGTCAGAATCCCCACAGCAGTCAGGACACATGGCACTGGAGCACAGGCTTGGGTTGACCGTGGACACCAAGCACTGCCAGGCAATGAAACGTGCTCACTGGGCAGTGTGCTATGCTGGTGAGCAAACAGGACGTGTGCTCTTCCTTTCCAGCACCCACAGTTCTGAGCCTATTTCTCTATTACACAAGAAAACAAGATAAATAAAAACTATGTGACCTACCAAGATACTCTACTACCATGACATTTACCTACTACCTCTAATAACCTGAAGCCTTTAGAAAAACCTCACTTTCCCACTCCCCTGCCCTACATCCCTGTCCCTCAAGGCGAGACTCTTCCTCCTCACGTCCTCCCCAGCCCCACCTAGGCCGCGGCTTTGGCTGAGAGCACTGAGTACTTTTCCTTGCCAGACGTTGTCCTCACTTCCCTGGCAGTGTGCCTATTTTAAGAATCATTATTAGACAGGTAGCATATCACTGTTCCTTCAAATACACATATTTACAAAGTGCGTGGCTCACCATGGCTTCCCTTTTTACTGTCCCACAACTCCTGCATGGCTCCAATGCTTGTTCCATTACAGGGCACTCCAAAGCAGTCTCCTCAGAGAAGCAATAAAGAAAAGCTCATCTCTGAATTCCTCCTGGACACAAATATCTACCTTTCACTCCAAATGAATCTCAGCGAGATTTAAAACTCTTACAATCCTATTGTCTTCCTGTGTCCAGCACTGCAAGTGAGACTCATGTCTACCTGGTCTTCACCTTTGGAGACAGACTGCTGTCTACCACAGCCCCTGTAATGTCAATGCCAGTCACATGCGTCATTTTACATTTTCCAGTAATCACATTGAAACAGGTCAAAGGGTACAATGGATCAAGACCTTGCTTCTTTTTATTTTTTTAAGCAAAATTCATCTTAATATATTTTATTTAACCCAACATATCCAAAATGCTTCAACTTGTAATCAATATAAAATTATTTATGACATAGTTCACATTCTCTTTTCCATACTGTCTTCAAAACCTGCTTGCACTTTCTATGAGGGCCACACTCAGCTTAGACTCACCAGGTTTCATGTGTTCAGCAGCCACTGTATTGGCCTGCATGAATCTAGAAAAATTTTAAGATTTTCTCTTTATTCCTGGAATTTAGGAATCTTATCCATAATTATTTAGCTGTGATTTTTTTTTTCCATCAATCCAGAATGTAGTGAAAGAAAAAAGGGAATCTGCATATATTTCTTTAAGCTCTGGGGAATTTTTTCCTATCGTTGTTGAATCACTGCTTCTCCTTGCTGTTAGGTCTCTCGGGCCTTTTCCCCCAAGTCTATCCCCACCCTCGTGACCTCTCCTCGTGAGTATTTATGGTCTATGTTCTGAGACATCTCTCCAAATTGACCTTTCTGGAATTTGACTATCACAGGAACCATCTCTGTAGTGTGTCTGTGACACTTGAGCTCTAGACTGTCCTTTCGGGGTTACAGTTGACTCTTCTTCAAAGACTCTTATTACTCACCCACCACTATCACTCTGGAAGCGCCTGGGCCACCCTCTGTGTGGTTATTTCTGCCTGTGTTGAACCAGGGGTGAGGGCACAGCTATGTGGAGGCTGCCATGCAGCGACACAGGAGACTCTGGGTGCCCCACAGCCCCTTCACTCTCCCAGCCTCGCTGGGCCTCTACTGGACCTGCTGCCTCAGGGTCTCCTGCCCATTCCCTGAGTCCCCCAAGGAGAAGAGAGTGCTCTCTGTCCACAGACCAGGTTCCGCCCACCTGTCAGCCCAGCAACTGCCTGGCTCAGCAGCAGTGCAGCCAGAGGCAAGACAGAGGAGAACAGGCCCAGGAAGTCATGAACCCTCCAAAATCTAAAATTAATTTTTTTTTTTGAGACAGGGTCACGCTCTGTCACCCAGGCTGAAGTGCAGCAGTGAGGTCACAGCTCACTGCAGCCTTGACCTCTCGGGCTCAAGCAATCCTCCCAGCTCACCCTCCCAAGTAGCTGGGACTATGGTGCACACCACCACACCCAGCAGATTTTTTTGTATTTTTTGTAGAGATGGGGTTTCACCATGTTACCCAGTCTAGTAGTGAACTCAGCTTAAGCAATCTGCCCGCCTCAGCCTCCCAAAGTGATGGAATTACAGACACCATACCTGGCCTAAAATTAATTTTTAATTACTCAAAAATAATATTGTCTCCTTAAGTGAACATGAATTTAAAAATACTTTAGAGAAAAATGTTACGTTAAAAGTACAGTTAACCCTCACTATCTGTGGGAGATGTGTTCCAGGACCCCCCAGATACTAAAATCCACAGATGTTCAAGTCCCTGGTATAGTGTTTGCATATAGTCTACCCACATCCTCCTGTATGCTTTAAATCATCTCTAGACTACTTATAATACCTAATACAAGGTAAATGCTATGGTAATAATTGTTATACTATATTGTCTATATACTATATCGTCTATATTGTTATACTATACTAATAGTTGTTATACTATATACTATATTGTTTATCCTATACTGTTATATTATATTAGGGAATAATGACAAGGAAAAGTCTGTTCATATTCAGTACAGGCACAACCATCCATTTTTGTCCCAAATATTGTCAAACTATGGTTGGTTGGATTTACGAACGTGGAACCCATGGATACGGAGGGCCAAGTGTTCTCATTTACCAGGTAGTAAAGAGCTACTTACACTGACCTAAGTCTAGACTGGCAACAAGAATGACTCTTTATCGTTATCCTGTAACAGATAAGCTAACTGAGGCAAAAGTGGTAAAGCAAACTGCCCATGACCACTCAGATGGGAAGGGCAGTCTGGGTTTAAACCCAGGCCATTTTTCTCCTGCTACTGGAACACTACTGCAATACAAATTTACTCATTCTTCTATTACCTGAAGCAAGAATTGAACACACTATGTAAATCAGAGAAATAAGAACTACTAAAGAACAAATGAAGAAAACAAAATGAAGGAATTTTAAAGTTGGAAGGGACAGTGACAAAAAGCTTAGACAAAAAGCTCCCTGGGCCAGGGTTCTCCTGATATGTAACAAGACACACAGACCAGACCATGTGCAAGTCCCCTCAGCACTAACGTCTGTAAAATGTGTCAAACACGAGGACTCAAAACTTCGCCACCTTTCCTTCTATGTCAGGTTAGGATCACATGTTGGTGATCACAGCCACAAGAAACACAGCAGAATCAATTTTTTGAGAAAAACCGTAAGATAAAAAGACAGTGTCTGTATTTATTAAAGGGTGGTTTTACACATGAATACTTTTAAATTATCCACACCAATTTCATTGGGTATGGATGATGGAAGCATACCACTAAATAAGCTATAAAAAGCATCCAGCCTCAAATTCGTTTAAAAAAAAAGACTGTTAAAATTAAAGCAGAATAAAATGAATTGATATTCATTTATCAATACCTGATAACAAAAGAGAGGCCATTTTCAGGGAGTACTCTTTCCCTTCAAGGTTTAATGTTGGCACCTACATTATTTTACTATTAACGTTGCCTGCAAGTAGAGGCACAATTAATATTGGCAAGTAATTTGCTTGTAATATGATTAGTGGGGAAAATTCATGAGGTAACACAAACCTTAAGAAATATATTATTTATATTTGTAATTTATTTCAAATTACAAATTTATTACTATCGATACAATTTATGAAAGCAATAAATTTAACATACTTGACATTTAAATGCACCAGTGCATGGGCAAATGCATGTTGTTTCTCCTCAGAAAATGTCCAGTTTACAATATGCTATATCGGATGAGGCAATTAAAATGCAATGAGATGCCGATTTTTATTTAGCACCCAAAAGACAGACCAGTCAACAGAATACTAGCCCTGAAAACTAGATTAGTTGTTAAGAAAACGTGCACTTTTAAATCAAGCTCCACTGCCTAAAATATTAATTGGAGCAAGGGGTTCCCAGATTCTTAAAGATGTTTACTTGCTTTAATGTCTCTAGTCCAACGTTAAATCAATAATATTTTAAAATACAGTCTTAAATCTTAATTGTTTATCTTCCGTTAGATTGATTTTTCTTGTTTCATCAATTTGTCAGATTGATTTTTTTAGACACTGGTTTTTCTATAGTTTGCTTCTTGCATATTTAAGTAAGAAGCCAATATTTCACAGTCCTGACCTATTTATTTTCTAGGATGTTTCCTTCTTAAAGGGAGGAGCTCTTTTTTTCATCTGTGTATCATCTTAGTAGAGGGGATGGCATGCAGGTGAATAATGGAGAAACAAAACGCTCCATCCCCAGTGTTCTGTTCATGTCCTTTTCCACATTGTAAGTTCTGAATTTCTCAGGTCTTTTCTTCTCTCAATGTAACTAACATAATTCAAGTAGTTAGCCTGAAACTAAGTATAAGTGGAAATGGAAGGCATTCCTAGTGAGAAACCAATGTTCCTCTTCCCTTTCATCTTCAGAATAGTATACACTATTCTATATCCAAATAAGCCTTCCTTGGCAACATTATTTCTTTTTTTCTTTTTTTTTTTTTTTTGAGATGGAGTTTCACTCTTAATGCCCAGGCTGGAGTGCAATGGCTCGATCTGGGCTCACCGCAACCTCTGCCTTCCGGGTTCAAGTGATTCTCCTGCCTCAGCCTCCCAAGTAGCTGAGATTACAGGCATGTGCCACCATACCCAGCTAATTTTTGTACTTTTAGTAGAGACGGGGTTTCTCCATGTTGGTCAGGCTGGACTTGAACTCCCGACCTCAGGTGATCTGCCTGCCTCAGCCTCCCAAAGTGCTGGGATTACAGGCATAAGCCACTGTGCCCGGCCAACATTATTTCTAATAAAGAAAAATGCTTAGACTTTTGAGGTTGTTACTACATCCTGTGAAAACAATTTAACATTCTTACAGTTGGTAATTCTGGTCATCTTGTTTAATATTTGTGCCTGATGGACCATTTACATCATTGCCACTTATTTTCTGAAATGGACAAGTGCTCCTCTGTCATCCCCAAATCAGACCACTGCCCTAAAAACAAGCTCCTAAGGCCAATAGTCTATTGGGTTTCCTCTTCTTCTTCTTCTTTTTTTTTTGAGACGGAGCCCTGCTCTGTCACCCAGGCTGGAATGCAGTGGTGTGATCTTGGCTCACTGCAAGTTCCGCCTCCCGGGTTCATGCCATTCTCCTGCCTCAGCCTCCCGAGCAGCTGGGACTACAGGCGCCCGCCACCATGCCCGGCTAATTTTTTATATTTTTAGTAGAGACGGGGTTTCACCGTGTTAGCCAGGATGGTCTCGATCTCCTGACCTCGTGATCCACCTGCCTTGGCCTCCCAAAGTGCTGAGAGGGTTTCTTCTTAAAATATAAAGTTGCAAAGTCTAACCTGATTAAAACTAGCATAGTGGACACTCAATCATTTTTAGAATAAAGTACATAATTGAATGCATTTCATTCACTCAGTCGCTAGGAGCCCAAACCCACCCACCTGCTTTAGTGCCCAGTTCAACGTCCCATCACCGTGGGGTGCTGGAAGGTCACTGGGGAAGGAGGGGACTTTCTCCAGGTTTCCGTAAGGCCCCCCTTTCTCCAGCAGACTCTGACAGCACAAGCAGCACACCAGACAACTACCCCACAAGCCCCCACCCCATCCGAGCCACACACAGGAGCCTGTGGGACTCAAGAGAGTAGGCTTTCCAGCTCCGGCTCCAGCAGCTCCCCAGCACCTCCCCTGCGATGGCTCCACATCCCCCCGGCCCACCACCCACCCAGGTGAGTGGACGTCCTCAGGTCCCACAGAAGGCCGCTAACAATTTCTTCCACGTAGGAAGCCAGGTCTCCCTGTCCGGGTGGGGGCTCCTTCCTTGGCGGCGCTCACCTAGGGTTGGAGGTGTTCTCTTCATCTGCTAGTCCTGTATTCTCTAGAGTTCTCTTTAACTCTCACTAGCCAATAACCCATCGTGCCAACTCCCTATAAAAATCCCTGACACTTGGCTGGGCACGGTGGCTCACCCCTGTAATCCCAGCACTTTGGGAGGCCGAGGCGGGCGGATCACTTGAGGCCAGGAGTTCAAGACCAGCCTGGCCAACATGGTGAAACTCCGTCTCTACTAAAAATACAAAAATTAGCCGGGCATGGTGGCGCATGCCTGTAATCCCAGCTACTCGGGAGGCTGATGCACAAGAATTACTTGAACCTGGGAGGCAAAGGTTGCAGTGAGCCAAGATCGCACCACTGCACTACAGCCTGCATAACAGAGGGAGACTCTTGTCTCAAAAACAAACAAAAAAATCCCTGACACTGAGCTTTCCCTATCCGAATCACTGCGTGGTTTTGGTCTTCTCCTGGAACCTGACAAACACACAGAAAAACATTGTTTTTTGTTTGTTTGCTTTTGAGACAAGTCTTGCTCTGTTGCCAAGACTGGAGTGCGGTGGCGCAATCTCAACCCACTGCAACCTCCACCTCAAGCAATCCTCCCACCTCAGCTGTCCATGTAGCTGGGACTATAGGCACATGCTACCACACCTGTCTAATATTTGTATTTTTTGTAGAGATGAGGTCTCGCTGTGTTGCTCAAACTGGTCTTGAACCCCTGAGCTCAAGCAATCCACCCACCTTAGCCTCCCATAGTGTTGGGATTACAGACGCGAGCCACCATGCCCAGCCAACATTGTTATCTCAGTACCTGACAAAGTGGAGTAAAGAGAGACCCTTTATTAAAATAAAAGGGTCAATTAATCAAGAACATACAGCAGTTCTAAACTTATATGCACCTAATAACAGGGCCATAAAATATATAATGCAAAAGCAGTCCTAAATATGATACTTGGACAAATTCACAAGCATAATGAGAAATTTAACACAAGTCTCTGTAGAATAAGTAACAAAAAATCAGTAAAAACATAGAAAAGTTGAGGTAACACAATTAACGAACGTGAACTGATCAGGTGGCACTCCACCTCTCTAAAACACACACTCCTATGCACAAGCACTCACAAATGCTGTGTGTGAGCCACAGAGCCAGTCTCAGACGTACAATCAAAAAAGACAAAAAAGAAATGGTGTTAAAAGCCACAGTAAACATAAACCTCATATCAAGTATAAAACCACACACACTTTGCTCTTCATCCGGACAATGCCCAAAATTATACTGAGGTATTGGGGTGGGCTGATACCTTCAAACAGGGAGAGAGGGACCATGTTCAGGAGGTGTATTCCTCGATTTAGGTGGTGACTGAATTTTTTTTTTTTTAAGACAGGGTCTCACTCTGTCACCCAGGCTGGAATGCAGTGACGTGATCTCGGCTCACTGCAGCATCAACCTCCTGGGCTCAAGTGATCCTCCCACCTCAGCCTCTTGGGTAGCTGGGACCACAGGTGAGTGCCACAATATCCAACTAATTTCTATATTTTTTGTAGAGACAGGGTTTTGCCACATTGCCCAGGCTGGTTGCGAACTCCTAGACTCAAGCAATTCACCTGCCTTGGCCTCCCAAAGTGCTGGGATTACAGCTGTAAGCCACCGCACCTGGCTTGTGAGTGCATTTTATAACAATTAATTCAGTGGTACACATATTATTTACATTCTTTTCCATATGTATATCTCAATGAGTAAATTCTATTCTATTAAAATCAATAAACAAAAACCACAAGCCATTTTGTTAATAAATTTAAAAATCTAGACCAATGCAAGAAATTGTAAATTACCAAAATTTATTCAGGCAGTAATAGGAAATCAGACCCAACTACTAACATAGAAGAAACAGGGAAAAGTCATCCCAGATTTCTGGGGGTATGTTGTTCCACAGCATCAGATGTGATTTAAACTGCTCCACAACACTGAAAAGGGAGAAGTTACCAACTAATGCTGAGAGCAAAACTGGTAGAGGTCCTACTGAAAAAACAAAAACAAAACACTACAAAACAAAACAACCAACAACCATTTAATCTTATTTCAAACCTAATGCAAACATTCTCAAATAAAATATTAGCAAACAGAATTCAAAAATGCAGCTGTTTTGATAGAATGAAATATCCAAGACCTGTGAGACAACTGTAAAAGGTGTTAACATGTATAATAAGAATTTCAGAAGAGAGAAAGGAACAGAAGAAATATTCAGACAATAATAACTGAGAATTTATCCAGGAAGCTCATAGAATACTGAATAGAATAAATGCCAAAAAAAAAAAAAAAAAAGAAAAGAAAACTACACCTAGGCATATCATATTCAACCTACAGAAAAATCAAACAAAGAAAAAGTATTGAAAGAAACCAGATAGGGAAAAATACACCTTATCTACTGAGGAGCAAAAAAGAATTATATCCTATTTCTCAGATACTACACGAGCCAAGAAGAGAGTATAGCGAAATGTTTAAAGTACAGAGAGTGGCCGGGCACGGGGAGTAATCCCAGCAATTTGAGAAGCTGAGGCGAGTAGATCACTTGAGATCAAGAATTCGAGACCAGCCTGGGCAACATGGTGAAGCCCTGTCTCCACTAATACAAAAATGAGCTGGGTGTGGCGGCGATGTGCCTGTATACCAGCTACTCAGCAGGCTGAGGTACAAGAATCGTTTGAACTTAGGAGGCAGAGGTTGCAGTGAACTGAGATCACACCACTGCGTTCCACCCTAGGCAACAGAGCAAGACTCTGTCTCAAAAAATAATAATAATAAATTAAATAAAGTACAGAGAGAAAAAAATTCATCAACTAGAATTATAAACTACATAACATTATCCCTGCAAAGAAATAAAGTAGAAGTAAAAGACTCTCTGACAAACCAAAATTAAGAGAATTAGTTGCCAGTAGACATGCCTTGAAAGAAGCATTAAAAGAAGTTCTCTGGAGGGAAGGAAAAGAATATAGGTCAGAATTTGGATCAACACAAACAAAGGAGAAGCATCAAAGAAGGAGTAAGTGAAGGTAAATAAAAACTTTTATTTTTCTTATTCTTAAATGACCTAAGATGTAGTTTGTTCAAAATAATAATAGCAACAATATATTCAATTATGTATGCTTATGTCTGCTTATACCTTAGCAAAATGAATGACAGCAATGATACAAGGAACGAGAGGCAAGGATTAGGATTATTTTGTTATTATATACCACCCTACCTGCAAAGTGGTATAGTGTCATCTGAAAGCAAACGTGGATTAGTTATAAATGAAAACTCCAACTCTAAAGCAACCACTAAGAAAGATAAAAACAAATAAAAATTCCAACTCTAAAGAAACCACTAAGAAAGGTTTAAAAAAAAAAAAGTATAACTGATATGCTAGGAAAGAAAACGGCATCATAAAATGTTCAGTTAAAACCACAAAAGACAGAAAAGGAGTGGAAGACAGAAATAGGAACAAATAACAAGGGGAACAAATAGAAGACAATAACAAATATGGTGGATATTAATCCAACTATATCAATAATCACTTTGAATATGGTACATATGCACCAATTTTAAGACAGATTGTCAGAGAAGATCAAAAAACATGACCCATTTATATACTGTCTATAAAAAAACCACTTTAAATATAAAGACACATATAGATAGAAATTACATTAGCTGGGTCTGGTGGTGTGTGCCTGCAGTCCTAGCCAATTGGGACTGAGGCAGAAGGATAGATTGAGTCCAGGAGTCCAGGAGTTAGAGCCCAGCCTGGGCAACACAGCAAGTCCTCATATCTTGGAAAAAAAAAAAAAAAGGAAATGAATAAAAAGATATACCATGCTTATTCTAATCAAAACAAAGCAGGAGTAGTAGTATTAATTTCAGGCAGAGCAGAATTCACAGTAAGAAGAATTATCAGAGATAAAGAAGAGCATTACATAATGAAAAGATGGTAACAATCATCAATGTGTGGACCTAACAACAGAGCATCAAACTGTGTGAGGCAAAAACTGACAGAACTGCAAAAAGTAATAGATAAGTCAGTTATTATAGTTGGAGACTATAACACCCTCTATCAGATCTAACAGGTAGAAAATTAGGAAGGACATAGTTCAACCCAAAAACATTGTCAATTGGATATAATGGACGTCTACAGACTACTTCCTCCAGCAACAGTAGAATACACATTCTCCTCATGCTCACATGAACACTCACCAAGAGAGAACACATTCTGAGCCATAAGACACACCTTCACGAATTTAAAAGAACAGAAACAATACAATGTCTGCTCTCAGGCTACAATGGAATTAAAAAAGAAATCAATAACAGAAAGCTGGAAAAATCCCCAAACACTTGGAGATTAAACAACGCAACTAAATAGGTCAAAGAGGAAATCACAAGAGAAATTTAAAAATATTTTGAACTAAATAAAAATGACAGCACAGTTTATCAAAAATTTGTGAGATGCATAAAAGGGAAGCAAGAATGATGGAAAGGCCAAACATGGTGGCTCACACTGGTAATCTCAGAACGTTAGGAGGCCGCAGGAGGCTTGTTTGAGCCCAGGAGTTCAAGGACAGCTTGGGCAAACATAGTGAGACCCCATCTCTGCAAAAAAATTTTTTTCATCAGCTGTGCATGGTGGCACACTTCTGTAGTTCTAGCTACTTGGGAGGCTTAGATGGGAGAATCGCTGGAGCCTGGGAGGTTAAAGCTGTGATCGTGCCACTACACTCCAGCCTGGGTGACAAAGCAAGACTCCATCTCAAAACAAAAAACAAAACAAAATAAAAACTGATGGGAAGAAAAAGGACAAAAAGATAAATAGAAAAAAAAAGTTTTTTAATGCGGAATAAAGCAGTGCTTACAGGAAAATTTATAGCATTGAAAGTACATATTAGAAAAGAAGAAAAATCTAAAATCAATCATCTAAACTTCCACCTTCGGAAAACAGAAAAAGAAGAGCAAATTAAATCCTAAGTAAGAAAAACAGAAACAGTAAAATCTAGAGCATAAATTAATATACTTGAAAATAAGAAATCAACAGAAAAAATAAACGAAACCAAAAGCTAGTTCTCTGAAAATATCAGTAAAAATTGATAAACCTCTAGCCAGGCTAACTAAGCTCTTCAGCTTCCAGAGTAGCTGGGATTACAGAAGCGTGCCACCACACCCGGCTAATTATTTTATTTTTATTTTTTACTTTTATTTATTTTTTTCAAGATGGACTCTTGCTCTGTTGCCCAGGCTAGAGTGCAGTGGCGCAATCTCAGCTCACTGCAACCTCCACCTCCCAGGTTCAAGCAATTCTTCTGCTTCAGCCTCCCAAGTAGCTGGAATTACAGGCACCTGCCACCATGCCCAGCTAATTTTTGTAATTTTTAATAGAGACAGGATTTCACCATGTTGGCCAGGCTGGTCTTGAACTCCCGACCTCAGGTGATCCACCCACCTCGGCCTCCCAAAGTGCTGGGATTACAGGCCTAATTTTTGTATTTTTAGTAGAGACAGGGTTTTACCATGTTGGCCAGGCTGGTCTCAAACTCCTAGCCTCCTGAGATCCGCCTGCCTTGGCCTCCCAAAGTGCTGGGACTATAGGCATGAGTCACCGTGCCCAGCCTAATTTTTGTATTTTTAGTAGAGATGGGGTTTTACCATGTTGGCCAGGCTGGTCTCAAACTCCTGGATTACAGGCATTGAGTTACTGCGCCCAGCCTACAAACCAAATTTTCTAGTGAAGTGAGCATTAAGTGTATTGTGTCTATAGAACAAGCCAACAGTCTATAAAAAGCCACGCTTTGGAAGTTTATTCACAAATTAGGAGTTTCTGATTTGGAAAACCTTTCTCCAGAGGAAGTAGCTATGGAGAGTGGTTTGTTTCCCTGGCAAAGGTGAATTTCCTAGTGCAGAGCTTTACAACGCTTCACCTATTTAGCTCATAAAATAGCAAGAAAAATTCTTTGTGGTTGATCTAAAAGTCAAACACAATTCAAAACCGAGTCTATAGTAAAATGCAGAGCATACCAAACAGCACACAGCAGCAAAAACACCCAGCTGCAAAGCAGCCCTACGAATACACTGGTAGCCTGCAGGCTGTGCGTAGCAATGGGCTGTCCAGCAAGGGGGAAATTACACACATCTCAGAGGCTCTGGAGGGACCGCACATCCCCATGTGGGTATTTGTCCGCTAGGTGTCTATCCTTGGGAAACGCCCATGGTTTCAATAATGCAGCAACCACCAAAAATAATGTCTGATTTTAAAACTAAATAAAATAAGTTTGTATGCCCTCACTTTTCTACAGTAGAATTTTGCAAATGACACTTTTGTTTTGTTTTTGAAGACAGAATTAGCAAGTAAATTAAACGTAAGCTAAAGGTCTTTGCCAACAGAAACATTTCTCTCCTTAGAGTCCCCAGTCTCCTAACCACCTGGGTGTAAGTAGCAGAAATGAAAATACAACCTCATGCAGATCCAAAGAAGAATGAGCAGTTTTAGATGATCACATCTGGTGAATATCTCTCCTTTACCTTTCAATGCTATCCTCTTCCAAAGTAATTTCCATGAATGTCTTTAGTTTTCTGTGAACAGTGGCTGCAACCTCCCTCACTTTTGAGCTTTTATGTTTACCTGGGAAAATTATATTAAAAGACAGAAAAGACTTTAACATCACTACACAAAGACAAACACTCTGGTACACATGTGGTACAACTTCCCTAAGCTGGGCCTCCCTATCCTTCCCTTTGAGGTAACCTACATACTGACCCGCGGAATAGTAATTCTCCCTTCTTTAGGGATGTTGTAAAGATCAAACAAACGTTTACTGGGAAGAAGACTTCAAATGGACCTCACCCCATGAAGCCATGAGAGGAAGGATTATGTCCATGCCAGCAAACCAATCCTGTTTCAGAGTCCTTCCCCTGTTTAACTATCGCAGGTAGTTAAGGATGTATTAAGGGCAAGGCACCTGGCAGCATCCAACATCCATCCTCAACATCCTCCTGGTGGTGATCTCAATGCAGGGGAGTCCCTGAGGGAAGTCTTTTCTTATGCCCAACCTGGGTCAAACCAGTTAAGGAGTATTCTTATCAATCTGCAGATATCCTATCCATTTAGGCTTACAGGGAGAGTTTGTTTCAATAGAAGCACTCCCTATCTACAATGTATCATCTCTGAAAATAATTTCAACGTTAGTAAAACTGAGCAAATAATACAGAAAGGTAAAGGCAGTCACCCTGCAGGGATGTTACTACATTTTATACTGAGCTAAGCATCTTATACATATCTCCAATTATTTTCCCAGTACTACTTGAACTGGTTGGGATATTCAGAATAGGCAAGGCTAAGGCTTACGAGAAATAGTAGATAGGTCAAATATTAACACCAAAATATCCGTCATCAACCAAAATAAATTCAGATTTTAAGATACAGGTAACACATCAAATCAACAGAAATTCAATGCCGAGGCACAGACAGGAACACTTAAATGGACCTAGTGGCAACAGGTGAAAATGAACAGGACCTCCACCACTGAAGAGTGAGCAAGCTGATATAAAAACAGATGCAGGGTGGGCTAAGGAGAGGAAGCCCAGGTGGACAGCACTGTGTCCAGCACATGAGAAGGCAGGGAGTGGAAAGGCTGGGGGACACCTGAGCTGGCCAGGAGTAGCCAAGTGCAGGGGCTGATCCCCGGAATCCCATGACAGCACCTGTGAGGTGCACCAGCCACCTTCCAGATGACAGAGGGGAATGTAACCAACCTGCATTAATAACCAGGATAATATGCACAGCAGCCGTGAGGCACACAATGCCTTCAATATCATTAGAAGCCACACATGCCTTTAATTCATCCAAAAATGACCTGCAAAAAAATCAACAAACATCAAAATTACTGTATCATATAGACCCTAATACATTATAGCAGAAGTACAGCCAAGGTTCAACCACAACCACAAACCCCAGTTTGCAGGGGACGTGGGAAGGTGACTGAACTCACCCCATGCTTTTCATGGAGAGTGTGCCAGATTGTACAGTGAGATATTAAAACCAGAGGATGCTGCTGGGAACAGGGATGCTGTGCTGAGTGAAAAAGGCTACTCTGTATACCCTCAATGCACACAAAAAAGATTTAATATGTTGTTGAAAGATGACTCATAGCTGCTAAAGATGGTGCTTTTAAAAGTTTTCATTGAATGTATCTGCTATTAAAATTCGACAGGTACCAGACATCTGCAAAGCAATTCCCTCTGTAACCTGTCAGCCCTGCATGCACCACAGCAAACCCTGTAATTCTGATCAAGTGACATATGGACTGGAAAATGAGTAGCAGCTGCGTATTCAACGAAAATGGCACCGGTATTTAACCTTGTCAAGTGTTTTGAAAGCACACTTGGTAAGAAGTATTTTACTAAACATTAACATTCTATATTCTCCCTTAACTGAATTTAAGTTATGAGAAGCATAACTAACCAGAGACTATTTAGATGAATATTCTTTACAGAAAGTTAGAATTTTTCTCTGTGTAAGTTTAATGTAAATATTTCTAATTACTGATAAAATGGAGAAAAAATTATATGAAACATTTTTCTCATAGAAAAGAATGTAGCTTTGAAAAACTTGAGTGTAAAAGGAATAGAACAAAAGCTGCTGAGCGCTTACAGCCACGATGAGCATTTCAGGACAGTAAAGAGAAAGTGATTACCTGACCACATTCGAAGACTTTATTATTATTCCTATTAAACACCTTGAAAATGGTGGAAGATCAGAAAGATGCTCTGGAGGGGTAAGCTCTTCTACGTCAGAAACCTAAAAAAGTTCCAAATCAGCAAGTTGTAAACAGAGACTAGGCTACTTACTTGTAAATTACATTGCTTTGGGTTTTCTTCAACACCTAAGAAAAACTTTCTAGAAATTCAAAAGAATTATTTTTATTAACTGTTGAAATGTCTACAATAATTATGAATAATCTATTATTATAAACATAAGTGTGTTGGGCGTGGTGGTTCACACCTGTAATCCCAGCGCTCTGGGAGGCTGAGGCAAGAGGAATGCTTGAGGTCAGGAGTTCAAGATCAGGCTAGTCAACATGACAAGACCCTGCCTCTCTAACAAAATTTTAAAATTAGCTGGGCATGGTGGTGCATACCTGTAGTCCCAGCTACTTGGGAGACTGAGGCAGGAGGATCACTTCAGCCCAGGAATTTGAGGCTGTAGTGAGCCATGTATCATGGCACTCCAGCCTGGGTGACAGAGCGACATCCTGTCTCAATATGACAAAAAAAAAAAAAAGATAAACGAAAGTGTTTATTCAGTGAGACAAAAATAAAGAAAAACAGACATATTACTCAATAAGTCTTTCATCAAAAAGTCTTTATCTTGTTATCATCTACTGTAAATAATGTGCTTTTATGCTAAATAAATTTAACATTGTACTCCTGTCTAAATTGGCGTTTCTCAATCTCAGCACTACTGACCTGACCAGCTCGTTCTTTGGGGGATTGGGAGGCTGTGCTAGGTGCTGTTGGAGGCTGAAGAGCATCCCTGGCCTCCACCCACTCAATGCCTGGGGCACGTTGCCCACCCCCTCACCCAGTTGTGCCAAACAAAAATGTTCCTACACATCACAGTGCCCCCTGCAGGGCAGAAGCCCACAGTGAAGTACTGCAAGTTTAGAGCCACGAGGGCACCTGCCTGGACCTGTGCTCTTAATTATCAGCCTTGTGAGCTTCGATGAGCCTTTCACCATGAATTCCACATGCTCCTCAGAAAGTCCAAGTGCAGAATTCCTGCTCCAGGTGGAAACTTATGCCTTGGTTTTCCACCTGTAATAGCTGAGACATGAATATGCCTATCCTACCCCTGTATCTCTCCACCACTGTGTTAGGCCCGATTCTTGGCTATCTTAGGAGATTTCATTTAGGCATGACTAAACAACACTGCTTTTTTTTTTTTAAGAGACATAGTCTCACTCTGTTGCCTAGGCTGGAGTGCAGTGACACAATCACAAATCATAGCTCACTGCAGCCTTGAACTCCTGCCTCAGTCTCCCGAGCAGCCAAAACTACAGGCGTGTACCACCATGCCCAGCTAATTTTTAAATATTTTTTAATAGAGGCAGGGTCGCACCATGTTGCCTAGGTTGGCCTCGAACTCCTGGCCTCAAGCAATCCTCCTGCCTAGGCCTCCCAAAGTGTTGGGATTATGGTGTGAGCTACCGTGCCTGGCCTAGACAGCACTTCCAATAAGTCTTCCCACACTTCCTCTGCCAGGATTATAATACAAATTTGAATATTTAAGTCAATCATCACTATACATCAAATAGCACTGTTTCTCATTAAAATACTTTACATCTTAAAGTGATTGTTGTAAATGCATTTCTTAAACAGTGAGACAAAAGACTATTGACAGATTAAAATAAAAATAATAACAACAGCATAAGGGATAGGAGAACACAACTGGAGATTCCTACCATGCAATGGACAAGCATAATTTCTGAAGGTACTGAGATAAGTTAAACATGCGTGCTGAGATCTCTAGAGAAATCACTAAAAAAAAAAATTACACAAAAGATAATATAAAGTCAACAGAGATAAAATGGCGTAGTAAAAACAATTCATCATAAAAGTGACAGGAAAGAAAAAAAAACAGAAAGACTAACAGAACAGACAGACTGATAGAAAAGAAACAACATTAACTTAAACCCAAACCTATCAATAAATTCATTAAAGTCAAATGGACTAAAAAAAAAAAAGAATGGACTATAACCACGCCAAATGGACGACAACCACGGCAAATGGACGACAACCACGCCAAATGGACGACAACCACGCCAAATGGACGACAACCACGCCAAATGGACGACAACCACGCCAAATGGACCACAACCACGCCAAATGGACCACAACCACGCCAAATGGACCACAACCACGCCAAATGGACCACAACCACGCCAAATGGACCACAACCACGCCAAATGGACCACAACCACGCCAAATGGACCACAACCACGCCAAATGGACCACAACCACGCCAAATGGACCACAACCACGCCAAATGGACCACAACCACGCCAAATGGACTACAACCACGGCAAATGGACTACAACCACGGCAAATGGACTATAACCACGGCAAATGGACTATAACCACGCCAAATGGACTATAACCACGCCAAATGGACTATAACCACGGCAAATGGACTATAACCATGGCAAATGGACTACAACCACGGCAAAGAAAAGTCAGAGGTTGTTGGACTAGATTTTTTAAGCCCTACCCATGTGGGGGTGAGGTTTTAAAAGATAGGCTATGCAAACACAAAGCACAAGAAAGCTGGTTTGGCTGTAAAAATATCAAAGTAGACTTCATGAGGAGTCAGAGCCAGAGAGATTCCACAATAATAGGAGTCAATTCATCAAAAAGAAAAAGCTCCCAAATACAAGAAAATACATGAAAAGAAAATTGACAGAACAAATGAAAAAAGAGACAAACCCACAATCACATATAAAATAAGTAGACAAAATCCATAAGGAAATACAACAGCTGTCAGCAAACTTTTTCTGTAAAGTAACAAAATAGTAAATATTTAAATAGTATAGTAAATATTTTCACCTTTGTGGGCAGAGTTGCAATGGTCTCTGTCATAATTACTCAACTCTGCACAAAAGTAGCCAGAAAAAACACGGCAAATGGGCACAGCTATGTTCCAATAAGACTTTACTGATAAAAAACAGATGGTGAGCCAGATGTGACTCACAGGTCAAACATTTTTTTTATCATTTTTAGCTACATAGCTCACCGGAATAAACAAATCCTAGTTTTTATTCTATTGTGTAATCTAGTAATTACTTTCCAAACCAAAATGATCTCCCTTCAAGCTTTAAGGAAGGCCTTAAATTCTATTTGATGTTTTAGAATTTAGTTAACATCTTTTTATTAGTCATGATTTTATATTACAAAATTTATGATTCACGTAAATATTAAAAATGCATATAATTCAATGACCTTCCCTGTCAGTTTTTATCTTTTCATACAGAGAAGTTTTTTTCTCTATATGAAAACATGATTTTTTACTATTTTCTTAAGAGGTAAAGAGGAAAACAACACCCTGAATATTCCATGTGGGAAAACACCACTTTTTGTTTTGGCTTGAATTATCATCCTGATTATAACATCCTTTAACCAAATAGACTAATAACTTCTGTATTAATAATCATCTTCAATTCATCTACAGCTACCGGTAGGAAAATAAGATAGTCAGTAATAATGAATAACTTGTCTGTTTAAACTGATATTAGCTACATTTTTTTTTCTTTGAGACGGAGTCTCGCCCTGTTGCCCAGGCTGGAGTCCAATGGCGTGATCTCAGCTCACTGCAACCTCCGCCTCCCGGGTTCAAGACTGCCTCAGCCCCCGAGCAGCTGGGATTACAGGTGCGTGCCACCATGCCCAGCTAATTTTTTGTATCTTTAGTAGAGACAGAGTTTCATCATGTTGGCCAGGCTGGTCTCAAACTCCTGACCTCATGATCCACCTGCCTCCACCTCCCAAAGTGCTGGGATTACAGGCATGAGCCACTGCGCCCAGTCTAAACTGACATTAGAAGGTTGAACATCCTAGCTTAGAAATGAAAAAAAGGTGGGGGAGGCTAATAATATAACATGCAAAGATATGTGAACTATTCCACAAAAGCACTCCTAGAGTAGTCTTGTATTCTGCTCACCACTGATTACAACTACTTCTATCCTTTTAGGAGGGAAAATAACCTTAAGAAACTTATCAACTCATTTAAATCTCCTGAATGTAGCATAAAAGCATGTTCAAATGTAAGGACTATATTTCTGTTTTAATCAAGAGTGATAATATCCTTGGTATATGTTTCACAATAGTCACGAGTCTAAAATACTAACTAGCTATCAAACTCTGAGGTGTAGCTGCTAGGAAAGTGCACCACTCACTCAAGTTTGAAAATTCTTAAAAAATACTTTGAGAAACGTAGAGAATGTACTGCTAGTAGAAACACCATCTTGTGTCATCAATAAGAGGCACAGCAGTTTCAGGATTAAAGCACTTCACCTTCCGTAGCTGGTGACTTATCTCAACCACAGGCCCAGCGATCAGAGTAGAAAGTACACCCCGGTGCACAGGGGTGTCTGTGTGCCGAGACTGAACAGCAGTAATGAACTCATGAAGAGGCCTCTGAACAGAATAAAGCAGCTACAAGAAAACACATACGTCACTTTTAATGACTAAAAACCATGGTTTTGAAAAAAACAAAAAAACACTTTAAAATAAGTATTCTTACTATCCTCCCCCAGGACTCAAGGAGTCACTGATCTTGTTTGCCTGCTACCAGTGCCCACTACATTCCACTCCCAGGCTGACTCAAACCTCCTATGCACCACGGCCAGAAGATGATAGACGGGACCAAAGCCCACTGGGAACTGCCCTGATGATATTCTTTCCCCAAAGCCAAGAAAAACCCTCAGGAATAAGGAGGGAGAGAGGCAAAACATCAATACATTAAAATAAGGCATCAGCTATGAGGCAATGTATTCTGACTAAAGCTACACAGGTCTGATGGGAAACCTAAAGGTTTTGGCACAAATTACATAAAAGATCACAGGCACTTGAAACAAATTCATCAAAAACAGGAACATTTCAAATGAACTCAAATTGAACTAGACTAGAAAAAGTATGGCCAACAACCTTCAATGACCTCTATCAGCAAAGGACACCGAGTCTTCAATATTTCATAAATAGCCTCCCATTTAAGCATTTTTTAAAGTCTTCATTAAAAAATAATAGCTCATTGATATTTTTAAGCTACTACCTAGAAAAAGTAATGGCTCTCTCTGATAACAACATCACGTGGTACGAGAACTGACATGACATTGTTTTTAGGATGAAGCAAATCTGGCAGACAGGTTTTTATATGAAGTGCTTATACAACAATCTCACTTCACATCAGCTTTCAACCAGCAAAGGGAAGCCACGGGCCCCTTCAAGGTCTGTGACTCTCGTTTCCAACCTGGAGAAGGTTAACATAGGACAGGGAGGTAACTCATGACAGAAATTAGCATTTCACCTGACAAGATGTCTGCCACTCTACAAGTATCAAAATTAGCATCTTTCAAAAGAAAGGTATATTTTATTTGGAAAACTCTGTGAACTTAACAATTATGCGCTCAGAACCCAGAGCAATCAGTCCTCTGCTTCCTGTCCTGCCGTCTGGTCAACCTGAACTCTTGGGATCCTGTTCTAAGACCATTGGGTAGAATCTAACAGCTGGAGCTCCTGCCCTTCCTGCCTCCAGCCCATGCACAGGGGTCACCATCTCCCTCTCAGTGTATCCACCATGGGGGACTCCCACACGGACTCCATCTCTCTCAGTGCACCTCGCCAGCAGGGACCTCCCACACAACACTGCGTGTCACCCGAGCGTGAACAGCACAGCCAGGGCTGATGCATCTGTGTAGGTGTAGCCAGCCCTGAAAAGCCCATCTAGCGAACCCCGTCCTGGGGAGTTCTGAGTACCCGCAGGCCTTCTTCCGGCTGCTTCCTGAAGCTCCGTGCAATACATTCCAACATTTTCTGAAATACTTTCTGGACTGTGTCCAACAGCATTGCAACTTCTTCATCTGAATCTGTTTTCTGAATCAAGGAACTTCCAGTTATCTCTTTCAGAATGTCAAGAAGTAATGAAACATAAAAAAATCCCTTCACTAGAAAGAAAATTGGAATATATCAGTTTTCTAATCACACAAGTTTGTTGAAATCATTACACATTTCTCACTTAACACATGTATAAAATGGTAACAAAAAAGAGATTATTACACTTTGGTATTTGGTGAGCCAATACCAAAAGCCAGGTTGATCAGGTTAACCTAAATTCTAACCAAAATAAATAAATAAGTATGACGTTTGTCCCATTTAAGTTAAAACTGATATCTTCAATAACAGTAATAGTGTATTAGTCACTAAACTAAAAATTGTGTTCATTGCACATGTGAACATACAGAAGTTCAGCAGTGTGGTTCCCTCAACACCTGAATTAGAGAACAGTGTTGTTGGTTCTGTTTTATTTTTAAGAGAACAGATATACCTATACAATGAAACTGGCTACACTGGAGATCTAGAATTCTAGTTATAATTAGCTCCTCCAAAAAGTAAATTTTTTAAATAATAAAAGTAGATTTGGTCCTTACGGGAAAATAATTCCTAAATGATAAGTGAAGTTTAAAAAATAAATAATTTTGACTGTTGCAATCATTAAGCTTAAGTATAAAATGCTGTTTTCACAACAGAAGTGAATTATAAAGAATTAAACAGGCTGGGTATGGTGGCTCACGCCTGTAATCCCAGCACCTTGAAAGGCCAAGGTGGGTGGATCACTTGAGTTTGAGACCAGCCTGGCCAAGACAGTGAAACCTCACCTCTACTAAAAATACAAAAATTAGCCAGGCATGGTGGTGGGCACCTGTAATCCCAGCTACTCAGGAGGCTGAGGCATGAGAATTGCTTGAACCTAGAGGTGGAGGTTGCAGTGAGCCAAGGTCGCACCACTGCACTCCACTCCAGCCTGGGCAACAGAGAAAGACTTGGTCTCAAAAAAAAAAAAATAAAAAAAAAAATAATAATAATAATTAAACAAAAAAGCTGAAGCAAATAATATTGGTCTATTTAATATTTACTCTTAAACTTTAGATCTGTTAAACAAATGATGGATGATTTTGCTTATAATTAAAGATTAACTAAGACACTGCCCAGTATCCTGGCTCCAGTGTTCTCCTAGCATCTACTTCAGTTGCAACGTCATGAAGACAGATACACTGGGGGTGTCCACACACACAGACCCCTCTGGAATCTGCCATGAAGATATTTAAGGCTATGGGAAAGAGACTACAGATGGATCCACTAGAAATTGGACAACCAACTTAATCTAATTTTCAAAACTTAATGTTGAATTTACTAAATGTTATCATTTTCAATCTCTTCTAGCAAATAACTAGGCTTAAAGAAATGTCAACATCAAATGTTGAGGCTTTTACAGATCTCAGTGAGAATCAAATGCAGCACTGGGATATTGGGATACTACTTAAAAACCATCCAGAAACAGGTTTACACAGCAGTCAGCTACACCACAGAAGCGGCTGAGGGGGAGGCTGGCCGTTAGGGGTTAGGGAGTAGGGGCTAGGAGCTAGGGGCTAGGGGCTAGGCGTCAGGGGCCAGGGACCAGGGTCCCAGCTCAGCAGTACTCTTCTTTACCAGACTGTGATCAGAAGGCCAAGGAGATATGGAATGACCCCAGCTGCACTCCCCCTGGCCCCACACCCTTTCCCGTCATCATCTGATGTGATTCGAGGGCTGTCCTCTCACTCACTGTTGCCATGGGTCACCCTGTGCTAACCCTTTCCCTGTGGTAACAGCAACTTCCGGGGGTCCTGGTGGGGTACCACCCAATAATGTCTGACTCACGCCCCCATCCACAGGAGCACATGACCAGAGCAGAGCAAAAAGGTGATGGTTTCCCACACAGATGCCAGGAAATAGCCACTAGCCCAATCCACAGGGAAAGTCAGCCTGGCAACAAAGCTGACCACAAGGACAGGCAGAATCCCAAGGACCCTGTCACAAACTCTGGATGTAGTCATGTCTGACACAGAAACACCTCTTAATTTCCGGGCTGAACCACCTAACAAATCCCTTTTTTGGGATATGCCAGGTTGCATTATAATCAGTCACTTAAAAGTGAGAGTTCTGAGCTACACAGTAAAGGAGGGAGGGAGGGAAGGACTGGTTCTGAGTATTTATTGCTCTAAAACAGCCCTGACTGTACCTGTTTGCATGATTCCAAGACTCCGCTGTAAGAGTTGCATCTGAAACTGATGGTCACCAAGGCCTACCATAACAACATCTTTACACACAGTCAGGTAGGTCTGTAAGAGACAGACACAGCTTAGCAACAAAGGCCATTTTTAAAAAGGGAGTAAATCCAGCCTCACAAAGCTTCTCCTATCCATGTGCTAGTTATCTTATAAAGCAGATTTTTATAAAGATGTTTTATAAAGGAATTTTCATAAAGATACATTAATTCTTGTTTTTGTAAGAAATCTAGAGACATATTTTATGTAATTCCACAAACATAATCGAACACCTCTTATATGTAATGTATAAAATTACACTGAAAGTATGCAGTTTACGCTTTGCAAAAAGATAAACTAGAAAGTTAGATAAATGTCCCTGTAAGTTTTTAAGAATAACACTAATGTCTAAAATTACCACTCTAAAGTAGAAAATGAAATCCTGAAACATAACAAACTTGGTAAAGAGAAAGTTTTCTGTGTCTTAAGACTTCTAACCTGGATAATTTGCTGATAAATGACCCTATGAAGCTTCAGGTAGTCTTCTTCTTGATCTTGAATAAAAGATAAAATTTTGCTTTCTAACCAAAAGCCAGTGTCTTCCAACATGGACAAATACACCTTTCCTTCTGAGCAGAACTGTCCAAAAACAAGAAGATAAATCAGTAACAAAAAGAGCACTGTGTATCATCCTAATAGAGGGCCAGGAGCAGGCACACCTTGTGCTGAAGATGGATGCTCAGGCGACAGTGGAGACCAAAGGCTCGCGGGGCAGCTGCTTCACTGAAGCCACGAGGCTTCCCACCCGGTGTCTGCAGAAGTGACTCCAGATCTGCCTGTAATAGAAAAAACCCAAGGGCCACATGCTGACTGACAAGGCACCACCACACCCCGTACAGCAAGAACAATGGGAAGCACCTGATCCTCAGGCGAGCTGAAAAGACCCCCGCTCTGGTGAAGCCCAGTGTCTGCTGACTCTGCACCCGGACATGAGGTGCTGGGTGGTATGGGAAAATGTACAGCCAGGTGAGCAGCCTCAGCTCACCGTCCACAGCCCTTGCCCTGCACGCAGCACCACCCGTCCCCTCCCTGCCTCATGACCAGGCCCCGTCCTCCCCATCTGCCTGGCTCCACTCTGCTGGGGCTTTGCTTCTGGTACAGTCACACTTGAGGGCAGCGTAACAGGGTGTTCAGAGGGCTGGCTCCTGGAGGAGAGGAAGAGATGACGGCCTCCGTGGGACAGCTGGGAGCATGATGGGTTCCCAGGAAATGCTCTCCAAACATTCCCAGAAAAAACTGCCAAGGACTGCAGGGAGTGAGTGTCCACATGAAAGGGTATGTGACACATCTCCTGCAGAGGGTGTGTTCTGAGACACTGGGGCCATCCTCCTGAGTCCTAGCGCCCTAGCAGGTGCAACACAAATGTGAGATTTCTGAACACGTGTCAACTGGGACTTGACTCCCAACCTTGCCCTGGCCAGGCTCCATGCCTTGTACCAACTGAATGAGGTGACATGATCACTCTCAATTCTGTTCCAGCCAGAACACTTGTATAGCACTGTAAATATGAAAGCTTCACACTTTGATTTGTCACCCCCACAATCATAGGAAACCACTCAACTCTCAGGGCACAGAGTTACCTTTGACGTTTCAAGGGCTTTCAAAAGATGGTTAAGTTTCTTCCGAGGAGCAGAGAGCAAGCACTCGCGGTTCTTTGGATGAGTCAGCAGATACTCAATGTAGACCAATGCCAATTCAGGTTTGACTGGGCGTGTGTCATGGATCTGCACCCTACCTTTAGAAGCTGTGTTGCTCTGAAAGAAGAGAGAGAGAAACTGATAATGAAAACACACGTCCCTAGAAAAGCATGTAATTTCTAATACACAGTTATCCTCACTCACCTAATTTTAAGGAAACATGATGTCAACCTACCTTGGCCTGGGCATGCTCTGTGGGCAGCCAGTTGTCAACAAGCTCCAGAATGTGCCCCACCTGCCCCCAGGAGCAGAGGCAATCCAACAAAGTGCAGTAGCTCTTGTCCACAGCGCCCTCCTCCCGGCTTCTCAGCGTGGAAATCACACCACAGCTGAAAATGTCAGACGGAAAATCGGACTGAGTATTTCAACGGAGACTCCCCAACTTTGTCAAAAGGTGAGGAAAACCAAGAAGCTAAAATCTGACGGTGCATAAGCCCTTGTTATTATATTAGCACTTCCATGCTCTCCAATGCAGGAATAAATACAGTTTCCCACAATTGCTGCTCAGCTGCATCCCACCACAAGACCTGAGACCAGCTCTGGACACTGAAGAAGCAGGGCACAGCAGCCACACAAAGCCCTCATCCTTCTGTTTCTGTGCCATCTGTCAGATTCTAGAGCAAGAGTTTCTACTTTTGAAGAACAATTTTTGTTTAGCATCAAAATATTCCTTTTTCTTCCACAAATATGAATAAAAATAATTTTTATTGAGATAATCACCAACATTGTAGAGCTCTAATGAAAAATATTATGAGACACAAAAGCCACAAATGTAATTAAAAATTTTCTAGTACCCACATTTGAAAACACAAAGAGAAACAGGTAAAACTAATTTCAATAACATAATCTTATTTAATCTAATCTATCCAAAATCATTTTAACATGTAATCAATATTTCACACTCTTCTTTTTGCCTCAAGGCTGACTCCATATGTATTTTGTACTCACAGCACATCTCAGCTCAAATAGCCAAAGCCCAGGTGCTCAGGGCCACATGTGACCAACGGTGACCTTGTGCTCCAGAACCTCCCACACCAGGTGCTAAGAGTAACCCCAGACTTAAAGTGGAGTAACAGTTTCAGTTCCATGCAGTCTCTTCTTTCATCACGTACTAACTTAGGGCCCATTGAAAATCACATCCTTGAGGGAGGTGGGGGGGTCAGCCCCCCACCCGGCCAGCCGCCCCGTCCGGGAGGTGAGGGGTGCCTCTGCCTGGCCGCCCCTACTGGGAAGTGAGGAGCCCCTCTGCCTGGCCACCACCCCGTCTGGGAGGTGTACTCAACAGCTCATTGAGAACAAGCCATGATGACAATGGCGGTTTTGTGGAATGGAGAGGCGGGAAAGGTGGGGAAAAGATTGAGAAATTGGATGGTTGCCGTGTCTCTGTAGAAAGAAGTAGACATGGGAGACTTTTCATTTTGTCCTGTACTAAGAAAAATTCTTCTGCCTTGGGATCCTGTTGATCTGTGACCTTACCCCCAACCCTGTGCTCTCTGAAACATGTGCTGTGTCCACTCAGAGTTAAATGGATTAAGGGCGGTGCAAGATGTGCTTTGTTAAACAGATGCTTGAAGGCAGCATGCTCGTTAAGAGTCATCACCACTCCCTAATCTCAAGTACCCAGGGACACAAACGCTGCGGAAGGCCGCAGGGTCCTCTGCCTAGGAAAACCAGAGACCTTTGTTCACTTGTTTATCTGCTGACCTTCCCTCCACTATTGTCCTGTGACCCTGCCAAATCCCCCTCTGTGAGAAACACCCAAGAATGATCAATAAAAAAAAAAAAAAAAAGAAAATCACATCCTGATATTTTCCCTACCACAGGGAGAGGGAAGGGCAGAAGGAAGAGGCCACAGTGAGCTGAAAGCTAAATGTTATGGTCTGCTGACATGAATTAATAATTCAGCACAACAATGGACAGGATTCCTACTTTTCTACCGTACCAAAAAACAGAGCAAATACCTGAATGGGGGGACAGCAGAGGCCGGCATAAAGGACATTAGCATGAATAAAGGGATCTTGCAGCGATCATCCTAAAAGCGAAAAAAGAAAAACAAAACAAAGCATATGTAAGCACTATAAATTCTGAAAGTCTCTCTACGTAAATTCCTGATAACTTACTACCAAAGTTGCTCAAGAAGAACCATGGCAGTCCTTTCCACGTTCAAAAGGAAAACTTAAACCAGCCTCATGTTTGAGGGGCAGAGAAAATTACTTGGTGAGTGTTATGGAAGTTTTATATAACATTTTACTACTTTGCAAATATTTATTAAGCACTTGCTATGTACCCAGTACCAATCTAGACCCTGGGAATATGCCAGTAAGCAGGATAAACAAAATCATATGCTGTCATGAATTGAATCTACTTTAAAAAACAACACTGATGAAATGAAAAAAAATTAACTCTATACACTTGGTATCCTGAACACAAATCTCAAAAGAAGGAAATTATTCAGAGAAAATGTTATAAAACAAAATCAGAATATCTTTAGGAAGACAGTATAGTTCAAGGGAAAATGCAGTGGGGCATAGTGGCTCATGCCTCTAATCCCAACGCTTTGTGAGCCTGAGGTGAGAGGACTGCGTGAGGTCAACAGTTAGAGGCTACAGTAAGCATTCACTCCAGCCTGGGCAACAGGGCATTATATTTAAAAAAAAAAAAAAAAAAAAAAGGCCAGACACAGTGGCTCACCCCTGTAATCCCAGCACTTTGGGAGGCTGAGGCAGCTGGATCACCTGAGGTTAGGAGTTCGAGAGCAGCCTGATCAACATGGTGAAACCCTGTTCCTACTGAAAATTCAAAATTAGCCAGGCATGGTGGCTCACGCCTGTAATCCCAACTACTCGGAAGGCTGGGGCAGAAGAATCGCCTGAACCCAGGAGGCAGAGGCTGCAGTGAGCTGAGATTGTGCCACTGCACTCCAGCCTGGGTGACAAGAGCAAGACTCCATCTCAAAAAAAAAAAAAAAAAGAAGAAAAAAAAAAGTAAGCTTTGAGGCTACTGAACCAAATCTAGACCCAATCAGATTCTGTAGCCCAACAGCTGACATAGCACAGAGGAGAGGAGTTAAGCTCTCAGAGTCAGTTTCTCCCTTTGCAAAAGGAACACAGGACTGTTGGAAGAACCAAAGTGAACTACACCACACAGAATCCCAGTACAGTATTTAGAGTGTCCTCAGTGCTTAGTAAATTGCAGCTAAATTATTATTACTAAAACAATAAGTAAAAGGGGGTACATCCACCCTTCCTCAAGAACACTCAATAAGAGATATTCTTGGCTGGGAGAATGAGGACATGGTGAATCCTAAAATAATGATAATAATAATAATTTTCCTGAAAATACATATGAAACAGAAACAAACCAAAATCAAAATTTGATTAGGAATTAATTTGCATTCACAGTGACCCATCCTTACCCCCAACTAACAATATGGGAAGAAAATGTCTTGTTAATGGCTGGGCACGGTGGCTCACGCCTGTAATCCCAGCACTTTGGGAGGCCGAGGCAGGCGGATCATGAGGTCAGGAGATCGAGACCACCCTGGCTAACACGGTGAAACCACGTCTCTACTAAAAATACAAAAATATTAGCCACGAATGGTGGCAGGCGCCTGTAGTCCCAGCTACTCGGGAGGCTGAGGCAGGAAAATGGCGTGAACCCGGGAGGCGAGGCTTGCAGCCAAGATCACTCCACTGCACTCCAGCCTGGGCGACAGAGCGAGAAAAAAAAAAAAAAAGAAAATATCTCGTTAATGTTACAAGTATACTGATAATGATGGCCAATTCCATCTGTGTGGCTCACCCATCATCTCTTTACTTAGAGAAGGAAGCAATTTTCCTTAGTGGTGGAGAGACTTCTTATAGACATACTCAGAATTAACTGAATCCCAAGACCCTCTAAGGGTTTCAAATACCCCAAGGCCACAACTGCCCTGTCCGCCAACCTACCTGGTGTCCTATATGGGCTTCTGTTCATATTCTGAAATAATGCTGGTTTCTCAGTCCCAGGTCATTATTTCAGCTTTCTTTTTTTTTTTTTTTTTTTTTTTTTTTTAAAAGAGGCAGGGTCTCACTCTGTTGCCAGGGCTGGAGTGAGTGCAGTAGTATGATCACAGTTCACTGTAGTCTCAAACTCTGGGCTCAAGCAATCCTGCCTCAGCCTCCTGCATAGCTGGGACCAAAAGGCACAGGCCATCAAGCCCAGCTAATTTTTTAAATTTTGTAGAAACGAGGTCTCACTATGTTGCCCAGGCTAGTCTCAAACTCCCAGCCTGAAGCAATCCTCCTGCTTTGGCCTCGAAAAGTGCTGGGATTACAGGTGTGAACCACCATGCCCAGCTAATGAGCTTTACCATTTACTGGTAAATTATGGTTTGGCTGTGTCCCCACCCAAATGTCCTCCTGAATTGTAGCTCCCATAATTCCCACGTGTTACGGGAGGGACACGGTGGTAGGTAACTGAATCCTAGGGGTGGTTTCTCCCATACTGTTCTTATGGTAGTAAGTCTCACGAGATCTGATGGTTCTCTAAGGGGTTTCCCTTTGTGCTTGGCTCTCATTTTCTCTCTGCCTGCCACCATGTAAGACGTGCCTTTTGCCTTCCGTCATGACTGTGAGGCTTCCCCAGCCATATGGAACTGTGAGTCCATTAAACCTCTTTTTCTTCATAAATTACCCAGTCTCAGGTATGTCTTTATCAGCAGCATGAAAACAGACTAATACAATTTTGGCAACTAATACAATCTGCTTTCACGTCAGAGGCAGACAGGCCATGCTTTCACGTCAGAGGCAGAATGAAGCTCAGGGCCTTGAAAGGGTTAGAAAAGCTACATGGTCCAAAGTCACATAAGTAGGTAGAAAAAGAGGCAAGAGTAACATTTAGGAAGAGAAATGTGGTTCATAAGACCTACGATCTTTCTATATTTAAACCACACTTTCTTCAGAGTTAAGAATATATTTGCATTTTTACATGCTGTTGGCCTATTTTTAAATTTAGTTTTGAAATATAAACTTCCTTCAGAAGTAAAAAGTCAAGGAATGAGAAGGTCCTGCATGCAAATAGAAATCACGCACAGAGAAGAGTGGTGGGGGTGGGAAGGGTTAGCTAAAGGATTCAAAATTGCAGTTAGATCAGAGGAGTAAGTTCAAAAGATCTATCCTATAACATGGTGACTCCAGTTAATAACAATACAATATATTCTTGAAAATCACCGCGAGCAGATTTTAAGCATTCTCGCCACAGAAATGGTAAGTATGTGAGGCTCGATTTGGCCATTCCACAATGTGTACATATTTCAAAACATCATGTTGAACACAATAAAGTATATACAACTTTTGTCAATTCAAAATAAATTTTTTTAAAAAAGAAATCACACACACAACTGTTTGCCCCAACAACACACACAACTCAAATACTTCAGGGACATATTTGCTTACTGGGTGCCTTCGGGTACCTAACTGCCCACAGAACTTGAGTACTACTGTACCTCCATGTTCACGAAACTCTTTCTTAAACCCCTGCAAATCAAATTAGATTCTGAAATAATGTCGCTGACCATCGGAGGCAGAAGAATCATGTGCTTACCCAAGACGTTTCTCTGGGTGCTGAGGATATGGAAGCAGACAGAGACACAAGATCTCCACCCTCAAGAGGGGCAACAGAAAGAAACTATACTGCAAGGTAAACACTAATCCAACCCTCTCATTTTACAGATGAGAACACAGATCCAGGGAGGTAAACATGTTTGAGAACTTTTGTTAAATTCTAAACAAACGTAACCTTAATATACCTTGCTTACAAGTATAGTTCAAGACTTACCTTAAATACTTTCAGATACTCTGGAAGCACAGAGGCAAACTTGTTAATCGTGTAAAGTTTGGCCTCTTTATTATTTTCCATACTTCTGTCAATACTTTTCCAGAGAATCACAATGATTTCTAGTAAACCTGCCATGCATGCAACATCGTTTACTGACAGTGTTTTGTCCAGAACCTAAGATAAAAATAATTTTATTGTGAAAGGATCTAATCATAGCAACTACTAAAAGGTAACAGCATCTCAGAATTAGAGCTCTAAAGCAAAAATGTAGAGAACATCCGTCTTACTTTCACGTCTTCTACTCTCCACTTTAGAATCTTCTAGGGAGGTAAATTTATTTTTAAATGCCCACCACGATATAAATTCCAAACTGACTCTACATCCTTTAAAGAAACAGTTTACATGAAGAAAACTCCTCTAAAAAGGAAAACGTATCAACTATTGTCTCCATCTGGGAACATAACACCCTATTAAAAAACATGCCTTTTCTTTCACTGTATCTTCTGTTTTATTAAAAGACATCACTTTTCACCACAAATCTCGATGCAGGGGGAGGGGAATGGTGAAGGCTGCTTTCCTCCAAGGTGACTGCTACTGAAACTCAGCCGCCAAAACCCAGCCTATCAGGTCACAGAAAGGACACAGTCTCTGGTTGGCCAACTCCACCCTACAGGCAGGCAGAACACAGCCTGAGAGGCTGGAATAATGACTATGATCATGGGCTTCTTTAGTTTGTTTTAAAATAAATAGACCTACTTACACTTTCCTGAACATATGCTGATAGTGCACAGTACTCACCTGTTCACTGTAAACTACAAACACACTCTAACAAATTCCTCTTCTACCCAGAGCCAGCAGTCCCACGCTGTCAACGCGGCAAGCCACACGTAAGTGCATTGTGGCTGCATGCCAGTAAGCGGACATGCCCACTCACCAGCACAGACACACAGCCAGACCCACCAACAATCCCTGCTGTCGAGGCCTGTCACGCAACTCTAACGTATACTGAGGGAGAAGCCCTGAGAGAAGAAACTCAAACTCCACCGACCAAGAGCAGAACCAGCTCTGAAGCTCTGAACACTGGCAGTGAGGGTGTAGTGAGCCCAGGGAGGTGGCCTGCCCAACGGCTGTGAAGACGGAAGTGGCTCTCACTCTCACTGAACTCTTCTCTCTATTCCACATCTATTTCCTGTATGTTTTTGGTAAGTGCCTTCTGAACAATTTCAACCCAGCATAACTGACTGAGGGGCTGGGCTGGTGGCCCATCACGGTGTGGTGGGAGATGGAGGAGAAAGCACCATGGGGCATGAGCAGGGCCTGGGTGAGCCATCTGCTGCCCCTGCTAGGAAGGACACAGTGGGGTCAGACCCAGAAGCACTTGGCTCAGGACCAGCTGTTAGGGGAGCACACCAACACTGTGCCTCAGCACAGGGCAAACTGTGTTTTGTGATTTCCTTTTAAAGTCTAGTTTCTTAATGTAGTGGGCATTGCAAAATGACCCCAAAATCTTACTTTAGACGTCCACAAGCACAGGAGTTTAGAAGCTTAAGATAATGCTTATAAGTAACAAGTTTGTCTAAGTCTTAAACGTTATTTTCTTCTAATATAATTGGTTGCTTTGGATTCTGAAGAAATTGTCCCTTTAATAAATTATACTTTCAAAAATATGGGAGTACCCAGAATCCAATCCAGCCATGCTACATCCAGGATTGAACTGAAATACAGAGACATTTAAGGTAAAGAAAATCTGGGACAAGATGTGACTGGTAAGAATTTTTCTTCTGTATTAAGTCCTACCTGAGCTCCAAAATGAACTACAAAGGACATATAGCAATTCTTTCACAAATGTTATTTATGACCTTCCAAAATAACTTGTTTAATTAACAATACTAAAGGAACAAAGAAAACATAGGAATATTCCTAACATAATGGCCCATGGGAGTGATGCCACTGAGGCACTATCTGCCCGGCCTGGCCCTGTTCTACTCACAGTCACATTCTCCTTCTCCCTTCCGTCCTCTTCCTCCTCGTCCTCTGGAGGCTCTCTCACTGCCCTCTGGATACAGGCATTTAAGCAATGACGAATAACGTGAATCAGCTTTGCTGAAATGTTTAGGATAAACAAGAATTAATGGATGTGTTTCTTCTACAAAATTAACTATCTGATAGTGAAATTATAATCCCAATTAGTCAAAAGTACTATTTTAAGGGAAATCATTCAGAAATGCATTAAAGTATGAAGCTTATTAAATTGACAAATACTGAACTCTGTAATTTGTATTATGCTTTTGGGGGAAAACATAACAAGAACTGAGAAATAACAGCACTCCCTACCTATGTTGGTGCAGGCGGTGTGTTCGTGGGCGTACTGATAGAACCTCCTGGCAGCGGCGTGGTTCATCTGCACCAGGGTGACACAGCGCTCGCACCAGACCTCCTCCGGCTGATTCACAGGCAGGAAAGAATTAAAGATGAGGCTCACCAGGCGCCGAGACACAGGTCGAGAATCAGTTTCCAGACGAACCAGAATGTGCTCCATGGGACATATTTTCCAAAACTGTGCAAAAAGCACATATGCAGAAGGAAATAATCAATTGTGCCTGTAACCCTGGAAACAGCTTAAGAAAAATTTCAAGCACAACCAAAAAAGGAACTAATTTTTATATTTAAAAAAATTCACTTCGAATGACTACACCAAAATCTGTGACTTTCTGTAGAGAAATTAGAATTAATAAATCTATATTTTTAAAAGTACTGTTATATAAGGCACCCAAGTATTAGGGTGCTAAGAGGTTTAATTAAAATTACTTAACACCATGATTAACATACAGTAAACTCTCCAATGATAGCTATGATTGTCAATTAATATTTTTTAATTTCTTAAAGTACCTTAACTTTTGGCCCATTAATGTGAAAAGTGAGTAAAAATATATACAACGTTTTTGACGTGGACACTCCATCTCCTATCTAAGAGGCTGGGGCATCACTCCTGAATCCCTGGGGCTGCCTGTCCCATCCACAGTTGACTCCTTCTCTGACACAAGCCTGCCCAGATCATCATGGACGCCCACAGCCTAGTCTCATCTCCCCGCACCCATCTCACATGCAGCCTCCAGACAACCTGCAAAAATCAGAACTGATCATAGTGATAGCGTCCCTCTTCTCAAAAGCATTCGAACTACCTACAGAAAGCAAGCACCAATCTTCTGCACAAGAAATCCAAGACAAAAGAAAAATGCAGAACATGACAAAGCAAAATTGAATGGCACCACATCAAGCCCTGCCTCGGGCTCCTCACCTGCATGGTGAGCGAAACCCTCGACCTTGCATTTTTCTCAAGAACCTTGCTCCAAGGACCAATCCTTCTTTCTAGTATTTTCAATTGGATCTTTCTTCTTTACATCATTCCAACTCTTAGAACAAAAACCCACACACAAAACTCAACCTGAGGTTCCCATCTCCTGGTTCCCACCTTCCCTCCCCCTTGTCAGTCGACCTGCTCCTAAGTGTGCCTGCATCCCACCTCCACCTCCATATCTCACCTCCCAACCCCATTGACAATGCAGTCCACCCTCACTGAAGTTGTTCTTGCCAAGGTCATGATCTCATACTGCAAATTCAAATAGACATATGAACGCCCTCAACTCAGACAAAATCTGCAGCATCTGACACTGTCATTACTACCTCCTGAAGCGCCCCGGGGATACTTCCACTCAGGCACTTCTTGGTATTTCTGAAAAAGTTACTGTAGTAAGGACAATAAGCCCAAATCCCACACGGGGCAGTTTACTCACATTCTAGCATTGGAAAGACAGAGCAACCCCAGTACTTCAAGCAGCCACAGGACAGTGGACAGGGCCAAGGTTCCCAGCTCTCACCTACAGCCACAGGGACAAGAATCTTCTGCCAAACCTGACTGAAGCCTTGGAAATTAAGGGACTGGAGATTTCTTACCTAAGGGTGAGAGGCTGTGCTGTCACGGTTTAAGAGGACAAGAAAGAGAAAAATACTAGGACTCATATTCTGACCAGAGAACAACTGTCCACCTCCATCCTGAGCCCCTTCTGCCTGTCCCAACACACGAAAGCCTCCTGGCCACAGGCTCCAGCCCCAACGGGTGGTTACTTCTGACAGCGAGGTATCAAGCCCTGAACACTGCACCAGCGGGCCTGCAGGTGACAGTGCTGTTGGCAACCAACCTGTCTGGAAATGCCTGAGGATGTCAAGCACAGAACCAAGTGCCTGAGCCACTATTTACTGTATTTTTGAAACCACCCCCAGCATAGATATTAGTATTCCCACTTTAAAGGTAAGAAGCAGGCTTAGAGTGATTAAGTACAAGATCATAGCACTTTTATCTAGTCTGCCACGCTGCCTTTCATTATCACACAAATGCACAGATCAGAGCTGCACGGGCCACACACTGCTGAAGAAATAGAAGTAGACTTATTGGCTGGGCACAGTGGCTCCCGCCTGTAGTCCCAGCAACTCAGGAGACCAAGGCAGGAGGATCGCTTGAGGCCAGGATTTTGACGCCACCCTGGGCAACACAGGGAAACCCTGTCTCAAAAAAAAATAAATAAATAAAATAAAAAGAAGACAATGCATTGAAGGGAGAGGGTTGACATCTCCTGGCCCACTGGGCTCAGCCCAGCAGCCCAGGCCTACCACAGCTGACAAAGGAAACAAAGAGAAAGTATAACTCTCAATCCTTCTAGAGCTGCATGTACAAGACCCTCCACTGGGCCAGCACACCCATTACTGAGGTGTGCACGCCAGGCCCGGCAGCCTGGCTTCATGTGCCAGGTTGTTCCTGCCCATAGACAATGCCCTCCCGTCAGCTCCAACAGCTGTCCTCTGGCCAGCCAGACTGCCTCTTATACTCATGTCATTCTGTAACCTTAACTTTCAAGGGAAATTAGCTTGCATGCTCGTCACAAACCTTTCCAGACACCTCACAACCAAATGGCTGTCTGCCTTGCACTTGCAAAGATAAGGACTGAAACGCAAACGTTCTGCCTTCTTCCTCTGCTCTGGCGCCCAAACTTCCTGGTGGGCCAGAGACCCTGTGTCCCTCCGCCTCCCTCAGAGACCCTGTGTCCCTCCTCCACCCTTAGCCGCTACTGTGTCCCTCCGCTACTGTGTCCCTCCGCTCCTTAGCCACTACCGGATCCCTCCGCCCCCCCTTACCCACTACTGGGTCCCTCCGCCCTCCTTACCCACTACTGGGTCCCTCCGCCCTCCTTACCCACTACTGGGTCCCTCCGCCCGCCTTACCCACTACTGGGTCCCTCCGCCCGCCTTACCCACTACTGGGTCCCTCCGCCCTCCTTACCTACCCTGTGGCCCTCCACCCGCTTACCCACTACTGGGTCCCTCCGCCCTCCCTTACCCACTACTGGGTCCCTCCGCCCTCCTTACCTACCCTGTGGCCCTCCACCCTCTTACCCACTACTGGGTCCCTCCGCCTTCCTTACCCACTACTGGGTCCCTCCGCCCGCCTTACCCACTACTGGGTCCCTCCGCCCTCCTTACCTACCCTGTGGCCCTCCGCCCTCCCTTACCCACTACTGGGTCCCTCCGCCCTCCCTTACCCACTACTGGGTCCCTCCGCCCTCCTTACCCACTACTGGGTCCCTCCGCCCTCCCTTACCCACTACTGGGTCCCTCCGCCCTCCTTACCCACTACTGGGTCCCTCCGCCCTCCTTACCCACTACTGGGTCCCTCCGCCCTCCTTACCTACCCTCTGGCCCTCCACCCTCTTACCCACTACTGGGTCCCTCCGCCTTCCTTACCCACTACTGGGTCCCTCCGCCCTCCTTACCCACTACTGGGTCCCTCCGCCCTCCCTTACCCACTACTGGGTCCCTCCGCCCTCCTTACCCACTACTGGGTCCCTCCGCCCTCCTTACCCACTACTGGGTCCCTCCGCCCTCCTTACCTACCCTCTGGCCCTCCACCCTCTTACCCACTACTGGGTCCCTCCGCCTTCCTTACCGACCCTGGGTCCCTCCGCCCCCCCTTACCCACTACTGGGTCCCTCTGCCCTCCTTACCCACTACTGGGTCCCTCTGCCCTCCTTACCTACCTTGTGTCCCTAGGCCCTCCCTTACCCACTACTGGGTCCCTCCGCCCTCCCTTACCCACAACTGGGTCCCTCCGCCCTCCTTACCCACTACTGGGTCCCTCCGCCCTCCTTACCTATTACTGTTTTCTGTTTTGTTTTACTGAAGAGTTATTCTTTTTTTATAAAATAATGGTAGAGTGGTTTTAAGTGCTTATCTTTTAGAGATACATTCTGAAATACAAAGAAAACAATATGATGTCTGGAATTTATTTCAAAATAGTCCGGCAGTGTGGCCTGGATACAGTTTAGATAAAACAAGATCGGACATAGCAATAATTGTTGAAGCTGGGTGATGGGTGTATCTAATTCACTATATTAGTCTCTCTGCTTTTATATATGTTTGAAAATTCAAAATAAAAAATTAAAACAAAAAAAGTAAAAATATTCACAAAAAGTTTTCTCCAATAATTGCCTTAAAGTCTACTTTGTTTTCTGGGTTTTTTGGTCCAACTTTTAAGTTCAGGGGTACAAATGCAGGATGTGCAGGTTTGTTAAATTGGTAGACATGTGCCATGGTGGTTTGCTGCACAGATCATCCCATTACCTAGGTATCAAGCCCAGCATCCATTAGCCATTATTCCTGATGCTCTCCCTTCTCCTACCCTCCACCCTCCAACAGGCCCCAGTATGTGTTGTTCCCCACCATGTGTCCACGTGTTCTCATCATTTAGCTCTCATTTATAAGTGAGAACATGCGGTATTTTGTTTTCTGTTCCTGCGTTTGTTTGCTGAGGATAATAGCTTCCAGCTCCATCCATTCCCTGCAAAGAACATGATCTCGTTCCTTTTTATGGCGGCATAGTATTCCATAGTATATATGTACCACATTTTCTTTATCCAGTCTATCATCGAAGGGCATTTAGGTTGGTTCCATGTCTTTGCTATTGTGAATAGTGCTTCAATGAACATACGCAAACATATATCTTTATAATAAAATGATTTATATTCCTTTAGGTATATACCCAGTAATGGGATTCCTGGGTCAAATGGTATTTCTGCCTCTAGGTCTCTGAAGAATTGCCACACTGTCTTCCACAATGGTTGAACTAATTTACACTCCCACCAACAGTGTAAAAGCACAGAACTACAGTTTTAACAGGCTGTTTTAAAAAATGCCATCAAAATTGCAGCCAGTATTTTTATTGAAATTGACATGCTTGGCCGGGCGCAGTGGCTCACGCCCATAATCCCAGCACTTTGGGAGGCCAAAACAGGTGGATCCCCTGAGGTCAGGAGTTCGAGACCAGCCTGGCCAACATGGTGAAACCCCATCTCTACTAAAATTTAAAAAAAAAAAATTCGCCGGGCATGGTGGCACGTGCCTGTAGTCCCAGCTACTCAGGAGGCTGAGGCAGGAGAATCACTTGAAGCTGGGAGGCGGAGGTTGCAGTAAGGCAAGATTGTGCCATTGCACCCCAGCCTGGGTGACAGAGCGAGACTCTGTCTCAAAAAAAAAAAAAAAAAAAAAAAAAAAATTGACATGCTTACTCTACATTTTTTTAAGAGATAAGGTCTCACTATGTTGCCCAGGCTGGTCTCACACTTCTGAGCTTAAGTGATCCTCCCACCTCAGCTTCCCAAAGTGCTGGGATTACAGGTGTTAGCCACCTCACCCGGCTGTTACTCTAAAGTTTATATGAAATGCAAAAGACCTGAAGTAGCCAAAGAATTCTGGAAGAACAGCAAAGCTGGAGAATGCACACTGCAAGACTTACTGTAAGATCCACACAGAATAAACGGATCAACACAACAGGACAGAGTCCAGAAAAGGACCACACACATGGTCAATGATTTTCAACAAAAGCATCAAAGTAACTCAATTGCATATGACATTGGGTGTTAATACTACATTGGTCACTCAAAATATCCTTTGTTTTCTTCTAATATAAAAAAATTCACAGATCAAAACTCAAAACACACAACGTAATATGTACTACATTCAGTGACAAGATCCCCATCATTGGCTGGGCACGGTGGCTCACACCTGTAATCCCAGCACTTTGGGAGGCCAAGGTGGGCAGATCGCTTGAGCCCAGGAGTTTGAGACCAGCCTGGGCAACATGGGGAAACCTCATCCCTACAAAAACTACAAAAATCAGCCAGACATGGTGGCACACTCCTGTGGTCCTAGCCACTTGGGAGGCTCAGGAGGGATGATGGCTTGAGGTTGCAGTGAACCAAGATCACACCCCAGCACTCTAGCCTGGGCATCAGAGTGGGACCCTGTCTCCCCCTCACCTCATCACCCTAAGCAACTGACACTAAATTCTCGTTCTCTTCAAAGGATATTTTACCCATATCTGAGCAATATTTACTTATATATATGTCTCCATTTTATTCAGCTGGTAGCACACCAGGACCACATCTACACTATGCTTTTATACTTCCATATCTTAGAGGCCTTTCCAAGGAAGCCCGACAAAAAGTTCCTCCTTGTTCTTTTCATGGCCACACGGCACCACTTCTCTTATGAATACACAAATCTGTCTGGCTGACCCTACACTCTGGCGTTATCAGTCTGTTTCTGGATCCTGTGCCATAGCAGAACAGCACTCAAAGTAAATTTCTGAGAAGCTACTGTGTGGAGAAAGTTCACAATGGTACCAAATAATAATGAAGTCAAGAACATTATAAGCAATATTCTTGGCAAAAAGCTGAAGAGAACTAGAGCTGAAAGAGAACAATCACTTCAGTAGTTTATAAAACATCAAAACGCACATCTCTCATAAAGTGGGTGTCTCCCTCCTTCACTCTGTGTGGGGCAGGGGGGTGGGGGTGGGGGGTGGCTCATACTAGACACTCTCCTCATAAAGCAGGTGTCTCCCTCCTTCACTCTGTGTGGGGCAGGGGGGTGGGGGTGGGGGGTGGCTCATACTAGACACTCTCCAGAAGTGCTCACCAGGTGCCAAGTATCCAAATATTACACCAAATATCTCACTGAAAACCTTCATACATGACGAAAATACAATGGAAGGCAGGGGTGCTTACATTAATGTCTTTCAGAAAGAAAACACATTGATAATATTTCTAGAACCTTTGATGAAAAACACAAAATAACATTTTTGACAGAGATAACTGGTCAAATCATATCAGTTATCAGTTTAAAATGTGGAATTAAAACTACTTTCTTTCTGTTTGATGAACACATGTCCCTATTTCATGTCATAAGTAAAAAAGCCCTATTCATCCTACCTTAGCAGCCCTCACAGCTTTGATCTTCAACAGCATGTCCACAAAAGCTACCCTCACTTTCTCCGAATTGTCGTGGAGACTGTATCTGAGAGCTGGAAGGAGCTGCTCTAACAATGGGTGGCTCAGTTTGTTGTCCAAAATCATTGGCAGACACTGCAACAGAGAGAAAGATAAACAATTCAAAATCAGAACATGCCAATGAAAGGTTCAGGTAGGAAAACTTCATTAAAGAAAACATTCGGTTCCATCTTTATTAGAACTACTAGTGAAATAAATATACCTATGGAAAATACCACTTTTTCTAGAACTATTTCATATAAAAGGCATACTTTTAATGAACCAGTATAGGTCCAACCACTGCTATTTGGTCCATCCATTGTTTTGTTCAAATAAGATTAAAGCAATTATAAAAGAAATCTTTAATGCTCTCTCTCAGCTAAATTTTAGAGAATTTTTGAGTTGAAAGAAACACAGAATAACTACTGGTCACATGGTCTCCAAAGGCACCAAGTCCAAGAACTCTGCATTTCCTGACTCGATACTGCATGAGGATTGGAGGGAACAGAGCCAGCGTGTGTGACTCGAACGCACTCTCGGCTGACTACAGTGGCCACGTAGCAGGTGGCACTCCTCCACAGGCCAAGGCTCAGTCTGGGCCCCCAAACTCCAGCACTGCTTAAGCTCTACTGCCTTCTCCATCTAGTTTCAGGAGAAAGGACATTTTCACAGGTTTTTATTAAAAGTATATACGGTATTCCAAACACATGTGTGTGTGTGTGTATATATATATATATATATATATATATATATATATATTTTTTTTTTTTTTTTTTTTTTTTTTTTTTTTGAGACGGAGTCTCACTCCGTTGCCCAGGCTGGAGTGCAGGGGCACAATCTTGGTTCACTGCAAGCTCTGCCTCCCGGGTTCATGCCATTCTCCTGCCTCAGCCCCCCAAGTAGCTGAGACTACAGGCGCCCGCCACCACGCCTGGCTAATTTTTGTATTTTTAGTAGAGACGGGGTTTTACCTTGTTAGCCAGGATGGTCTCGATCTCCTGACCTCGTGATCTGCCCGCCTCGGCCTCCCAAAGTGCTGGGACTACAGGCGTGAGCCATCATGCCTGGCCACATATATTTTAATGACGATAATTTTTTCAAAAAATTTCAAGTATATACAGCTCTTCTTCCAAAGCACTCAAGGGCAGACTGATTTGAATCATCTGCTCCACCTGTGTCCACAGCCTCCTCTTGATCCTGCCCTCCCACTGGACACCGGCCACCGGCCACCACCTACCTTGCCAGTTCCCCCAATCCCACAGCCCCTGTAGCCCCTGCCATAACACTGTGTTCTCCTAATTCTCCTTCAACTTCTCTGGTCTTTCTTCTGTAGATTCTCTGCTGACTCTTCCTCTACTCCAGAGCCCACTCATCCCTCCTCACAGATGACCCATCTGGGCAAGGGAGGCATCTCAGAGTGGCCCTGCAAGGGTTTCCTCAGAAGCATGAAAGCACCAGACGGTGGTCAGAAGGTCAGGACCAAGAGAAGACCGGCCAGGGAGCTGCAGCCACTTTGGATGACAGCAACAGGAAGGAGCAGGTGAACCTCAGACACCAGGAAGGGAAAGACAGGACTTGGGTGAAGGAGGAAGAAGCAAGAACAGCACGCAAGTGAGTGACTCAGCAGATGGCATCATCACTTCAAGGAGAAAGAGGAGCAAGGGGGAGAGAGGAAAATAAATAAAACTCTTGGATGGCAGCAGGTTTGGAAAAGATGGTCATCAACTCAGCAGTGGAGACAGGGTGGTTGCTATGACGTACAACCAAGGCCCCATCAGAAATGAAGCACTCACCCCAGCTGTCCTGGGGCTGCTGAGCTGCCCTCGCCATCAGCATGCTTGGGGATGGCCTCCTGAAGAAAATGCCTTCTTCTTCCCGGGCAGCCAGTGTGCAATAGTGAATCAGCATGGGCCCAGTCTGAAGGGCTCTGCTGGCTCCAGAGCTGCCTGTGGGTCTGCACGAGGCTTTCCCAGGCTGTGTCACGGCTTAATGTCCCTTCCCTTACACAGGTGTGCACCCCAGGAGCACTTCCTAATCTGCATGCTGTGGATAGTCTGAATCTCAGAGCTACCTGCTGGTCACCTGAGCAGAGCTCTCAAAGAAGACGCTTGTCTGTAAACTGGGACCAGCCGCATGCAAACCACAGTCAGAGCAAGGCTGGAAACCGGATAGCCAGGGGGAGCCCGTCACAGTGCAAGAGGCGCACGGCTCCCTGGCTCCTCAGCCAGCACTTGAAGAGTAAGAGTATTCAACCAAAGACCAGGAGGAAGAAGAGGGACTGAGGTTTTACCACAACATCCAGAGGGACAAGGGAATGGTGTAGGAATGAATTCTGCTCAGAGGTCAAAAAAGTCTAGAGAAGTGGTCATGTGAAATTCACCTTGGCTAGAAATGCTTTACTGGAGTAGTGGACATAGAAGACGCTTTATAGTAGACTGGGGAGTTGCAGGAAATGGAGATAGACTATTTAGGTGACCACTAAACTAAGACTCTTTTGAGAGTAAGAAGGTTGCTCCTAACAATTACTGCAGAGCAACAGGCATGAGCCCAAATGTCTGATCACTCAACAAACACAGACATGCTCCTCAGAATATCTTTCTCTGCAATGAGGAGAAATGGGGGAGCCTCTGCCTCGGATGGAGATGCGAACATGCTTACAAACCTATAGGAAGGACACTGCTGAGAGGGAGAGGTTGAATATGCACAGAAAAAAAAAAATTTTTTTTTTTTTTTTGAGACAAGGTCTGGCTCTATCACCCAAGCTGGAGTGCAGTGGCACAATCTTGGCTCACTGCAACCTCTGCTTCCCACGCTCAAGCCATCCTCCCACCTCTGCCTCTCAAGTAGCTGGGACTACAGGTACACACCACCATGCCCAGCTACTTTTTTTTGTACTTTTTGTAGAGACAGGGTTTCACCACTCCGCTCAGGCTGGTCTCGAGCTCGTGAACTCAAGCAATCCACCTGTCTTGGCCTCCCAAAGTGCTGGGATTACAGGTGTGAGCCACTGCACCTAGCCCAGAAAACTTTTCCAATACAGAAAATAAGCAAGCAGGTTCCTGAGAAGTGGGGAGGAAGATCCACAGAAGCTCCCACTAGGGCATGGCCGTGAGGCCCAAGAGCTGCTCTGAAAATGTCTGTTTTGCACCTGAGAGAAGAGGAAGTCACCTGCTTTGTGCTCAGGGGAGTCAGAGCTTCTAAACAGTTGATTCCAGTAGCAGGAAAGTGAGATCAGTTCTTCTTAGGTCATCTCACAGTACCTCAAGAAATTCTCTGAATTGGCCTCTCTGAGAGCTTTACAGATTCTCCAAACCCTCTCTCCAAGAGCATTTGCTTTTGCAGCCTGGGTAGCCCCCTCCCTCTGGTTCATTCCACACCTGGCCGTTTCACATTTTCTCACCAAAGTCAGGGGGAAAAAAGATCAGTGGCCACCCCACTACCATCTAACATACATATTACAATTTCTATAAACCTGAAGACAGTTCAGGTTGCTTAGAAAATAAAATGTGAGTTCTTCTTGCAAGGTTTGAGCTACAATTGGTGTTGGTGATAGGTGGGAGATACTAAAAAATTACTTAAGTGAATCCAAATATATTATATGTACAAGATTCTATGCAAAGCATATTTCTCCAAGACATTACACAAAGAGACAAAAGAGAATAAATTCAACAGTACTGGGACCCCTTCCCCCCTTACACTAAAAACTACTATTAGTTCAAGTCATCATTTTTTGTAGAAAACACTTTGAATTTGGTTTTTAAAAACCTTACTTTGGATATATGACAGGTCAAAAATGTTATCTTTGTGGAGTAGGATTACAGGTATTATTTTAATCTTTTTCTTTTCCTGTTTTTCTAATTATTCTACAACAAATAAACATTACTTACATAATTTAAAAAATCTTACCTTAAAGACAGAACAACGAACATCAGCTGAGCTCGTGTCAAATGCCAGTTCCCCAGTCACCTTCTTCAGGAGGTCAATAAGAATGGTCGGGGGCATCATTTCCCAGTACTTAGAAGTTATTTTACAAACACCAAGGATCCCTGTGGAACGGACCATCGGGTAAGGATCTTCTAAAAGGCTCTATAAGTAGGAGGGGAGAAAGGCTTAAAAACCTTGACTTATTTCCCGAAATCCACATCTGCTTCACACGTGAGCACTTCAGGGATTCGTAACTTAGAGAAACTTTGAGCATAGAAATACTGGACACATATGGATTCCTAGACCTGAGATTACTTGCTATCGCTTCTAAAGCAGAGTATTTAAGATCAAGCCAGAAACATGGGGTGCCTCATGTGCCACATCCCCTGACAGCAGGGCCTCAAAACCAGCTCTGTCATTCAGTGAGACCTGCACACTCAGCTGACCATGGCAGGTGTTCAGATTAGGCATGGCCCACGTACACCACGCTTTTGAATTCTAAAATGCTGTAATGCATTTTAGAGCCCAGAATAAAATAATTCTACTTGTAATGAACTAATCCAGGCCATGATCGTCAGTGGTACTAAAAATTCAAAAACAGACAATGAGGCAATAAGTACCCCGATGGGAGTATTCGACATCAACAGGGAAATAATCTCACGAAACAAAATCCCAAATACATGAATCGGATCAACTCTCTCATTTAACTACCAATTTATAGGAAACACAAAGGGCAGAGGGACACACTAATGGCATCACAGGAATGGGTTCTATAAAATCCAGACTGCTGGAAACGTCATAGAATAATTTGGCTTCTTCAATGACAACAAAAACAGCAAGTTTTAAGAAAACAAAACACAAAAAGATTATGGCAAGAGAGCTCGTGGTCCAGGAGACTTAAGCAACATGTCAGTTAGTCATAGCACATGGGCCTTAGTTAGAGAAACATTCAAACAAAACGAGAAAATGAGAGCAACGAATGGGTACCCAAAGACACTAAGCAATCATCGTTAATTTATCTTTAGCTGTGATCATGGCATGATTAAAAAAAAAATTATCTTTTATCAATACCTTCTGACCCATTTAGAGCTGAAATGATATGATGTCCCAAATATGTTTCAAGACAGGGGAAGAAGAAATCAGATTGGGATTAGTCAGCAATGAGTAAAACTGTGTTGTGGGCACACAGGGGTTATTACTCCAGTCTCTTTTTTATTATGCATGACATTTTCTATTAGAAACGTTGAAAAACACAACAGAATTCTTACTACTTTAATTAGAAAAAAAGATTTCAAGTTAAAATTAAGCATTTACCCCATCTCTTCCCCAAAATTTGACCAAAATGATCAATTTCTATTAGCAATAATAGAAACAAAAAGACTGAGAAATTTCTGTAAGAGAGGGAATAAGGAATAGATTCATGGAGAAAAGAGCATAAAAGGTTGTAACCTAGACATTCCTAGGTAAGGGTGCTCTAAAGACAGGAGGCTGTGACCTCAGAGAGCTCACATCAGCCCCGAACCCAGAGCCCAGGTTACAGAGAAGAGTTTGTGGCAAGGGCTGCAAACAACCCCTGATGAGGCATACAGGCCAGCAGGAGTTCAGGGGCAAGGATGTGCTCCCCAGGATAAAGTCTTACAAATGGTTTCTAAACCACGTGTGTCATCTGCCAGGAAGAGATACTGGGCAACAGACAAAGAAGAACAAAAAAAGAGCCAGCAATAACTCTAAGCCTCCAGAAAAGCAAAAGAAGGAAGAGCAATGCCACCCAGAAGGAAAGGGCCCTTTGTACTTGGGTACCGAGGGGTCACCTGCCTGCCTGCTCTTCCTCCACAGAAACTAAGGGAAGTCCTCCTGCTGTTGCACTCTGCCCATTTAGGCAAACCTGAGACATGACTCTACACAACTAGAGAAGAACACCTGCTAACTACCTTACCAACCCAATCCTTTATCCAAACATAAGAATGGAAAAGATGACCAGTCATTTAAGAAAAAGCAAATAGGAAGAAAAAAAGATGATAAAAATAAAGCAAAAAAAAAAAAAAAAAAAAAAACAGAAAAGAACTTTAGGAATCTGAAGGCCTGTCCTTGGGATTCAGAAGTTTTTATACATTTTGTTTTCTATTAATTACTTTCAATAATAATCTTTAAAAATAATAAAAATATATTCCAGACAATCACCTTACAACCACATCCTCTCTGGATTCAGTGTCCAGACCTGTTTGCAATTACACCATCACCAGAGAAGCACTCAAAATGACAGCACATGACTTGCAATGCTGTTTCTGTCGCATCCCTTCATTTAAAAACATTCAAAGAATCCTTTTCTTTTTTGAAACAGGGTCTTGCTCTGTCACCCAGGCTGGAGTATAGTGGCACAATGTCAGCTCACTGCAGCCTTGACCTTCCAGCCTCAAGTGATCCTCCCACCTCAGCCTCCCTAGTAGCTGAGACTATAGGCATGCACCACAGTGCCCAGCTGATTTTTTTTTTAATTGGTATAGATGGGGTTTCGCCATGTTGCCCAGGATTGCTCAAGCAATCCTTCTTCCTCGGCCTCTCAAAGTGTTGGGATTACAGGCGTGAACCACTGCACCTAGACCCTTTTTTATTTTAAAAAAAAAAAAAAGGTTCTCCATATTACTCAGGTTTAAGAAATACCAATAAAGCAAAAAGCATGAGAGAACAGTTAAGGTACACAGAGGATACAGGAAATAACCACTGCTCTTACTTATTTATCAGATCACCTCCTTTGTCTCCTCATGATAGAGCCTAATTTCCATCTAAAGGTTGAGTTAAAGCCTCAAGAGGTGCAGCACCAGGGACAGGAGCTCTCAGCCAGCTTTGGTGAACAATGCCGCAGGCCAGACCCAGCTGGTACCTGCTCCTACACAGCCCACAGTGCTAAGAATGGTTCATATTTCTTAATGGTTGGAAAAAATGAACAAATTAACATTTTATGGCATGTGAAAATTACATGAGATTAAAATTTTGTTGTCCACAAAATTTTTTTCTTTTTTTAAAATAAGAGTCAGGGTCTCGCTCTATCGCCCAGGCTGGAGTGCAGTAGTATAATCATGGTTCACTGTAGCCTTGACCTCCTGGGTTCAAGCGATCCTCCCATTTGAGGCTGCAGTGAGTGATGATCACGCCACTGGACTCCAGGCTGGGAGACAGAGCACGACTCTGTCTCTAAAATAAAATAAAATAAAATAAAATTTAAAAATAAGGAATCTTTAAAAAAAAAAAAAGGAATTGTAGATAAATATACATAATGTACACAGCAAAATACTAATGACTTCATTTAGGGATGTGTGTGTGTGCTTGAAGAAGTATACAGATATTTATTACACTTTTTTTTCTTTTTATTTTTTGAGACAGGGTCTCACTCTGTCACCCAGGCTGGGGTGCAGTTGTGTGATCATGGCTCACTGTAGACTTGACCTCCTGGGCTGAAGCCTCCCAAGTAGCTGGGACCACAGGCGTGTGCCACCACACCGGGCTGTTTTTTTGTTTGTTGTTGTTGTTGTTTTTAACTTTTTGTAGAGACGAGGTCTCACTATGTTGCCCAGACTGGTCTCAAATTCCTGGCCTCAAATAGTCCTCCTACCTTGCCCTCCCACAGCGCTGGGATTACAGGCGTAAGCCACTGTGCAGGCCTATTATACTATTACTTTAACTTTCTGCATGTCAGGTTTTCCATAAGTTAGAAAAGAAAAAGAAAAAAGGGAGCACTTCAGAAGCACCACAGGCAACAGCATTACAACAGCACTTTGTTGTCATTGTTTCCTAAAACTTTACTACTTAGGACAGTAGATAGTATGCACTGCTTAAGTAAGCTGTGTTAGGAAATACAGACTAAGTAGATGAAAAGAATCCACAATACTCCTTGGAAATAAATGCCGCATCTTAACATCCTAGCACCTCATCTGAAAAATCACCTGCCACAGGCATTATTTGTAGGCTTGCCCTGAAATATAACCAGTGTTTGCTCATTATGCTACCCAACACCTTTAGGATAGGCAATATCGCAATCACACTTACAGAGAAAGACACAGAGAAGTTAAGTGACTTGCCCAAAGCCACATACCTATTAAGTGAGAGTGGTGGACTCTGACCCCAGAGAGCAGGGGGCTGACACCAGAGCATGTGCTTTACCCACCATATGACACCACCTCTCCATTGGGGAAACAACAGGCATATGCATAAAATGTTTAAAACCACACATAGTAATAAATAATTAAATGTCCCAAAAGTAGAAAAAGACACCACAGGTCCACGCTGTTATAGAAGGCCCCAGGGAGAAGTGGCATCTCTCTGAAGAACAGTCCAGGTTTAGAAACCATGCCATGTGGGAGCAGAGCTCTGGCGGTTACAGGGGAGGTGGGGACACACACAAGCAGTACATGCCACAGCCTGGACAAAGCTGATATCTGTAAGAAGCTTGACCACCTGAAGTACGTACATAGAGCTCTTCAAACTGTTTCTGGATTTCACTATCCATTTCAATAGCATGAAGGTTTGGATCCCTAATAGGAAATGCTTCAACAAACAACAATGCAGCATTTGATCGAACTTCAGAGTTTCTGGCCTATAATAATAAAAGAAGAGTATCTCAGAATCCCAAAGAGTTAACATACGAAGGCTTAAGTACAGTGTTCCCAAAGTAACACTTTAATTATCTTGATACAGATTTATTTTCAAATTACAGACAATTATAACGTTTAAATTGACCAAACATTGCTCAGTTCAATGTCAACAGATACTATGAAAAGATAAAGCTTCCTCACTTCAAAGCCCACTTCATGTCACTAAGAAGTGGTCACCCCACATCCTCACTAAAGATACCAGGTTGTCTGCACTGAAAGTTATTGTGTGTTTGTTAGATCTCAAGGATCTGGACAGCCCTGGACAGCCCAGGCCAGCGCGGCAAACCACCCACAGCCTCAGCTGGTTTGCTTTACGGCATGCCTCTAATCTCCTTCCCTAAACATGGTTACTTAAAAATAACTGTGTAGTTAGCACTAAACCAATCCAGATTTCCAGTTAAATGAAACCAAGAAATGCTTTTAATAAAAGAAAAAAACATTTGTTCAAAAATTTCAGAAAGCATTCAGTCTTCAGCCTTATCTTTACTATTTTATTGTAATTTGGACTTAGAGTTTGCTAAATTCAAAAGCACAAGTAGTACATTCCAAACACGGATAAACTATTTGAAATGTATACCTTTAATCCTCTCCAAAGGATGGGCTTATATAATCTATAAAGCATCTCTTCCACTCCCTGCCGAACTTTCTTTTGATGGTGAAAGTAACTCAGAACCTAAGGACCAAAAAAAGGAAAAGGAAGGCATTAACAAAAAAATAAATAAATAAAATAAAATGGCATTTGGAAAGAGCAACAGGGAGAATTGTTCTCTCCACCACAAGTAGGCTCTGGCTGGCATCCACATGTCATGACAATTCTTCAGCAGGAGTAACTTCAATGGATATAGGACAGTAGTAAATGCAGTCAATCACAAGAAAGAATCTACGGCTGAAATAAAAAGATTAATGGCCTTGGGCTATAAAATGGTTTGGGTTCTAGTTTCTGCTATTCTGCCAACAGCCACATAACCTCAAAAAAAGACTCGTTTAAACCTCTGACCTTCAGGATAAAATGGAAAAGGGGAGATTCCTGAATGGTTCTAAGAGCTCACGCTTGTTCCAAAACATTAACTAACCTCTTTATTACCAACATGTGGTAACTGTTTCATAACTTTGTAACAAGGAGGTGTCACACTTAGTGACCCCTCACTGTATGAGATTAATTTAGGTATCAAGTTCCTCCCAAAACTTATGAAAAAATCAGAAAATGATCATTCTTGTAGCTTTCATTCTTCTTTTCCTACTCACTTCTTTTCCAGTCAGAATCTTCCCAAAATTCTTTGTAGCCTCATGTCCCTAACAACAATTAATTTTGCCTTACTTCTCTATTCACACCTTTTGGGGCTAAACTTTATTAGTGAAACATGAAAATTTTGAAAGATTAAACAGGCTGTAAAAGAACAGCCTACACTTTAAGTGAGCTTGTATCAACTTAACCCTAGAAGAGCTGCAGTATGGGGATTATTTTTTTCTGATTATTATTTTGTAGTTTGTATTGATGGTGATAAGTGACATTAGTCTATAGTTTGCTTTTTGTGTACAATACTATCAAACTTTGATATCAACAGTACACTTGCTTCATAGAAAAATTTTCTAAACAGCTTAAGACTTAATTCACATGCCACAAAATCTACTGTTTTAAAGTATACAATTCAGTGGCTTTCAGTATATTTAGAGCTATGCTACCATTGTTACTGTCTAATTCTAGAACATTTTCATCAACAATGTTGAGATTTTTAATTTCAAATGATGTCTGAAGCACTGCCTGAAACCTCTTTCAATATCAATAAAATGACTTATCAGATAAATTTAATAGTTATCAAATAAAAACAATTTGAGGAAGAAACTATAATGTGTTATAAGTTGTGACAAAAACAATTACTTGGAGTTGAGTAACACGTTTCACTTGAGTGAAATCTAATATTCTCCCTTTAAATTCTTTTTGTGCATTTTTCCATAAATTTACCAAATAGTGATATCTATACTTATAATATCTTAATTACTCAGACTACCACAGCAAAAATAACATATGAAAACATACATAGTTTACATATAAACTACACATATAGTTTACATAAACATAGTTTACATAAATACATAGTTTAATGCAATTCTACTAAATAAAATTTGAAACACCAACTCATCTATGTGAAATAAATAACCCAAACTGACTACAACTAAATAAAGCCACACTGGGATGGGGGTGGGGGGTGGGTAGGACAGGGAGTTCATTGAATATATTTATCCTAAATATATGCAATCACGATTTTTAAATCCTCTGGAAAACTCAGTAGTCTAGATAAATCTCTGGGTTCTTTATCCTTGTGTAACTGAAATTAAATCATCAATAATGCAAAGAAACATTTTCTTATCCACTCAAAATTAATATAATTAGTATATTTACATTCTATAAATAGCAGTAGTTTCACTCTACAACAAAACAAAGAAATGAGTAGTCTTTATTCACTTGGTTTCTTGACATATGGTTGCCAAAACTAACAGCAAGCAAACAAGGCATCCCATGGGTTAGAACACTGATCAACAGCAGCTGCTTAATTTAAATAAACACAGCAGACCAGATTTTCCCATTCCTCCTGCCAGGATCCTTAAGATCCATCAAACACCTATCAGTGTAGTAATGGCACTGATGATAGAATCTTATCTAGTCAGTCCATTTACAATTATTAATATAAAGGTAAAGTTCATATCTAAATTCTGAGATTAATCTAAATTCTGAGATTACCTTTACAGAACAAAATATCAAAAGAAACAATCAAAACATTTATTCATTTGGTTTGCAGAAGAGCAAAATTGGAATTTAATAAGTAAAATAATAAAAATAATTTCAAATACCCTCTAGGATCTTTGAAAAAAATGATAGTGGCCATTAGAAACCAATAATTCTGGAAAATCTCAAGACAGAGAATTGAATTTAAGGTCATTCAAATACAATACTAACCATCTCAACAATACACCTTTGCTTTCCTCATTAAAACTTTGGTGGCAGGAATAAAACTGCCAGACATCAAATATCAAGGTTCTGAGAAATCCCCCTAACTGATGTCTGTGAAAGCTTAATTTTAAAATTTAACCAAAACAATTATCTAAAAACAAAACAGAGGAAACATTATTTCAAAAACAATCTGTTCACAATCTTACCTCCCGCACTTTGGAATGCACTGGAGACCTCCTCGGAAGGTGTATCCCGTGGAACATGAAGTCCTGGATGCAATCATTTTCAATCGCCTGAAATAACAAATGCAATGCAAAGCACTTGGTGTGTGTGTGTCCTACTGACGACCTGACAAGCAGTGCGGCATTTGAGTACAAAGAGTCTGACCTGTCCATCTTATATTTCATGAGAAAAAAACCTGGACCCTTTTGTCCAAGCTTTCTTATTTTAAGTCCATGCTTCTTAGAATCCCTTTGGTTTTCTTATAGCAAGGAGAATGCTTTGCTTCTCTTTTATTTGATGAAATATCAAATCTGTGCCAAATGGCAATGTAAGATTCCACCTACCACTCAAGGCTAGTTCAAATCAGACAAATTTCAGAGACTGAGTGCATGGTGAGTGTGGAGCCCCCTCTTCTGACTCATCACTGACCTGGACAACCTTCAGAAGACTGGATTTGTTCCAACAGCCTCCACAGAACAAAAACAGAACTACCTCTACGGCGGAAACTGTAAATAAGATATTTCAGGGCCACTGTTGACAAGGGCTGAGCAAGGAAGGTGTGTGGGAAGCCCTTCATCAGCCCCATGCACTAATGGTACTCAGAGTGCAGCAACTGGGAAAAGGCCTAGCCTCTAAGAGTAGCAAAAAACCCCAGTGGACCCTATGTCTGTACCTGTACTCTGTGCCCACCCTCACACATGAGCAGGATTTCTGTGGCTTTGAGGAAGGACCTAAGGAAACGCTCCTAGGGTTAATACTAATACAAACCAGAGTCTGCAGATGCTCAAGTTCCTCTTCCCCATTATATTTGAAAATATTTCCTTCACCTGAAGTCACTTAGCATCACTTAATGTGGGACAACCACACATTGTCTGACTTGCAATGAAAGATGAGATACACAGCACTACCTGGGAAGTTATTTGTACCATAAAAGTTGAATCCAAACCTTTAGAGCTAACTATCAGTATGCCAACATTCTACAGGACAACTGGTCCAGTTTCCTCACATGCCAATGGCATAGATTTTAAGAAAAGGAAAGGAGGGAGGAATGCTCTAGAATAAGCGATTTTAATGGTATAACAAGCAAATGCCATGTGGGCAACTTGTTGAGTCCTAATTCAAAAAAACTCTAAGGAGACATTTGAGATCACTGGAAAAATTTTAATGTGGCTTGATTATTTTTAAAAATACCAAGGATTTACTGTCACATTTTTAGGTCTTACAATGGCATTCCATAAGCACATTTTTGAGAGATGAATAAAGTAGTATGTAGAAATGAAATGTCAGGTCTGGAATTTGCCTGAAAAACTTAAAGAGAGGGAGGGCAGAGAGGAATGGAGTGAGACTGAGAAATACACATTGTTGATACCAATTTTGTATACATCTAGTCAAATAGTTTTTATTTTGTTTATTTTTCTGTAGAGACAGGGTCTCGCCATGTTGGCCAGGCTGGTCTCAAACTCCTGACCTCAGGTGATCCACCCTCCTCGGCCTCCCAAAGTGCTGGGATTACAGGCGTGAGCTACCACGCCCAGCCTATTTTTTATTTTCTAGAAGTCAGTGATAAACCTTGGCAATACAAATCAAGTGTAAGTTGTGCAGAGGAGCAGAGAGGATGGAAGTAAACCCAGACATGGGGCAGCCTCTGTCCACTCTGCAGGTTCCTCCCTCTGCCCATCAGTGCAGGGCCTGCTCTCCAAAGAGGAATGAAAAGTCAGGATAGAACACAGGGTTGTGAGAGGCTCCTTTCTGACCTAGAGTAAAAATTTTATTCTCAGAGAAAAATAAAATGATTGAGAACCTGGTATAAGAAAAATATAAGGGAAAACAAACACACTTTTTTGTCCAAAAGGGTATCTGGATGTTGAGTTGGGATTGTGGATTACATAGCCCTATCTTCATAACATAAATACTATGTATTCACCAGAGTTACCCATAATCAAAGAAAATATCTTCAAATTCTCAAAAATAATGTAACTAAAAGAGGTGACTTGAAGTCCCTGAACGGCACTATCCAATAGAAACTGAATGCAAGCCACAGATGCAATTTTAAATTTTCTAGTGGCTGCATTAAAAACAGACAAAAGAAACAGGTAAAATTACTTCAATATTACACAGTCATCCCTTGGTATCCATGGGGGATCAGTTCTAGGACCTCCCTCAGAGACCAGAATCTGCGGATGCTCAAATTCCTCATATAAAGTGGAGTAGTATCTGCATATAACCTATGCACTCCTGCACACTTTAAATCATCTCTAGATTACTTATAATACTTAATACAGTGTCAATGTTATGGAAATAGTTGTGACACTATATGTGTAGGGACTGATGACAAGGAAAAAAAAGTCTGTACATGTTAAGTACAATGCATTTTTTTCCCAAATATTTTCGATCCTTGGTTGATTGAATCCATGGATGCGAAACCCACAAAGGGCCAACTACCACATTTCGCCTAATACATCCAAACCACTAACATTTCAACATTCACTCAACATTTTTAAAAAGTACTGAGATATTTTATATTCTCATTTCCATATGAAGTCTTTGAAATCTGGTATGTTTCTTACACTTACAACACATCTTGATTCAGACTGGCCACGTTCCAAATGCCCAGTGAGCACATGGCTGGAAAGATCAGGGTCAGAGCTCCCTCCCAGCTGAAAGAGCACAGTCCTACCTCCCACAAACCACACATCTTAGCAAGTGACTGGATTGCCCATCAAATAGATTTTCATTATTTGGCTTTATTTTGACAGAGTGCATAAACATGGATCTTAAATAACCCTTCTTTGACTACTTATTTAGTAACTAAAATATAATAAAAATAAGTGTTAACATTTAAAAAAATGAAAATACCTCCAGTATTTTCCCTGAAGCCTTTTTCCAAGCTCTGAAATAAATTTCTGCAATGTATACCATCAAAGACCTATATAAAAAGATCAAAATAGTTTTAATGCAAATTTTAAGAATTATTCTTTCAACATGTATCATTTCAGCTACTCTCCAACCATAGTGAAGAAGAAACTCAGTTTAAACTAGTGCTTTGCAAATCATCTATAGAAATAGGTTATCTACCTGTAGCAAAAAGTAGAAAACGGAGAAGGTTTTGGGAAAGGAAACTGAAGTGACGAACTATTTCATCCTTCTCAGTCAAGGCTTACCCAAAACTTTACTATTTTCTGTGAAACTATGAGTGCATAAGTCCAGAACAAAATTCTAAAGTCAAAAATATTTAAATATAAATAAATTGTCGACTTGGAGTCACGTTGGACTTTTCACGCTACCAATTCCTGAGGTACAAGAAGCCCTAAAATACCAGTATCAACTTAAGAATCATAAGCTTAGAAATCTATTAGTTCAACTCAAATATTCTGAAGATGAGGAAATATGAAAAAGCAATCTAGTATACAACAGGAGCTTTGCAATCAGAGATCCAGAATCAGATCCCAACTTGGTACTTATACAGTTGCCTGACACTGGGAAATTTAGAAAGCAAAGCCTATCTCAAAAGAGAGTTGTGAGGATTAAATTTTAAAATGGAGACTAAGTACTCAGTGCTGGAGCAAATGAAGTACTCTGCCTTGTGCCTGGCAAACGACAAGCACACACTTGACATCTCCATCACGCAGGGAGTGGCAGAGTCATGACTGCAACGTTCCCTGCTGCTCCTGCAGATTCCACAGGCTCTTCCGAGAAGCCACCCTGGCCAGGCCACGTTCAACCAAAAAGCACACATTGCATTCAAAGTACCATGGACATGGCTTTATTACGAGCGAGGCTAAGGTTCAACTGGAAACTATTTTAACTATTTAAAGAACTACCACAAATTAAAACCTTAATTTCAGTGGTCAATACTGGAAAAGAATGATTTCCTATAAAAGGAAAAAGCTACCCAGTGATCCAATGGTACATAATAAATAACGTATTTCTAAAGCTTCTAATCCATTACTATAACTTAAGAAGTCAGACCAAATGGAATCTTTCAAAACCAGATTAAGACAGCACAAAATCTTCAGTACTTTTAACACTTACTTTTGTAATCCCTGTAACTGGTTTTTAATGGTCCCGTGGATCATTTTGATGAAGTTGATATTCCAGTTGAAGAGACAACTAAGAAATCTTCTTCCCTAGAAATAAAAAAGGATAGAATGTTTACATTGCAACCAAATAAAAAGTGCCAAATAACAAACAATTATTTGAACGTCTAGTAAGCTAAACATTGCTATTGCTAAAAACGAGGCACATGTAATTATCACTGAGAGCACATGCACGAGTTGAGCTGTCTGCGGGGCCTGCACAGCCAGGAGCCACACAAGCCACCTCCCCCAGGGCCGAGCAGCCGCTACACTGAGCGCCTCTGTCCTCAAGGGCCACAGGTGCAGAGATGGAGACCACAGACAGTAACCATGGGTCCATAAACATCTCATTCTGGCTCTGTCATGGATGGTTCCATAGTCTCAAATGAAAGAAAGCTTTAAATCTAGCATAGGTGGGTGGGAATGGAGTTGAATATCCCAGTTCATTTCACCTTCTCATTTATAGATGAGAAAACTGAGGACTCATATAGTTAAAAGGCTAAGTGTTTGTCAAGCTAGAATTTCCAAATACACAGTCTTCAAGTCATAAATACATCATGTGATGATAATTTATATGCATGCTACTAGATTATGTATCTGAACCTAAGAAGAATGAATACAATCTTCATACTCTATAGAGTGCATAAGATGCATCTATCTAGAACTCTCTCAGTGAATAGCACCTTCATCTCTTACCAGCACACCACTGCACAGAACTGGAATCCTACAGAAATGCAATACATTTTGATTCAAATGCAGGGTAACCATGCTCACAACAGGCAAGTTAAAAAAAAAAACAGTAATATTCACTGGAAGTAATCTGTTAGTACAGTACAAGATGTTTATGGTTTACCCAGAATGACTGGAAACTGACCTGACCAAATTAATGATTGATTAGGAAACTACATTTAGATATCTTAAATTCAAAGGAGACATCAATTTTTTAAAAAGGGTAGAGGTTATAACACATACATACATTTATGTCTGTTATATATCTGCACACATATATAAGTTAACAAGTACGATTCATCAACTCCTTATGTATAAGTCAACATAAAATAGTTTATTGTTTGAATCCATCATTAATTTCTTCACTCTCCCATTTCAGAACAATCCTGGAGACATGTGTGGGGCACAGGCTGTGTCCAACATCTTTGTAATAACGATGGTGCTGACACAGCAAGGATGGCAAAGGGCAGCCCTCCCCAGGGGTTCTTATCCACCAGCGCCTGGGCTGCGGTTTGATACATATTACCTCATCTGTTCCTAACAACAATCCTGTGAAACAGTAACTGTTGCTCCTATTTTACAGAACAAAACTCTGAGGCTGAAAGGCCTGACCAAGGGCACCACCTATAAAGTGAACAAAGACCCTGGGAGCCAAAGGTCTCAGTCCTAATCACATGGCCCTTTGTCTAGCAGACTGCAGATGGCTCGCCGGGGTCCAGTTCTGTCTCTGCCGCTGAGCAGCTGTGACACCTGGAGGAAACTTATTCTGTACCTCAGAGCTGGTCCTCCTCTTCCTCTGAAGCCCTTCTCCACCTCCTTCAGGGAGGAGGGATGACTTCCTCCTTCTGCCTCAGAGATGTGCCTGCTGAGCCATGAGCATCCAAATGCAAAAGCTTGTTCTAGTCTCCCCTGGCACTGCCTGAGCATGTAGTCGACGCTCAGTAAACAACTGCAGAAGGCCCCTAACACAGAAGAACTATGCGAGCCTCTCTGTAATTCTCAATTCTTTAGTAGTCATGTTAACAAAAGTAAAGAAGATTAATTTTAATAATATATTTTATGTAAAGCAATATTTAATATAACAGACAATAAAAATATTGTCTATTATATTAAGTATAGAACAAAAATTATTAATGAGCTATTTTATGTTCATTTCTTTCCCACTAAATCTTCAAATCCATGTGTATTTTATACTTATGGCTAATCTCAGTTCAGTTGGGTCCCATTTCAGGTGCTCAGTAGCCTCATATGGGAGTTGACCCCAGGACGGGCAGTGCAGCAACAGGCCAGAAGCCTCTCTGGATTTACAGGATGGGTAGAAAAAAGAAAGGGAGGATATTATGGGATGACAGTTTTGAGTACATGGCAATTAAAATGGAATTAGGGCAGAAGGCCAGATCTCATTCATAGAGAAGTGCTTTCTCAACCTTATTTTTAATCATTCTTAATTTAAAATGTAATTACGGTTCCCCTAGGTAACACACAGCCACCTGTTACCATCCAATTTAATGATGAAATAAGCAAGGACTTGTAAAATGTCTTCTCTAGTACTGCCATGCAGTAAAAATCATGTGCAGTAAATAGCTCCTGGTAGCTAAGCAACACCGAGCATGGTGCAGACAGGAACCATGTGAACACAGGAGAAACATCTATTAAGAAGCAGCTCACAAACAGATCAAAAAACAAATACCTATTTACCTCTTCTTTCTTGATATAATTAATATTTATGAAGCACTCAAGTAACATATCTTTAATTTCTCCACTTTCCTCCAAATCATAATCAAAGCAATATAAAGCTTGATGGATACGCCAAAGCCGACATACGTCTGCACCCTAGGAATGACACAAAAAATGTGATACCTTTTTCAATGAACAGTAAAGTCATATTTCAAATCAAGTATATTTTATATCATAAATAATGGTAATTCTAGTTGATTCATCAAAGATTAAAAAATAACGACAAATAAAAACAGATTTTAAAATTTGCAAATGCCCCCTATAGCTCTACAGAACATTTTTTTAAAACATAAGGAAAATAATTAAAAATCCAGCAAGTTTAAGAACTTCCTCGATGATGAAGATTTTATACATCTGAACTGTCTAGTGCAGTAGACATTAGCCACATTTCACTGTAGAGCTACTAAAATGTGACTAATGCAACTGAGGAACTGAATTTTTCATTATTTTTAACTTTAAATTTAAACAGCTTTCTGTGGCAAGTGGCTACTACGTTGAATAGCGCAGGTTTAGAATGTTAGGAAGACGTTTAAAAATAAAGTCCTAGCTAGGTGGTGCACTCCTGAAGTCTCAGCTACTTGAGAGGCTGAGGCAGGAGGATTGCTCGAGCCCAGGAGTTTGAGGCTGCAGTGAGCTATGATCATGCCACTGCACTCCATCTGGGCAATAGAGAGAGACCCTGTCTTTAAAAAAATAAAAAGTGAGCATACTGTCTTAGTCTCCAGACTCCTCCTTAGTAACATGACAAAGGCTGTCTTTCCTGTGTCTTCCTTGGCAGGCAGGCCTTTCTCCCACCAGGTAACACACAAATCCTGAATAGAACTCTGTAGTTTTCGTTCAGACTCAGGTAATGCATATAAAATACCTAAAATACAGCACAGTAATTTTCCAATTAGTAAGGCAAATTCTTATTACTTCAGAGTCAACAGTTTAGAGTATCATGACTTTATATATTATTTAAAGCTTTGCTAAGCAAATAATATTAGTTATGTTTAACTTGCCAAAGATTTATATACATTAGTTATAAAATGCAAATAATGTTAATTAAAAAACTGTTTGACGATTGTTATAAAAAGACCCTCAACAGACATAATAGAAAAGAGATTTTTGGAACTGGAAGTCTCAGAGAAATCGTATCACCAATTTTAGAAAGGCAGATGCTGAGGCTAACCAAACCTCAGTGTAACAACACCAATGGTATCTCTGTTAACACCAGAGCCAAGACAGGTCTACTGACCAATCAATAATCCACTACTATCCCTCAATGTGCCAGCCTCAAATTTTGGCTCAGAGGTGAAAAACAGTCAAAGCAATTACCATAATGAATACAAAAACTGCAGTGCTTTTATTAACAGAAAAGCTCAATAATTAGATTAATGATACTAATGCTCATAATTATAATCTGTAGGTATCTGAATGTCATTACACTAATATAACATTCCTGAATTAACTGGGAAGTTGATAGCAACTACAGTGTTAGCACTAATCATTTCACTAGTTATTTGCAGACCATACAAATAAACTGATAGTAAAATTCACAAAGCATTTGGAAGCTATTTTCATTATGATTGGGGTGACTTTTTAATAAGACACTGTATTTCAACTCAAGAATTCAGAATAAAACAATGTACTATAAAACATACATAAATCCAAGTGATGCTAAGAATAAGAAGCTTGATGAGATACTTTGTCACAACAAACTAATTACACTCGCACAGTGAAGGATGAGGGTATGTGAAAAGTTTTCTTAAAAATCATTAAGATATTTTTACATCTTTTGTAACTAAAATTTTATATATTTCATAATCAAATATTTTCATTAACTTAGACTAAATTAATAACTAGTTTTACAGTTTTGTTAAAACTTGAAAAGTACCATCATTTAAATTTCAATACAGTAAAACTCCCCTAGGAGTCAATAATCACTCCTCAGATCACGTTCACAACATACTTTAAGAAAAAATTCAGTGTCACAAATTCTTAGTTAAGTTGACACTATCTAGCAATGGTAATCACATAATCAGGTATTTTCTTCTCAACAAGTTCTTGATCATTGGTCCAGTAAGTCAGACTTCCCTGAAAAACCTGTAAATAGCAGTTAGTTGCTGAGTACTGCCCATCTCACCATCTATAACATCTGAATGGAGCTTAAATTAAACTAATTAGGCCAGACACAATGGCTCATGCCTGTAATCCCAGCACTTTGCCAGGGCAAGGTGGGAGGATCACTTGAGCACAGGAGTTTGAGACCAGCCTGGGCAACACAGTTAGATCCTGTCTCTACCAAAAAACAAAACAAAACAAAACAAAACAAAAAGCATGGGCCATGGTCCCAGCTACTAAGGAGGCTGAGGTGAGAGGATAGCTAGAGGCCAGGAGGTCAGGGCTACAGTGAGCTGGGTTCATGTCACTGCACTTCAGCATAGGCAACAGGGCGAGATTCTGTCTCTAAAAAAAAATGATAAATATAAAATAAATAAGTATTCAGGACAACTCTTATGTAAGTATGCTCCTATTCTAGCTGAAGAAAAAGAACTTGACTGCAAAGCTATACCTTTATACAACTTCTGCTACTAAATTCAACAATGCTCATGAAAACAACTAGTTTCCTTTTACAAAGTATCATTTCAGGCCAGCCACGTGGGAGGCTGAGACGGGTGGATCACCTGAGGTCAGGAGTTTGAGACTAGCCTGACCAACATGGAGAAACCCTGTCTCTACTAAAAATACAAAATTAGGCGGGCGTGGTGGTGAATGCCTGTAATCCCAGCTACTAGGGAGGCTGAGGCAAGAGAATCGCTTGAACCCGGGAGGCGGAGGTTGCGGTGAGCTGAGATCGCGCCATTGCACTCCTGCCTAGGCAACAAGAGCGAAACTCCGTCTCAAAAAAAATAAATAAATGAATGAATAAATAAAAACAGAAACAAAAACAAGTATTTCAACACCCACTTCTAAATATGCCATTTATAACAAAATCAACTCACCATTTAATATAATAACACATTCCAGTAGGGCTTCGTAGTTCTCACTTTCATTTATTACAGACACAGAAGCAAGAATCACAGATGTAATTGCATAAATTATTTCTATGCTTTTTCTCTATAAATGAAAAATCAAAGCATGAGTGAATTAAAATCATCAACTTAAAATCAGTTTTTAGCAGAAATTTCAGTTACAAATTTTCTAAAAATCAAGCCACAATTCTAGCTTATTCTAAAAAGAATTAAAGTTGAATAAAAGTAAATCATCCTAAAAGAACAGCAATATTTAGTATTAGATTAATAACAGTAGGGTTGAAAAGTGAATAAAACTACAACAGACTAAACTTCTAAAATTCTTGACTTCTAACTTCAAAATCTGTCTTAATGTAAAATTCAATGATACACAGTGAAGTTATTTTTTGACAAAAAAAAGAGAAAAACGTTTCTTATTTTTGAAAAACAAATACTACCATTTTTGAGCCATGTTCGGTTTCCATATTGTCTTCACCCTGGGCTTCCACTACCTGCCACCCATCCACTGGGCTTTCTAACAACACATCTGTCAATAAATTCTTCAGCCTTTGCCATAATTCTTCTTTCTGTTTCCTTGATAATTCATCTAGTAATTCATTTAGGCTGAAAGGATCAGAGGCCTCTTTCTGTAACATAAATAGCAAGTGTCACATTTCAAATACAAAAAATTAATCATATCCTTTTCATAATGTCATCAAAAGAAAAGTTAAGTGTTAACTTCATTACAAGTTCAAGAGTTTGGTTGCAGTATTCAAAATCCATTCCTAAAAGGGAAGAAGCACAGGGATTCTCCACCTATTCTTTCCTAGCATCCTAATCTTCAGAGTTTTTAAAATTTCACCCACTTAGCAAAACCCTCCCTAAAAGGGACCCAAATGTCCACCATCTCCATACCTAGAATTAGATTACAAAAGTAGGCTAAAGTTCAATAACAATGGCAATAATAATACTGTGGCCACAGATTCCAGCCCCAAGTGGGCCCTCAACACCACCTTCTACTCATTCCTCAATATCATTCTCTCCCACCAGCCAACAAGATGATTTCAGATCTCCTCCAACAACCCTCTAAACCCATTTCCTCTTATCTGAGATGACCTCACGTACTCTTTGATGAAGCAAATAGCGGCCCTCATCAAAAGGGCATAGAATCCAATTAAAGGGACTCCCTATAGCCAAATTTGGAACAATGTGAGCACCAAAACAGTGACAGTGATTAATTATAACCAGTTGAATGAAATAAGCATAAACGAGGCCAAGCCAACCACTCTGGGAGAGAGGGCTGCAGTGAGCTGTGATTGTACCATTACACTCCAGCCTGGGCAACATAGCAAGAGCCCGTCTCTAAAAAGAAAAAATCAATGACAGCATACTGATAATAAATATCAAATCATTAATTAATAGCACCTGCATGCTCTAGAATGTCAGTGAATAAACATAGATGCAATACAGGGTTAGAAAATCACTGTTTTATAGCCATCACAATAATTATGGACTCTGGCAGGAATTATCGGGAGATGCTGAAACAAGTGGGTGGAAGCCTGGTGAGCAGCAGGACATTACAGTGTCACCACTTTCCCACAGAGGCAGGTTCCCAGAAGAGACCTGGCGGACACCTACCCACACAGGGACGGACAGACCATGCCATGCGCTTCCTGTCTTGACAGCGCCGAGGACCTAACACTGCTAAGCAGTTCCTGCCAAAATGCACACTAAAATTTAATCAGATCCTCAACAGATGCAAATTGAAGGCTATACCACAAAAGAGCCACTTGCACTCTTCAAAACTGTCGGGGTCATAAAAAACACAGTAAGATGGAGGAACTAGAGTAAAGATAACCTCATAAGCCCTCCATCCCCCCATCCTCTCTTCCTGCTCTCCTAGCTCCTCTCCTGCCCTGGTGTTTGTTTTCTCCTCTTCTTAGCGCTCCTTCATTTTTCATCTAGCTTTTTCCACCTCCGCTTGTTCACTTCTATCTACTCTCTTTCCTCGTTTCCTTGACCCTCCTCCCCTTCAATTCTCCTCTCCATTTTCCTTAAGCCTTTGCCTGTCAATCACATGCAAACACAGACCAGCTCTCAAATGTTTGACCTTAGACAGTATCTTGATCTACCTATAGACCCGACATTCAATCATGAACAATTGAATAATTCTTTACGCCTCAATTATGCAGAAAAAATAAGTTAATGGCCCGCTTAAGTCCATTAATGGTAATTTTCCAGTATATCAATGGACAGTTTTGGTGCTGGGGTCATTCATCTGGGTGATGGACCACAGCTACTGTGTTCAAAGATCAAGAGGTTCTATTCAGGGCAAACTCTGGTGACTGAAGGTGACCAGAGAAATGACTGGGCTGATTCATGACGCTTACATCAGGAAATACTAGTTGACTGATGGTTAGGGCACAGAAACGAATCAGGACCCACCCTGCCCTGAGTAAGTTCACAGTCTAGGGGCAAGAATAACAACCTACAGATTGTTAAAATCTATTAGAGGTGTATGCTGAAGGATATAGCCTGAAGGAAAAGAAATAGCTGCCCATCCACCTATGTGACAAACTAGGATGGGCTGCTAACTCCTTCCTGAAAAATCAACCCTGAAGAAATGAGAGTGAGAGAGGTTCCAGTAACAAACTATAGCAACAAAATGAGACACACACCCAGCTTCACTGAAGGCTGTTTGGAGCTGGGGATGTGAGAAATGAGTGGCTGTTGCCTAGGGCACTGAAGAGCTGGCTGGAAGGGCAAGGAAAGGATGGGGGACAAAAGCTGTTCAAATATCAAAATGTTCTACCTCTCCCCAGCATGGCCTTGGGGTGGTCATTGCCTGGCATTGCCACGACATTAGCAGTGACGGCCCAGGCCTCTAGGGCCATAGGACACTGGGCAAAGGCAGGGCAACACAAAAGCCCAGCAGTTAGAAAGAACACGTGCAGACTAGCGAGCTGCCTGTGGGCATCCTTCCACAACCACCTCCAGCCCCCGGATGCAGAAGCTGTGCAGCCCTGTGCTGTACAGAGCGCACCAGGATGAGGGGCCGGTGGGGTGGACATCCTGCAGGGCCTCTCCTCCCTGTGTGAGTGCCCTGGCCACCTGTGCCCCAGCAAGGTGCCTTTTTGTAGTCTATATGCCCAGAGGGAGGTATCCTCTTGTGACTGGCACAATGTGTATGAAGCAGGGGAAGTCTTGTTGCGTAGCAAAAAACTTGGTAGCATAAAGCAACAATTTTACTGTATCTCATGAATCAGATGCTCACTCTTGGGGACACATGCCTGTGCTTAAGGTGGCAGCTGGGTGTTGGATGTCTGGCACTTTGGTGCCCACTAATGAGGTCTCCCTCTGCAGTCTCATCCTCCAGCCTTTGTGTGTGGTCTCTCTCTCCAGCAGAGGGTGATCCTGCACTTCTTACATGACAACCACGGGCTCCGAGAGGAAGTAGAAGCTGCCAAACTTTCTGAAGGCCACTTCCTCAATATTCCGTCCGTCAAAGCAGGCACAAGCCCAATCCAGATTCAAGAGGAGAGGACATAGGCTGCAGAGGGTTATTTAACAGGATTATCCACAATGTTAAATTTCCTGATTTTGAGGATTTTAATGTGATTATATAACAGAATATCTTTTAGAAAAATACGAACTGAAATGTTTAGAGATAAAGAGGCACAATGCCTACAACTGACTCAAGTGATTCAAAAAAATGTAAATACAAAGGATGATAAAGAAAATGTGGCAAGTGGTAAAAACTGGCAAACCTGGACGTAGGGTATTCAGGATTCCTTTGAATTCCTCTTGCAACTTTTCTTTTAACTTAGCAGTTATTTCAACAGGAAAGAAATTACTTCTCCACCCTAACCCTGCCACCCTCCTCCTCCTAAGTCCACACCCTTAGCTTCCCAAATGTGCCCTGCCTCAGGGGCTCGGCCTTTCCCATTCCTTTTGTCTAGAATCTTCTTTTCCCAAATCTCTGCATGGCCCATTTGGATCTCTGATCAAATATAGTCAGGCAATGCATAGTGATATTTCAGTCAATGACAAACCACATATATGAGAGTGGTCCCATAAGATTATAATGGAGCTGAAAAATTCCTATCACCTAGTGATGTCATGGCTGTCAAAACATCATAGTGTAACAGATTAATCACATTTGTGGTAATGTTGGTGTAAACAAACCTACTTTTTATCATTGTTTTAGAGTATATTCCTTCTACATTTTTTTAAGTTAATTGTAAACTAGCCTTAGGCAGGTGCTTCAAGAGAAATTCCTGAAGGCAATGTTATCATAGGAGATGAGATGACAGCTGCATGTCTGTTATTGCCCCTGAAGACCTTCCACTGGGACAAGATGTTAAGGTGGAAGACAGTGATACTGATGATCCTGACTTGGTACAGGCCCAGGCTTATGGTATATTTGTGTCTTAGTTTTTAACAAAAAAGTTTAAAAAGTAAAAATAGATGGCTGGGCATGGTGGCTCACACCTGTAATCCCAGCACTTTGGGAGGCCAAGGCAGGTGGATCACCTGAGATCAGGAGTTTGAGACCAGCCTGGCCAACATGGCGAAACCCTGTCTCTACTAAAAATACAGAAATTAGCCGGTGTGGTGGCGTGTGCCTGTAATCTCAACTATTCAGGAGGCTGAGGCAGGAGAATCACTTGAACCCGGGAGGCGGAGGTTGCAGTGAGCCAAGACGACGCCACTGCACTCCAGCCTGAGCAACAGAGCAAGGCTCCAACTGAAAAGAAAAAAAAAAAAAAGTAAAAATAGAAAAAAGCTATCAAATAGGGGTATAAAGAGAGTATTTTTAGCAAAGACATGGAATAAACCTAAATGCCCATCAATGATAGACTGGATAAAGAAAATGTGGTACATATACACCATGGAATACTATACAGCCATAAAAAAAGAATGAGATCAAGTCCTTTGCGGGGACATAGATGGAGCTGGAGGCCATTATCCATAGCAAACTAACACAGGAACAGAAAACCAAATACAGCATGTTCTCACTTATAAGTAGGAGCTAAATTATGAGAACACATGGACACGGGGGAACAACACACACTGGCCTATTGGAGGGTAGAGGGTGGGAGGAGGGAGAGGATCAGGAAAAATAACTAATATAACTAAATAACTAAAAATAACTAATTACTAGGCTTAATACCTCAGTGATGAAATAATCTGTACAATAAACCCCCATGAGACAAGTTGACCTATGTAACAAACCTGTACATGTAACCCTGAATATAAAAGTTAAAATAAAATAAAATGAAGAAAGATTTTTTGTAAAGCAAAATAAGTTTGTGTTTTAAGCTAAGTGTTATTATAAAGGATTTTAAAAGTTTATCAAGTAAAACAGTTACAGTAAGCTAAGGTTAATTTATTATTGAAGAAAAATGTTTTTATAAATTTACTGTAGCCCAAGTGTAATGTGTTTATAGTTTACAGTAGTGTACAATGACGTATTAGGCCTTCACATTTACTCACTACTCAGTTATTCACCCAGAACAACTTCCAGTTGTGCCAGCTCCAGCTACACTAAGTGCCCTATTCAGATGTACCATTTTTTATGTTTTATACTGTATTTTTACTGTACCTTTTCAATGTTTAGACACACACCATTGTGTTACAACACTGTGCCTACAGTATTCAGTACAGTAACATGCCACACAGGTTTGTAGCCTAGGACGGTAGACTGTACCATCTAGCCCAGGTGTGTACTGAGCTGCTCCATCTGGGTGTATGTAAGCACACTTTAGGATGTTCACACAACAATGAAATGACCTAATGATGCATTTCTCAGAACCTATCCTCATCAAGAGTCATGTGACTGTACCAACTCTGTTCAAATATCATCTCTGAGGTTTTCTTTAGCCACTCCATCGTTCCCAACTTCCACTTCCACTTGCTTTATCAGTAGTAGTAGTATTTTTTTTTTTTTTTTGAGACAGGGTCTCACTTTGTCACCCAGGCTGGAGTGCAGTTGCACAATCATAGCTCACTGTAGCCTCAAACTCCTGGGCTCAAGTAATTCTACTGCCTCAGCCTCCCAAGTAGTTGGGACCACAGGCACAAGCCACTACACTAGGCCAATTTTTTAACATTACTGTAGAGACGGGGTCTTACTATGTTGCCCAGGCCAGTGTTATCCTGGCCTCAAACGATCCTCCTGCCTCAGCCTCCCAAAGCTCTGGAATTACAGAGGTGAGTCACTGTGCCCAGCCTCCACCTGCTTTATTATTTCTCTATGTGTCTTGTTTTTCTTCCTCTACCACTAGAACATAAACCCCCATTTGTGCAGAAACTTTTCTTTGTGTGTACTATAACCCCAACTCTCAGTGCAGTGTCTGGCACACAGAAGGCACTTAGGACATGTTTGTTAAATGATGGAATTCTCCTCAGTGCTGTGTCCTCCTCCCCATCATTGATTCTCCAAGAAGGACAAGGGCATACAGTATAATCAGCTCCACTCTGGAACACTTGCTTGAAAATAAAAATTTGTTCCAACATTGTCAATACATCAAGGAACAATTTGACCAAAGGCAAATTCCCATTTGCTTATGTGGGATTTCATAGGCAAGAAATACCAGGTGAATGCAGAAAACTGCACCCACTGACTGGAGCCACCAGGATCCCATGAAACACAACTCAGACACCTACCAGCTCAGTCCATTCATACCTGGGCCACACATTGTGCCCCTCACCTGCTATGACCCAAAGGCTCCAACCCCACTGCACTGCACCCTCCCCAGGCCCACCGTGCTCTCCAATGCTCTGTATTCCCCTCTGCCTTGCTTGCCTTTTTCTCCTCTGTTCTACCTCATTTTCTTCCTCTTACACACAGAGGGGCAGGTGTACCTTGGGAGCACAGGCACCTACTCCCAACTATAGAATGTAAATATTTTTCAAGGTAAAGTGCCATGCTTACTATAGTATTTATGCATTTCTTACTGATTTAACATATAAAATTATGCTACTGTTTTATTAGGTTCCTGTTTTTAACATGTCACTGGCAAAATTTTTTAGTGTTGTCCCTCTAACTCCATTTTCCCCATAATCTCTCTGGGTTATTTATTTATTTATTTATTTATTTATTTTAACCAATTCTGCAGAGTGCAGTGACTGTTGGTAATGCATGTGTGGGATTACAGCAGAACTAACTGTACTTGGAAAGATCTACCTGATAGGCCCCAAACTGATTTAAATTCTTATCAAATTGAACTATGGGAAACCATCATTATTATATAAAATGGCATTTCTGTCATTCAACTTGATGAAACCACGTGATGCACAATCCTACACATTTTCATTTTTACACGTAAGAGCCACACGGTGACTAGGTACTAAGCTGAACTGTTAAGTGTTAATAAAGCTTATTGATAAACTAGAGTTAATGCCTCATTAGTATAAGGACTAATTCAGTATTCTCCTGAGATGTCTGCTGGCTTTCCAGCAACACTGCAAAGGCTGGTTGGCACACAACGGGTGGCTGGAAACAACGCACCCCAGAAGGGCACCTGTCATTGTGGCCACCAGTGTGATTTTGAGTTGCTATTTTTACCTCTGATTTTCAATTTAGTTTTCTGTGATTTTGTTAACATTATGGTATGCACTTTGCAACAACAATCTTTTAGACTTTAAAATATGTATGTACTGCATTTCCAATACAATCCATATACACTGCTACTGCTAAAGCAGACATTTATATATTATCTAACTAATTTGCTCTTATAAACACTTCTATGGTGATGAGATGCCTATGAGTTTGCGATTATTTTTAAGTTTACAGGATATCATTTTATAATACCAAAACATGTTATAAGCTCATTTCTCTTATAAAGAAAAATGATTTCTTAAATGTTGCCAGTAACAAATTCATTATTAGATTCCTCTAATTCTTTGTCACTAATTTGATTTTCACCACATAATAAGAACAAGTGAGACAAGTGTGCCAAGGGTCTCCTGCCCCAAAGATACTTTCGTATTTCAGAGTCAGTGCCTCCAATGCTGGCTTCCTCAGAGATGTGTCCTAGGCCCTTTTATCTGAAACTCTACAGAGATAACTGCAGGCATTCCCATGACTTAGGCTTCCATGCCCAACCTGTCTCTAGCTCAGCCCTTTCCCCTGGTATCCAGACGTGCATGTCTGACTACTGGCCATCCGCTGGTGCACATCCCACCACCAGTCATCTGGTACCTCCAAAATGGAGCCACATTCTCCCTTGAATCTGCCCTCTTCCCACGTTCATGAGCTTGCTGAATGGTACTACACAGTCAGACGCCTGGGCCCTTCCCCACCATATCCATATCCAATCAGTCCAATAGTGCCATCACTTCACTACCAAGCAGCTTCCCATTTCCAGTTCCTAATTCAACCATCATTTTGAAGAGCACAACCTAAGAGGTTAGCCTTAAATATGTCCCTTTGACATATTTCTCACTTGTAGTCAGAGGAATATTTCCAAAAGGCAAACCATATTTTTCTCCTTACCTCTATTTTGTCCACTAGTTCTCTCTCCTTCTCTTTTGTTCTCTTCCTCCCTTGCCTACAGCTCGCTCCCTGCTTCAAGCACCCACCGTTCTCAAGATAAAGTCTGAATTCCTTAAAATGGTAAAGACTCGTGTAGCCTAGCCCCCAGCCTCATCTTCTGCCTTCCTGCTGAACTTCAAGTTCAAACACAACAAACCTTCTCTAGTCTTCAGAGTGACCTTCTTTGTTAGATGGGTCCTTTCCCCCAACATCCCTCTTTGACTGGTTAACTTCTGTTTATCTTTTACATCTTAGCGTAGCCCACCAGCAGGTAGATTTGAGTATAAAGGGTTTTGTTTTCTTCTTTCAAATAAACATTGGTCGCTAAGGATTCACTGAGATAACTATGTTTCTTTTGGGGACATAATGACTTTAGAACATATTTCATATTCACAGTCAAAAATCACAACAAAACTAAAACATGAAACTTACATCAAGTTGAACAAATTGCAAAAACTCTCCAACCAGCTCCTTAGACACGGCTTGTACAAACGTCTCACGTTTTTCCATGACAGATGGCACTGTTCAAATGGCATTTATTTTGTAACCCTAATGGAAAACACAATCATACTGAAACACTTGCAAATATATCTTTTCCTGTAAGATTTAATTTGATATTAACATCCAAGAACTGCAAGAAAATTCCTCAACCACGTATGGCAGACAGTTTCTAAAAACATTCTGACATAAAACACGCTATAATATCTGAAAAACAATTTACTTATTTCCTTTACTGGGGATGTGAATAACATGATATTAATGATATTTTATCAACAATTGTTAATAAAATTACCAACTAAGGAGGGAGAAATCCAAATAGCCTTAGGAAGCTCACCACCATCTCTCCCTTTTTAGTACCTTAGCAAGATGCTGGCTCGGCAGAGCTGAGTTGATTCAACAAAAGAACAATCTGATCCCAGCTGCAGATTCTGAAGATGCTCCCTTTCTAAAGGCCATTCCTCCATCAAAAAAATCCCACTGTTAGTGTCATCTTGTTATTCAAAGTGAGATGGAAAACAGTGGCCCCGGGGGTCACCTGGGATCTTGTTAGACTATGCATTAGGCATGCTCAACCACAGCACCCTCCTCCCACCCCTTCGGGATAATGAGAGCTCAGGGGACTTTGTATACCCTCCATCCTGCCTGTGTTTTTCCAGGAAATTCTATTTCGCATTCACAATACCTGGTGCTACTGGTGCCCTACTGAAAAAACATCAACCTAAAGATGAGGTAATAGCAAATGATGGAACACATTTGCAGTAGGAGCCCCCTCACTTTAAAAATAAATGAAAACCACCTGCACCATTATAAATAGAGCAATATGGAAAATTATTGCCAATAATTATGGGGACAGAGAGTCATCTTAAACATATAATACTAGATTTTAATGTCCAAATTGAACAAAGCAAAAATAACCTCAGTTTAATGACTCCCGAAATAAGTTAACAGTGAAGTCTGGTCATCTCATTCCTCAACTCAAATGGCTGAACTATGAACTACGGTCATGGACCACATAACATTTCAGTCAACAACAGACCACATGTATGACCGTGGTCCCATAAGATTATAATGCCATATTTTTACTGTGCTTTTTCTATGCTTAGATATGTTTAGCGATGCAAATACTTGCCATTGTATTACAGTTGCCTACAGTATTCAGTACAGTAACATTCTAGGAGCAGTAGGCTACACCATACAGCCTATGTGTGTAGGCTACACCTCTAGGTGTAGGCAAGTCCACTCTGTGATGTTCATGCAATGATGAAATTGCCTAACGACAACGTGTCTCCCTCTTTAAATCAAGCATGACTGGCACATTTTTCACTGACAAAGAAAATGGGGAGGGAAGGGAGAGTGGCCAGTAACAAGCATAATGAATAGTGGCTAGGACAAATTCATGATTTTAGAAAAATAATCCAATAAGGTGCAGCAAACACATGGAATCATACATCTTCGCCCGGCAAGTCTGTGAACACTCTCCACTTTTTCATAGTTCTGGTCACTTTTCTTGTTTGCTCTATTTCCAAGTGTACCTCTTTGGCATGTTAGTCCAACTTACAGTAATACACTTCCTCTAGACTACCAAACTTATTCCTATATTTCCCATTTTCCCTCTTATATTAGTGACTGTAATTTTTTAATGGTTAATTTTTCAATCTATCTCCCAAAGTGGCAATATTCCATGTTTCTTGTACCATATGTGCATAAGACCTCAGCCCTGCAGCCAGAATGCTACTTTCAAGGTAAGGAGTCATCTCACCATCCAGTTATCAGTCCGAAGAGCAGGTTACTCTTCGCACAGGAGGTCTGGTACTAAATCAAGATGAGCATTAAAAAGAAGAAATCCCTGTTACCTTCTCACCACCTGTGACTTCCCACTCCGTCCCCAAACTCCTTCCTCATGGACACAACAAGAGGCACCAAACCAGCAACAAGAGTTCAGGAGACTGATGTCTCTGAGGACAATGCCCACGTCCACAGCTGGGGAGATACTCTCTGAGGGCAGTGCCTACACCCAGGGCTCAGGGGGACTCTCTCTAAGGGCAGTACCGACACCCAGGACTGAGGGGACTCTCTCTGAGGGCAGTTCCCATGCCCAGGACAGAGGGGGTCGCTCTCTGAGGGCAGTGCCCATGCCCAGGACTGAGGGGACGCTCTCTGAGGGCAGTGCCCATGCTCAGGACTGAGGGGGTCGCTCTCTGAGGGTAGTGCCCATGCCCAGGACTGAGGGGACGCTCTCTGAGGGCAGTGCCCATGCCCAGGACTGAGGGGGTCGCTCTCTGAGGGCAGTGCCCATGCTCAGGACTGAGGGGGTCGCTCTCTGAGGGTAGTGCCCATGCCCAGGACTGAGGGGACGCTCTCTGAGGGCAGTGCCCATGCTCAGGACTGAGGGGGTCGCTCTCTGAGGGTAGTGCCCATGCCCAGGACTGAGGGGACACTCTCTGAGGGCAGTTCCCATGCCCAGGACAGAGGAGGTCGCTCTCTGAGGGCAGTGCCCATGCCCAGGACTGAGGGGACACTCTCTGAGGACGGTGCCCATGCTCAGGGCTGGGGGGTCGCTCTCTGAGGGCAGTGCCCGCGCCCGGGGCTGGGATTTTCCTCCGACACGGACAAGAAGGACGGGCGTCGCTGAGCTGGGTAGGGGGGATGGCCCGGGGTCGCCAGTTCCGTCCAGTTCCGTCAGAGGCAGCACTGCCCGCACGCAGGTCGGCCGCCTCCTTAGGGGAGGGGAGGCTGGGACCCCGACCAGCCGAGGAGGGGCTTCCCGCCCGATCCCTGCTACTTCCCAGCCCCTGCTCTGAACCCAATCCCGGCTCGGCACCGCAGCTCTTACCTGGGCTCGGGGACCCGCCGTTTCCCGCGCTCGGACCAGATTCAAACGCACCCGCCGGCGCCCCAGACGGGCCCCGCCCTCCCGGTCGTCATCAGGCGCCGCTCTCGCGAGAGCTGGGGCGCCGCGAGCCTCGGGCCTCGCCCACACGCCCGGCCCGCCCCGCCTCCAGATCATGCCCCGCCCACATGCCCGCCAGTCTTCTTCCTGTCTATGCCCCGCCTCTTAGGGCGCGGCCTCGAGCAGCTAAGCCCAGTGCCCTACCGGGCACTACGGAACGCGCACGCGGGGCGCCACAGCTGGGGAACCCATGCCCGGTCCGCGCGCCGACGTCCACTGCGCGCTCGTGCGCGTCCTGGGGCCTCCGCGGAGGGAGTGCGCGGTCCAGGAGAGGGCGGGGCGCTGCGAGCGGGCGGTGTTGTGGGAAGGAGGAAGGAGAGGAAGAGAGAGAGGGGGAGAGAAAGGAAAGGCTTGGGGCGGGGAGAGGCCACAGGGCCGTGTCTGGATCCCCGGGAGGACCCCACCCCGACCTGGCCGGCCCCCGTGACCGCCCTCCCTGCCGAGGGGGCACCTGTCCGGGTGGTCCGCAGCCTGCACACGGTAGGTGCACCCTGGGCAGGTGCTTCCCCCGCAGGAGCCCCTCCGGCCAGGTGCGGCCCCTAACAGGTGCTTCTCCTGCAGTTGCTCCTCCAGCAGGTGAGGCCCCCGGCAGGTCAGCTGCCCATAGGGTGGAGAGGGAGAGGCCTTAGCGGGGACCCTCGGAGGCACCCGTGTGAAGGAGGAGTAGCAATGTCATTCAATTCTTTGGACTTAAATGCCAAAATCACATACTGATGTATCAATCTCTTTTAATTTGTGTCAGCGAATAACTTGATTGGGCGTTCCCAATTTTTGTTGAAAGCAAATTCTTAGAAAACGGTGCTCTTTACCACCGAGCTCTGCATCCCTTCGTGAGGACTTGGCCTTCCCTGGAGCTATATTCTTTCATGCTTGAGATGTCTAGAGTGGTATCTGTTTTCCTGGCTTAACTCAAGCCAGAGGTCTTGGCGAGATTGAAGTCGTTGCACTGTGGGAGCACAGCACCAACCAATAGGAACATCATGGGAGCCACAAGTGCACTTGTAAATTTCTAGTGACCACATTAGAAAAATGAAGATAAATAGGTGACATTAATTTTTAAATATGTTTTATTTAGCCTAGTATATCAAAAATATTTATGTTACTTGTTGGAATATCGTTTCAACAAGCAATATAAAATTATAGCAGGGAGAAGACTGGTTTACTAGGAAGCTTGCAACAGTGAAGCAAGGCAGGCTGCAGAGGGGAGGGAGAAGACCCACTCAGAGGATGCTGAGTCTGGGACCCTTGTCAACAGGTGGCCGATATCTAACATTGCCTATTTCATCCTGGGGCTCCAGCCACCTCTGACCTCCTCCTCCCTCCATACACAGATCCTTCCCTGCCATTTCTTGAATTTTGGTGCCCTCATCTTCTCACTGCTTTCTTCTTAGCAATTTCCTTCATATCCAAGGTGCAAACTGCCACCTTCAAGCAGTGACCTCTGCATCTGGATTTGCAAGACACGGTTATTTCTGAACTCCAGAATTTTCAACAGCTCACTGCCTACTCCCACGCTGGTGCTGACATGCATCCAAAACAGATATCGACTTCCCCTCCCACCCCTGAATCCTGCCCCTTTCCTTATGCTGGTCCCTCCTCCAATCAGCCATCTGTTCCTGGGGTTTCCACTTCCTGAGTAGGAATAATGTAACAAGTTACGCATGTGAGCTCTGAAGCTGTACCACCTGGGCTAACCTGGTTCTGTGCTCACTAGCTGGTGACCTTTGACAAGCCATGGACGACTGAGCCTCAGTTTCCTCATCTATCAAATGGGACCTACTTAAGTACTGAGCCTCCTCTAGGGGGTTGTTATGAGGCCTAAATGTCTGTATAATGCAGAGCTCAGCCTCCTCTAGGGGGTTGTTATGAGGCCTAAATGTCTATGTAGTGCAGTGCTCAGAGGCACGTGGAAGCAGGGCAGCAGGAGCGCCCAGTGCACCCCCAATGCACCTGCCCATGCAGCCACTAATGTCATAGGATCCTTTGGGTATCGCTTCACCAGCTAGAAACCTCCGTGGCCAGCGGTGCCTCTGCTAGAGTTTTGCTCGAGCCCACTCAGCCCAGCAGGTTGCACTCGGCTTGCACTACCAACCCAGATCCCACGCCTGCCAAGGGTGAGCCAGGTGCAGAGCGGCAAGGGGTATGTGAGCAAGCGAGCATGGGGTCCAACCACTGCGCACACCCAGCCATGCAGCTGCTGTGGTGGAGCAGGCAGCTCTAGGTGCCTGCACAGCTGCCGGCTCCATGCAAGGCTGTGGCTGGACCAGAGGTACCACAAGTGGCTTCCACTGCAGGCATCAGCATCTGGACAAGGGGAACATGGTGGCACCCGAAAGCTCACAGATGCCAGGAGCCACAGAGCCCCAAAGGGGGGTTACACTGTGTCACAGCCCTGGCTCGGGGAGCCCCGAGGTCTGGGCTCCCAGAAGGGCCACAGCTCTTCTGTCCTTCTCATCACCCACAGCGTGGCTAGCAGGGGGTCGTGTTTCCGGGGCGGCATGTTTCACCTCATTTGTGTTACAGGTCTTTTGGTCCTGCCGCCCCACACCGGTCCACGGCTCCTTGGCTGTCCCGGCCCCACCGCTGCTTCCCACTGCATGGGGTGGCCACTGGGCGCCAGCAGAGGGTGGGAGGGCTATAGCATTATAGCTCTGGCTTGGGGAATCCCAAGGCCTGGGCCTCTACAAGGGTCACCACTCTTCACTCCCTCAGTCTGGGAGCGTGTCACCACCCGCAGCTCAGCGACCCGGCCAGGAACCCGTTACAGCCACTTTGGCTCCCACCTGCAACTTGGCAAGCTGGCCAGGAAAGTATTACAGCTCGTTTTGCTCTCACCATTCAGCAGGTTCCAAGTTCTTGTCCCATGTCCAGGAAGAATGAGGTTTGGCAGACATCTGGAGGGTGAGCAAGGCAGAGAACAGCTGACCAAATAGCTCTCAGTGGAGAGGAGACTCGAAGTGGGTAGCTCCTATCCACAGGCACGTATGGGCTCAGAATGGAGGAAGTACATGTTGATTGGTCCATAGACAGGAGGAAGTGTGTGCTGATTGGCCCATGGGCAGGCCTGGAAAAAGCACTACTTGATTGGCTGAAAGGCATCAAGTAAGTTCTCTTTCTGGATCTCGGACTTCACCAGGAACTGGCATCCTGGCCCAGGAACTTCAGGCTGTCCCTGGCTTGAAAGTGGGGTTTCACCAGGGACCTGCCCCTTCCCACCCAGGAACCTGTCTGCCTCCCGCTGCCATCACCGTTCACTGGGAATGTGACCTTCCCCGCAAATAGATGACACTCCTCCAGAACTCAGCTCAAGCTTTACCTTCTATAGGGGTTTATTTCCTGAACCCCATAACCCTCACTGTAATGCAATCTCTTAGCCCCCTACCACAGGCCTCATCATCTCCTCCATGTCAAGCACTGTGTCATCCTTAGTCCTATATCCGTGGCGTAAGGCCTGGCACATTTTAGATGCTTGAAGAAAATATTTTCTGAATAAATGAATGAATGAGGCATGAGATCATCTGTGTTCTTAAAATCTTACAATGTGGTAAATTAGAAAAGGTTTATAGAATTAAAGGTGGACCACATGGCAAGGCAATATAAAACTAAGTTTCAAAGGGTATAAAACTTGGCAAAAATATCTTTGATAAAAATATAATATCTTTTTTTTTTTTTTGAGACATAGTCTCGCTCTGTTGCCCAGGCTGGAGTACAGTGGTGCTATCTCGGCTCACTGCAAGCTCTGCCTCCCAGGTTCACGCCATTCTCCTGCCTCAGCCTCCCGAGTATATGGGACTACAGGTGCCCGCCACCACGCCTGGCTAATTATTATTATTATTATTATTATTATTATTATTATTATTATTTGTATTTTGTTTAGTAGAGATGGGGTTTCACCGTGTTAGCCAGGATGGTCTCGATCTCCTGACCTCGTGATCCGCCCGCCTCACCCTCCCAAAGTACTGGGATTACAGGCGTGAGCCACCACGCCCGGCCAAAAATATAATATCTTTCATAGTGAGCCAAGCATAGGGTTTGCAGGGTTTTTTTTTTTTTTTAAGTTTAGTTTATTTTGAATTGCACAAGTAACACAATCACACGGTTCAAACTCACATGGCAAGAAGAGGTATACAGAAGAGTCTTCTGAGACCCCCTGGACACAGCCCTCTGCTCCAAAGGAAACCATTGTTATCAGCTTCTCAGAAACCCTTCCCTTGCCTGTATAAGAAAATACAAGATTTATAATTTAATTATAATAATTGTAACATGGAAAATAAGCTAAACCAACAAGAAGTCATTAGCTAGGAACTTCATGGAATCCTAGTTAAAATAACCATTTCAAAGCCACTCTGGGCAAAACCCCCCAGTGCAGGGCAGCTGTGAGGGCTCTGTCACACCAGCCGGGGGCCCGGAGGAGGGGTCTCCAGGGCCACACAGGGCCTGGCCCAGCAGAGTGAGCCACTGGCTCCAAGAAGGGGAGGAGTCTCTCCAGCACATAGGAAGCTGTATTAGTCTGCTCTCACACTGCTATGAAGGAATACCTGAGGCCAGGTGCAGTGACTCACACCTGTAATCCCAGTACTTTGAGAGGCCAAGGTGGGCAGATCACCTGAGGTCTGGAGTTTGAGACCAGCCTGACCAACATGGTGAAACCCCGTCTCTACTAAAAATACAAAAATTACCCAGGCATGGTGGCGTGCGCCTGTAATCCCAGCTACTCGGGAGGCTGAGGCAGGAGAATCGCTTGAACCCAGGAGGCACAGCCACACTTAGGGAGAGCTTGGGAAGGGGTGGAGGGTGACAACTGGGGGTGCTGAGACAGATACCATCACCTGGTGTCCCCGACAGTGAGGGGAGGGGAATGGTGGGGCGAGCCAGGCTCTGCAGGGCCCTCTGGACTTCTGGGGAGCTCCTGTTCAGTGCAAGTGGTTTTCTTCCCCCTCTTAGGTTGAATTCCTCTTTAACATGATCCCCGGCCTTTCGATAAAGGAATTTTCATACACAAC